>NC_000018.10:79359218-79660573 GCF_000001405.40 Homo sapiens | reverse complement strand
TCAAACTGGTTGCCATACACAGGCATCTTATTGCATTTGACTTTATTGTGCTCAAAGATACTGCATTTTGCACAAATTGAATTTGTGGCAACTCTGCCTTGAACAAGTCGGTTGGCACCGTTTTCCCAACAGCTCCTGCCCACTTCGTGTCTCTGTGTCACATTTTGGTAATCCTCACAGTCCAAACTTTTTCATTTTTATCACCTATGGTGATCTGTCATCAGTGATCTTTGATGTTACTACTGCAATTGTTTTGGAGCACCGTAACTGCCCACGTGAGACACCAAAATTAATTGTGTTCTGACAGCTCCCCTGACCCGGCGTTCCCGTCTCTCTCCTGTCCTCAGCCTCCCTATTCCTTCAGACAGAACAATATTAAAATCTGGCCAGTTAATAACCTTACAATGTCCTCTACACATTTCACTGAAAGGAAGAGTTCCAGGTACCTCACTTTAAATCAAAAGCTAGAAATGATTAAGCTTGGTGAGGAAGGCACATCAGAAGCCGAGATAGGCCAAAAGCTAGGCTTCTTACACCAAATGGTTAGCCTAATTGTGAATGCAAAGGACAAGTTCTTGAAGGAGATTAAAAGTGCGACTCCAGTGAACACAAACGATAAGAAAGTAAAACAGCCTTATTGCTAATACAGAGAAAATTTCAGTGGTTTAGATAGAACATCAAACCAGCCGTGATACTCCCTGAAGCCACAGCCTCATCTAGATGGAGGCCTTAACTCCCTTCAACTCCATGAAGGCTGGAGAGGCGAGGAAGCTGCCTCTCTCCACTTTCTTCAGAAAGAAGAAAGGTTGGAAACCAGCAGAAGTTCATTCATGAGGTTGAAGGAAAGAAGCCGTTTCTGTAACATAAAAGTGAAGGTGAAGCCTCAGCTGCTGGTGGAGAAGCTGCAGCAAGTTCCCCAGAAGACCCAGCTGAGACCACTGATGAAGGAGGCTGCACTAAACAACAGATTTTACATGCAGATAAACAGCCTTCTATCGGAAGAAGATGCCGTCTAGGACTTTCATAGGTGGAGAGGAGAAGTCAGCGCCTGGCTTCAAAGCTTCAAAGGACAGGCTGACCCCCTTGCTAGGGGCTAATGTTGAAGCCAGTGCTCATTTGCCATTCTGAAAATCCCAGGGCCCTTAAGAATGATGCTAAATCTCCTCTGCCTGTGCTCCATCCGCGGAACAACGAAGCCTGGATGACAGCACCTCTGTCCACAGCATGGCTTACCGCATGTTCTAAGTCCACTCTTGAGACCTGTTGCTCAGAAAGAGAGATTCTTTTCAGAAAAATTCCTGCTCATGGTCACCCAAGAGCTCTGATGGAGACGTACAGGAGAGGAATGTTGTTTTCATGCTGCTGACACCACATCCACCCCGCAGCCCAAGGATCCAGAATGATTCTGACTTTCAAGTCTTATTATTTCAGAAATACGTTTTCTAAGGCTATAGTTTATTCCTCTGATGAATCTAGGCAAAGTCAATTGAAAACCTTCTGAAAGGAATTCATCATTTTACATGCCATTAGGAACATTCATGATTTATGGGAGGACGTCAAAATATCAACATTAACAGGGGTTTAGAAGAAGTTGATTCCAGCCCTCAGGGATAACTTTGGGGAGTTTGAGGCTTTAGTGGGGGAAATAACTTCAGACGTGGTGGAAATAGCAAGAGAACTAGAATTAGACGATTAGACGGGGCCTGAAGATGGGACTGAACTGCTGCAATCTCAGGATGAAACTTGGACGGACGAGGGGCTGCTGCTTCTGGACGAGCAAAGAAAGTGGTTTCTTGAGATGAAATCTGCTCCTGATGAAGACACGGTGAAGATTGTTGAAATGAAACAAAGAATTTAGAATATTCCGTAAACGAGTTGATAAAGCAGCGGCAGGGTGTGAGCAGATTAACTGATTCTGAACAAAGCTCTGCTGTGGGTAAAACGCTGTCCATCGGCATCACACTCTCGTGAAAGCAAGAGTTGATCAACACGATAAAGTTCGCTGCTGTCCTATTTTTAAAAATTGCCACAGCCACCCCAGCCGTCAGCTGCCACCACCCTGATCAGTCAGCAGCTGTCAGCACTGAGGTAAGACCCTCCAGCAGCAAGAGATTTGGACTCACTGAAGGGGCAGACGGTCGTCATTTTTTAGCAATAAATTAGTTTTCAATTAAGGCATGTGCATTTTTTAAGACATAATGGTATTTCACAGTTAATAAGACTACAGTATAGTGTAAACATAATTTTATAAAGCACCAGGAAACCAGAATGATGCATGTGACTTGCTTTATTGTGATACTCACTTTATTGCCGTGGTTTGGAACTGCAGCAGTAGCCGTTGCCAGTTTGTTGGGGTGAGCATCTTAGACATTTAAAGCAGCCATTTCCACGTGTTGTTTTTATTCTAATATTTTTAGTATATTGATAAACAACATAAGAACACATGTCCTTCTTTTAGAAAATCCAAAGTATAAAATTCACATTTATAGAACATAAAATAGAGCAGAATATTGGCCTTATAATAGCACAAACCTCCTGAAGTAGTGGTTCTTAAACTTCAATATACCTCACGATCGCACAGGGAGCTCTTTAAAATGTCCTGTGGACCTGAACGGATGAGCCCTCCCAGGAGATCAAGCAGAAGAGGCTCAAGATATCACTCCCAGAAACTCGCTCCCTCAGCAGGTAGTGGTGAGGGCAACATGAGCAGGGCCTTCCTCCACCTCACCTGGGCCGCAGCTGGGATGCGCGTGAGCCCGGACCTTCCTCCGTCTCTCCTGAGATGCAGCTGGGATGCACGTTGCTGGGGGAAAATGGCAAGGACGCCAGTGAAAAGCACCGGGTAAGAATCGGTGCATTAGGCCCAGGGTGTTAAAGTGTCCTGCTGGAAGGAAGACTCAATCCTCCCAGGGTATCACCTCTGCTGGCCTTGCTGCTTTCACGAGTGAAAGAAGCTGCTGGCGCCGACCTGTGGGCTCTCTGTGACTGACGTGGTTTCATTTTGGCATAACTTGGAGCCACTGCAGGCTGGGGCAAAACAAAAGCAGGTCTCTTCTGTCTCAGCGGGAGTTCCCTGCCAACCTTTTGTGGACAGAGCAGCAGGGAGTGCAGTCTTGCCGGCCTTCTCTGTGCAGGGCGAGGTCTGGGCCAGGAGGCTCTGCAGCTGAGACCAGGGCGGCCCTGTCTGGTCATCCCCACGCAGACATCCCACCCTCCCACTGGCCCACGGAGCAGCTACACCTGCCGCTCTTCTGTGGACCAAGGGCACGGTGGACGGCAATGCTGTTTCACTTGGGATCAGGCCAACTGAACAACGCGGTCCGGAGTCAGAGGACTGCCATTGTCATTTACCTCGCCTCCTTTTTCTCAGTATCACAAAGCCCTCCTGGACTCAGACCTCTCAAGGAGGAGTGTGGAACCCCCGTGTTCTCTGACCCCCGCCTCTGTTTCCTTGGCCGCCATCTCCATCCTGCCATCCCTCACAGCCTCCCTGGCCTAGCTTCTTTCACAGCCCCGGGTCCTCAGGCCTGGCCAGGTGCTGAGTGTGGCCACTTTTCTCCAGGGTTTCCAGCTTCCAGGCTCCCCATACAGTACAGAGCAGACTGTGTGTAACATATTGGGTGAGCTATGAAGCCTAACCCTACAATGAGCCCATCAGCTGACCTGAAATCCAGGGTGTCACCAACATCACAACAACCGCTGGAGAGCTCCCCATCCCACTCTGCCCTTTGCTTCCCCACCAGCAGATCCACCAGCCTCAACCTGGTGTTGATCATGTTCCTTTTCTATGGTGTTTTATTGCATGAGTATATATATATATATATATATATATACACACACACATACAAAGATATATATATACACACACACACATATACAAAGATATATATATATATACACATACAAAGATATTGTTTAGTTTGGCTTGTTTCTGAGGTTTATAAAAATAGCATCATATATATTCTTCAGTGATGGTTGTTGCACTAATCATTGTGTATCTGCATCTTCCTCTAAATGATTTTGTTTGGCTGTGGTTTGTTGATTGGGATTGCTGTATAATATCCTATTACGTGGCTGTAACAGAACGTGTTCATGCCATCTTTATACATGGACATTTGGTGTAACAGAATGTGTTCCTGAGTCTTTATACATGGACATTTAGTTGCTTTCATGGGAAGTACTGCAGCGAACATTCTGTATGATTCTTGGTGCACCTGAGTTAAAGCCTCCGGAGGGTGTGCGTGTGGAGGAGGGTGTGTGTGTGGAGGGGACTGCAGAATCATAGAGTGTGCAAATGTTCAGATGAATGAAGTGACAACCAATTTTTTGAAATGGTTGTTTTAATTTATAATCCCACCAGCAACAAAGGAGTTACTTTCCATCCACATCCTCAACAAGTCTATGTTATCCAACTTGGTCTCTGCCATGCCAAGTAAAAACCTGTGTTAAAATGAAAACTTGTAGTTCTGATTGTCAGTCTCCTAATGACCATATGGTTTAGCTTATTTTTCTATTTTTTATCTGCCATTTGAGTTTTTTTTCCTGTGAAATGCCTGTTCATGTTTGTTGCTCATTTTTCTGTTGGGGTGTTTGTCTTTTTATTACTGATTTGTAGTAGTTCCCTGTGGCTTCTGAAGGAAAGTATTTTATTGTTTATATGTTACTCATGTTGTCTACCAATTTTGTGTTTGTCTTTTTCATTTTCTTTCTGAGACACTTTGATGAACAGAAGCTGTTAATTTTAAGAATGCCTTCCCTAACATGAGGATTTTAAAGATATCTTCCTTTTATACTTTTAAAATGTATGAAATTTGCCCTTCACAGCTAACCATTTACTTAATAAGAAATGGATGTTTCATATATGATGTAAGGCAGGAATCCAATTCATTTTCCATATGAATAACCAATTGTCCCAGCACTATATATTGAAAAACTTCTGTTCTCTTTGATCTGTGATGTCATCTCTGATATATACCAGTCTCTGTTTTTTTTTTTTTTTTTTTTTTGAGACAGGGTCTTGCTTTGTTGCCCAGGCTGGAGTGCAGTGGCGTGATCTCAGTTCACTGCAACCTCTGCCTCCCTCATTCAAGTGATTCTCCTGCCTCAGCCTCCCGAGTAGCTGGGACTACAGGCATGTGCCACCAAGCCTGGCTAATTTTTTTGTATTTTTTAGTAGAGACGGGGTTTCACCATGTTGGCCAGGCTGGTCTCGAACTCCTGACCTCAGGTGATCCGCCCACCTTGGCCTCCCACAGTGCTGGGATGACAGGCGTGAGCCACGCACCGGCCAGGCCAGATTTTCTATTCTGGCTTCTACTGCGCTGTTGGAATTGCTAGAGCTCCGTAAGTCATGACATCTGGGAGGGCCAGGGCCCCACGATTCTTTAGAAGTTTCTTCAGAAGTTTTGTGGCTGTTCTTGGTATTTGTTGTTTCATAACTTGTAGAATTAATGTGTCAAGTTTATTGATAAAACCTGTTAGGGCCTTAACAGGGCTGTGTGGAATCTAAGTCGCTCTGAGGAGAACTGGCAGTTTTGTGATTTGAATTTTCCCATCTGTCAACTTGGTCTACCATTTCACTTGCTTAGGTCCATTTCAAAGTCCTCCAATAAGGTTTTATGATTTTCTCCGTATAGCACTTGCTCATTTTTGTTTTGTATTTATTCCTGGTTACTTTATTTTCTGTTGCTATTGCACACGATAGCTTTTTAAAAACTGCCGTTTTCCGGCTGATTGCTGCTGGCTTACAGAACTGCAGTGGATTTTCATGAACTGGCGCCACGCACTCACCTTACTAAGATCTTTTATTTCTAATAGTATATCGGTAGATTATTTGCAGTTTCCATGGTAAAAACACATATCATTTATGAATGATGATTGTTTTATGCTTCCCTTCCAAGTTTTGTAGCTTTTCTTTCTTTTCTTGCATTGCTGTGGGTAGTTTAGCCCCATAGTGCAGTGATTAACAGAATCAGTTATAGTGGGTCTCCTTGTCTTATTCCAGATGGTAAAGGGAAAGTTTCCGACATTTCTCCATCAGGAAAGATTTATGCTAAGGGTTTTTCTGGCCTGTCTTTTCTCAGGTTAAAGAAACTTCAGTTCATCCCTAGTCTTCTAAAAGATTTTTATGACTGTTTTAGAATAATATCAAATGGTTGTCTGCCTCTGTTGAGATGACCATATGGTTTTTCTCTTTCATTTTGTTAAGACAGGGAAATACATATATTTGCATATGTGTAATGTATACATTATTCTGTTTCTAAAACCAGATTCAGTTATGTATTTCTGGGATAAACCCAATTCCATAAGTAGATTTGTAGTTAGCTAATATTTGACTTAATCTTTTTATGGCCATGTTTACAAGTGAGAAACGCCTGTGTTCCTCTCTTGTGTTATCCTTGCTGAATTGGAAATCAAAGGTGTATTGGGCTTATAGAATGAGTTGGGAAGCTTTCCTCTTTTCTGTCTCTAATTCCATTTTTGAAAGCATTTTTATAAGTGTGGGATGACCTTTTTAAAATGTTTGATATAACTTTAAGCCTTTCTTGTCTTGGTATTTCTTTGTGGGAAAATTTTAATTTACTGATTAGATTTCTTTCATAGTTAAATGTCTGTTTAGACCTGTCTCATCTCAAAATGAGATGTTTCACTTTTGGAAATTATATTTTCTAGGAATTTGCCAATTTCTTTGGATTCATTATTGTTCTTTTTCATCATCTTAAATTGGATGTTTAGCTCATTAATTTTAAGCCTGTGTTCATTTGAATCAAATCTCAGAGCTATAAATGCCCTACTAGATCTCACTTTTGCTTCCTCTCACAAGTTTCAAAATAGTCAATCATTCGAGTATGGCTTTATTTCTATCGCAATCTTTTTCTTTGATGAAGGAGTTAGTTCAAAGTACATCTTAAAATTTCCAAATGTATAGGAAATTTCTTTATCTTTGTATTGTTGATTTCTAAATTAATTGCACTATGGTTAGATAACATAAAATGTATGATACTATTATTCTGAAATTTAATGCAGTTAGCATAAAGCCCAGTAGTATATGGTTAATATTTGCTTCAAAGGAATGTGTATTATTTTCTGATTTGGTTCAGCATTCTATGTCTATCTAATAAATTAAGCTTGTTGAATGTGTTATTCAAATTTACTATATGTTTACTTTTTTTCTAATTGAAAAAGCAGTAGTCTAAAGAGATGTGTCAAAATCTCTCACTTTAAAAGTGCATTTGCCAATTTCGCCTGCGGTTTTATCAACTTTGCTTGTGTGTGTGTGTCTTCCCTCCCTCTCTCTGTCTCTCTCTCTCTCTCTATATATATATGTGCGTGTGTATGTATTTTTTCTCCTCTGTTACACACTTTTCCTTTGGGAATCTATGGAGATCTGCTTTTTTGTCTATTTTAAAAATTTGTGTTCACTTCATTGTTGTTCTTTTGGTGATTGCCATTGAAATTTTACTTTGCATTTCTAACATAATAAATTTAAGTTTAATACTTCAGTTTCCTTCTCAACAACATAAACCTTAGAACACTCTTCTCCAGACTTTCAAACTAACATTGTTCAATATTTTAGCTCTATAACTTTTAAAACTCCTAAGTTAGATATTGTGGTTATTATCTTATAGACAGTGTTTGTTTAGATTTAACATATATTTAACAATTTATTTGTTTGTCATTTCATCTGATATTTTATAACTTCCTTTTTTAAAGTAACAATTTATTAGGAAAAAGATCTATCTCAATGTAAAGGAACTGGTTCTACTAAAACAATGCATATCTAACAGACATCTAAAATAGTTATAGAATATGTAATCTATACGTAATACACGCTGCGTAATACACGCTGCGTAATACGCACTGTGTAATACACGCTACGTAATACACGCTACGTAATGCTGCGTAATACACGCTACGTAATACACGCTGCATAATACATGCTACACACCACACGATGTTATGCATAAGTCTATCATGCCCTTATGGGATTAGTTTCCACCTGCTTAGAGAACATTCTTTAGAACTCCTTTAGGAAAGTTTTATTGGAGTTTAACTCTCAGTTTCTGTTTCTTTGAGAATGTTTTATTTGCTCTCATTGTGGAAAGACGGTTTGGGTAGACAGCAGTAGAATGACAATTTGTTTTTAGAAGACATGATTCCACTGGATTCCAGTTTCTATTTTTGCTGTCGAAAATCTGGGCATGGCACAGTGGCTCACGCCTGTAATCCCAACATTTTGGGAGGCCGAGGAGGGTGGATCACCTGAGGTCAGGAGTTCAAGACCAGCCTGGCCGACATGGTGAAATCCTGTCTCTACCGAAAATACAAAAATTAGCCAGGCATAATGGCACACTCCTGTAATCCTAGCTACTCGGGAGGCCAAGGCATGAGAATGGCTTGAACCTGTGAGGTGGAGGTTGCAGTGAGCCAAGACTGTGCCACTGGACTCCAACCTGGGTGACAGAGCAAGACTCTGTCTTGAATAAAACCAAAACAAAAAAAAAAAAGAAGAAAATAAAATCTGTTAGTCTTATTGTTGGCTTTATAGGTGATCTGTCTTCTGTTTGTCTTCGGTGCCCTGAATTTTTTTTTTTTCTTTTTTGAGACGGAGTTTTCGCTCTTGTCGCCCAGACTGGAGTGCAATGGAGCGATCTTGGCTCACTGCAACCTTAGCCTCCTGCCTCAGCCTCCCAGGTAGCTGGGATTACAGGTGCCCGCGACCATGCCCAGCTAATTTTTGTATTTTTAGCACAGACAAGGTTTCACCATGGTGGCCAGGCTGGTCTCAAACCCTTGACCTCAGGTGATCCACCCGCCTTAGCCTCCCGAAATGCTGGGAGTACAGGCGTGAGCCACCGTGCCTGGCCTCAGTGTTCTGACATTTTCTTGCATGTCAATGGAAGTGTCTATGGGTGGATTTCTTGCATGTGTCTATGGGTGGATTTCTTTTTATTTACTCTGTTTGGAATTTATTGTGTATTCACGACTCTCATCAATTCTTGCAGGTTTTCAAGCATCATCTCTTTAATTAATCATTTTTCCCTCTTCCTTTTTGGTCTCACTTCCTAGAACTATGAATAGATATTCGTTAGACCTTATTCTATAATCTCTTCCTCTTAATCTTTCAAATATTTTTTGCCTCCCTGTTTTTCTGTTATGCATTCTGCACAATTTCTCCAGCTCTAACCTCTAATTTTGGTGCCTCTGCGGGTCTGAGTCTGTTTTGTGTTCGGGTCGTGCGTGCTGACTTTTGCTCACGGACGCGTTCCTCTGCGTGTGTTTGCTGCTCTTTGGCCGTGAGCTCAGGTTTGCCTGATGTCACTCTGTGAGAACCCGGTGGTGTTTACTACTGGCTCAAGCTGGGGACCCCAGTGGGGAGCACATTTGCCTCCTCTGCTGGGCCTGGAGCCCCAGCTCACCTCCTGGCCCAGACAACCTTTAGGTGGCTCTGATGTGGCAAGTCCTCCCAGGGCAACCTCACCTTTTCCATTTCATTATGGGATTTCCCTCCTCTGAATTCAGGTCACGAAGGGAGCCTTGAAGAAGTCCCTTATTTCATTCAAGCCCAATACTGGCAGGAAAACCAAGTCTCAGGCAGGATCGGATGGTTTTGTTGGTGAGGACCCTTCCAAGTGTCTGGCCTGCCTTACTGCCATAAGTAGACATCCCCTCCGATTTTTCTTCGGTGTGTTTTTAACTGCATAAAATAGGCCAACAGGGAAAACCAGTTTCTTCCTCCCCCTCCTCCTCCTCTTCCTCCTCTTCTTCCTTTTGGGCTGGGTTTTGAGACAGAGCACGCATTCCAGAAGAGGCATGTGTTTGCGGTTGCTTTTATTTCGATACATGAGGCAGAGAAAAAGAGCAAAATGTGGAAAGTCCCCGTGAGTGGAGGGGCCCTGCTGATGTGACGCGGAGAAAGCGATGCCTCCACTGTCAGAATCTTGTCATTGTGGGGAGAGAGCTCCGTAAGACAAGGTGTCTATAAGCAAAAAGTACATCTGCATGGAAGATGCTATTCCATGATGGATTACCGTCAGAACAGTTTGCACCGTGCATCCTAACACACAGGCCAGTTGAATCTGCTCTATAAGGTGCGTGAGCATGGGGGCCGTTCCAGCTCAATCGACTATTCCCTGACTCTTTTTACCGCTCCCATGGGCTTGTCTGGATGGCACATTACTCTCAGTAAAACGGAGGAATAATGAAAACAAATGCGCTGCACTGTGGCTAAAGGGAACTGCTACCTTTTTCGTCGTTTTGCTTTTCTGTTTTTATGTTTTAAAGGAGGTGGTAGCGCACATGTGGACTTTGGAATGAAAAAGACAACCGGGAAAACGTAGATGGCTCGTGTGCTGTCTAGGAGAAGGCCGCTCCCGAGAGGTGAGGACCGCATCTGTGATTCTGTGGCCCGTGAGAGCAGCTGGTGCGCCCTGCAGGGCTGACAGGGCCGAGGATAGAACGTGCCGCTTTCTAATCACCGGTCAGAAGCGTGGGCCGGAACAGAGGGTCACGAGCCCTGAGCCCACGCGCACACACCGCCAAAAGCTTCTAGGGTGCATTTGATTGTGGTGGTAACTCTAGCGACTCTGAGTTAGAAGGATCCCGTTTTGTCTTAGAATTTTCACCAGGTGTGTTTTTAATTATAGCAGGGAGAGATGGCATTGAATGTTTTGCTGTTTGAGCCTTCCCATACAGCTCAGGTTTAATTTATGAAATTGTTATGAGAAGTCTGGCATTAAGAGAAGAAAACATATTTTAGGGTGAGTCTGATTCGTGTTTCTAAGCCCAACTTTCATTTAAAAATTCCCTTTGTCTGGTGCAGCCAGAGAGCTTCTGGCACCTCCCAACTCTTCTGTGGCACAGTTGTCACCTGAGGTCTACTCGGTACATTACATGGAAGTGAAAAAACTAATGCATTCTAACATTTATTTTCCTAACACATTTGTTCTGGCCATACAGCAGCAGGCCATTTGCGATTGCGTATTGTAATGCATTCTTTGCAGCTGGAAAAAGTACATATTTTGGAAAAATAAGCATAGGACTTATTTGACTTTAAATCATCAGATGAGTCTTAAAATGCCTTTTAAAGGAGACCTCTAGGCTTAGTGCTGAATGTGGGTTGTCCATGCAACTTAAGGGAGGATTTCTTCTGTTTATTTAAAAATAATTCCAAAACATAAAACTGATGACTTATTTGAATATTACTTAAAGAAGATTCTTATCATTTAGAGATATATGCTGAAATATTTGGAGATGAAATAGTATGATACCTGAGATTTATTTCAAAGTAACCTGGTTTAGGGACTAGTGGGTATGACCGAGATTAGATGGTGCTGCACTGACGGTGCTGGAGGGGGCAGTGGGACTGAGGACTGAGGGTGCTGGAGGGGGCAGTGGGACTGAGGACTGAGGGTGCTGGAGGGGACAGCGGGACTGAGGACTGAGGGTGCTGGGGAGGGGAGGACAGCAGGACTGAGGACCGAGTGTGCTGGAGGGGGCTGCAGGACTGAGGACCGAGGGTGCTGGAGAGGGTGGTGGGATGGAGGACTGAGGGTGCTGGAGAGGGGAGGACAGCAGGACTGAGGACCGAGTGTGCTGGAGGGGGCTGCAGGACAAAAGACCGAGGGTGCTGGAGGGGGCGGTGGGACTGAGGACCGAGGGTGCTGGAGAGGGGAGGGCAGCGGGACTGAGGACCAAGGGTGCTAGAGGGGGGAGGGCAGCGGGACTGAGGACCGAGGGTGCTAGAGGGGGGAGGGCAGCGGGACTGAGGACCCAGGGTGCTAGAGGGGGGAGGGCAGCGGGACTGAGGACCGAGGGTGCTAGAGGGGGGAGGGCAGCGGGACTGAGGACCGAGGGTGCTGGGGAGGGGAGGACAGCAGGACTGAGGACCGAGGGTGCTGGAGGGGGCGGTGGGACTGAGGACCGAGGGTGCTAGAGGGGGGAGGGCAGTGGGACTGAGGACCGAGGGTGCTGGGGAGGGGAGGACAGCAGGACTGAGGACCGAGGGTGCTGGAGGGGGCGGTGGGACTGAGGACCGAGGGTGCTAGAGGGGGGAGGGCAGCGGGACTGAGGACCGAGGGTGCTGGAGGGTGCAGGGGGACTGAGAACTGTTGGTGCTTTCGCATATGTTTGAAAATTTTCATAATACACAACGTAAAATGTTGTGTTAGAGGAAACATTCTTCCTCTATAAATTTCACTTGCAATTTATGTACAAATTACCTTCTAGTTTGCTTCTTTTCTTATCACTGCCAGGTTTCCATTACAGCCACTGGAGAGAGTTTCTAAGAAGCAGGTCCCCAGATGACTGTCTTAATGTGATTCAAAACAGAGAAGGGATTGGAGCCATGGACAGACGGCACAAGATAGAACCGAGGGTGGGCCGGACTTGAGAGAGTCCTTAACAGAAAGAAATCGCTCTCAGGGGATGCCTTAAAGTGCAGCATTTTACACTGTAGACCGTGAGCATCCTGGAATTTCAAGTTCTGTTCCATTGATCTTTATGTCTGTCCTTATGCTGATACCAGATGATCTTGATCCCTGTAGCTTTATAGGAAGTCTGAAATCCAGTGGCATCCATTCTCCAACTTTGTTCTTTCTCAAAATTGTTTTGGATTCTTCAGGTCCATGTAAATAAATAGTTCAGTTTGTCAATTGCCACAAAAGCAATTGCCACAAAAAAATTGATAGTGATTGCATTGAATCACAGCAATTTGTGGAGACAATATGTAAATAATATTGAACCTTTCAAAGAGCACAAATGTCTCTCCATTGGTTTTGCTCTTCTACGATGTTTGCGGTTTTTGCTGATGAAAACTCAGTGATGTTTTGTAGCTTTCAGTGAACGAATATTGCATGTCTTGTTATATTTAATACTATTTTATTATTTTTGATGCTATTGTAAATGGAATTGTTTTCAATTTTCAGGTTGTTTATTGATATTATATAAAATATAATTGATTTTTGTGTAATGATATTATATCTTACAATCTTGATAAGCTTGTTTATTAGTTCAGTAGGGCTCTTTTTTGTAAATTTCTTAAGAGTTTCTACATAGACGATTAGGTCATCTCCAATAGACAGTTTTATTTCTTCTTTTCAGTATTTATGGTTTTAACCCTCTCCTCCCCTTCCCCCTCCCCTCCCCCCTCCCCTTCCTCCCTCCCTCCTTTCCTCCCTCCCTCCCTCCCCCCTTTCCTTCCTTCCTTTCCTTCCTCCCTCCCTCCCTCCCTCCCTCCCTCCCCCCTTTCCTCCCTCCCTCCCTCCCTCCCTCCCTCCCTTTCTTCTTTCCTTCCTCCCTCCCTCCCTCCCTCCCTCCCTCCCTCCCTCCCTCCCTTCCTTCCTCCCTCCCCCTTTCCTTCCTGCCTCCCTCCCTCCCTTCCTTCCTTCCTTGGAAAGGAGTTAATCATGAAAGACTGAGGCCTTCCCTCCTAAGATGCTGAACAAGACAAGGCTGGCTGTTCTCACCACTTCTCCAGCACAATGTGAGAAATTATTGTTACAAGTCAGGCATTAAGAAAAGAAAACAGGCCAGGTGCAGTGGCTCACACTTGTAATCCCAGCACTTTGGGAGGCCAAGGTGGGCGGATCACGAGGTCAGGAGATCGAGACCATCCTGGCTAACATGGTGAAACCCCGTCTCTACTAAAAATACAAAAAAAAATTACCCAGGTGTGGTGGCGGGCACCTGTAGTCCCAGCTACTTGGGAGGCTGAGGCAGGAGAATGGTGTGAACCTGGGAGGCGGAGCTTGCAGTGAGCTGAGATCGCGCCACTGCACTCCAGCCTGGGTGACAGAGCGAGACTGACTCAAAAAAAAAAAAAAAAAAGAAAAGAAAACATTTTAGGGTGAATCTGATTCACATTTTCAAGCCCAACTTTCATTTAAACACTCCCTTCTTCTGGCACAGCCGGAGAGCTTCTGGCACCTCCCAGCTGTTCTGTGGCACAGTTGTCACCTGAGGTCTACTTGGTACATTACATGGAAGTGAATAAACTAATGAATTCTAACATTTATTTTTCTCCTCCAGCACAATGTGAGAACAGACAGTTTTGTCTTGTTTAACATCTTAGGAGGGAAGCCCTCAGTCTTTCGTGATTAACCATGATGTTAGCTGTAGGTTTTTTGTGCATGTCCATTAAAAGATGTAGGACGTTCCTTCTTTCTTGTTTGCTGTGAGTTTTTATCATGAAAGGTATTGGATTTTGTTAATGATTTTTTCATATCTATTGATGAACTGATTTGCAGATATTAAACCAATCTTGGATTTCTGGGATACACTTTAATTGATCCTGGTTTATAATCCATTTTATATGTGGTTGCATTTGGTCTGCTAATATTTTGTTAGGGGTTTTTGTATCTATGTTTGTGGAAGATATTGGTGTGAAGTTTTCTTGTAATGCTTAATCTGGCTTTGGTATCAGGGTGATCCTGGCCTCATAGAATGAATTGGGGAGTATTACTTACTCTTTGTTTTCCTGAAAAAGTTGTGTAGAATTGGTATTATTTTCTTCTTTAAATATTTGATAAAGTCGACCAATGAAGCCATTGGGGACAGGGCTTTTCTTTTGGGAAGATTTTTAAATGTCTTTACTTGTCGTAGGCCTATTAGGATTTTCCATTTCTTCTCAAGTCAGTTTTGGCCATTTGTGTCTTTCTAGGCATTTTTGCATTTCGTCTTTATTGGCATATGTTTGCTCATACCATTCCCTTAGCACGAGGTGGTGATGTTCCCTCTCATCACCGGCCTTACTAACTGTGCCTCCTCTCTCTTCGCGGTCAGCCTGTTTCCGGATCTCTCAACCACAGCGCTAGTAACATTTTGGGCTGAATAATCCTGTCTTTGAGGTCTCCACTGTGCACTGTAGACTGTGGCTGACATGCAGTTGGATTTTGCAGGTGAGATCTGTTTAGGGTCAACGGCTGTGTGAGGAAAGGAGAGGAATCAGGGCTGGGCGGAGGGAGATGCATATCGCAGCGTGGTCAAGCCAGCTGAGCCTCGGCCAGGCTCCAGAGTGAAGGCGGCCTTCAGAGAGTTCCCTGGCCGCTTCCCGGCCTTCCCCTCCCGCCTTGCTCATCCCTGGACGGGGCTCCCTACAGCAGAGCTCAGTTCCTCCTTCCTTGGGGCCTCAGACTCGACCCCCCTTCCTGCTGCTGGGCAGCAGAGGCTTCCTGGGGTGGCACTTCTGTGTTCACCCCATGAAGGCACTTTCTCTCTGAAGTTTACACACAAGGAAGACCCGTTTGAGGCCATGAAATGTGCACTGTGACAGTGACGAGCCTAGGGTCACACGGATTCATGGCTCCCGTGGAGCCACATTCCAGCATCTTTTGGGGGAGGACACTCCCTGCCGGGCAATGAGGAGCCAGTAGCAGGGTCTCCCCTCCCTGAAGACGGGCTGGACACAAATCACCTCATTTTCCACTCTGTCCACACCTGAGGCTGCATCTCAGCTGGAAAATTACACTGGAATTCTAAATAATAATCATTATTGTTTCTGGTTATTTTGAATCCACTGACAAAGACCTTTACAAAATAATTGCACCATTTGAGGTGCAGGGGAAGATTCTTGAGTTGGTGTGTGAGGAGAACATTAGGGAAATTCTGCAGTGGTGTTCTGTTTAGTAAGTATAATTGCAAGGAGTGTATCATGTTAAAACGCCTGACGTAGCGTCTTGTAATAACACATGGTTTCCGTCGAGAAGCAGATGGTTCTCGGCCTCCCCTTAGAATAAAACATCATCATTTCACCACACCCACAAGCTCCACTGCAGAGTGAGAGCAAAGCCGTATGCCGCACACTTCAGATCCGTGTAATTGCAGCCTGAGAACACTTTTTAGGGAGAAGTGCCTTTAAAAAGAAACAACTTATTAGAATATCAGATAAAAGGGTCCTGGAAGAATGGTATTCAGTAGTAACTATAGCTGTGGCTTACAGAAAAGCACAAATGAAACATTTCTATCTCGAAGACTTGTGGTCCCTGGATGTTTTAAACTTCATGTTTCTGGACAAAGTAAAAAAGACACACTCACTGTGCTTCAGATGCTTTCATTTCACCATAAGAAGACGTGAACAAGGTTTTTCTGCTCATATATTGAAACCTTTCACAAAAGTTCTCTTAAAAATGGAGATATAACTCGTACCATATAATTCATGCCTTTAAAATGCCCAATTCAGGGGTTTTTAGTATATTTACAAGGTTGTGCAGCCATTACCGCTATTCAGTTCCGGAGGGTTTTCATCACCAAAAGGAACCCGGGACCCTCAGGGTCAGGAACTTGCTTCCCAGTGTAATGGAAGCAGGCGGCCACTAGATGGAGACGTCTCTCCACCGCCTTGCAGGTGGGGCTCGCACCCCGGGGAGGTCAGAGGGAGGGACTCCGCGCAGGAGGCCGGCCTCAGCCCCGTGGCACCTGCAGGCCTCCGGACACCTGCCTCCGCCCCTCACTTCTCGCGAGACAGTTTCCCCAAATACCTTATGCCTAGTCCTGTCCGTGCAAGAGAGGCTCTTTAGGAAGAATGTGCACACACGTTCTTTATTTTACTAGTTATTTCTTACGTATTATTATACATTAATTCGAATGTGTTACAGAGAGTAATATAACAGGCACATTAGTCCATGATGTCACTCGTTTTACTTACAATGAGCCTAAGTGGAAAAGCAAAATTACATTTAAAATTAATTCGAGAAACATATTAAGTGACTGTCGGTTGAGGTGCAGACATGGCCAAGTCCTGTGGGGCACCCCAGCTTCTAGGCTCTGAAACAGCGCAGGAAGGATGCCTGTGGGAGGATGAAGTAAAAATCCCTTGACTTCCACGAGAATGGGACAGCCCCCTTCCAGGCGCAGATGTGTGCTCCACGTTGCCTGGGAATCGATGACTCTGTCTCACCTGCTCTCCCCTCCGGCCTCCAAGCAGGAGGCCCTTGATCCATTTGTGTGATCAGCCGCGGGGGACGAACTCCTCAGTCCTGGGGAGGTTCGTCCTCGGATAATGCAATCAGGAAGCTGGCTCTTTATGGAACTGGCCATCCCGGGCAGTGCTTGCAGTTATGGGGGCAAGAATACAGGCTGAGGGGCTGAGGGGGGTCTTTGGGCGGCACATGGCCATGGACGGGGCTTAGCTTACAATTTTGAAACCTGGAAATCAAGGTTTTGGAAACAAGCCTGATTGTAGGTTGAGTCACTCGGTGTTTTGGGGCCTCTGTCTGCTGGGGACGCACCAGCTGGGAGGGGAGGCAGCAAGTTCACCTGCTTCCTGTTCCCCCATGGGGCTTGGGTTCCTGTTCCCCCACGGGGAGCTTCTTGTTCTGCCACGGGGGCTTCCTGCTCCCCACGCTGCCCTGGCCTCCGCCTGTGCCTCTGTCAGCCAAAATCGCAGGCCTCAGAGGCTTCACATGCTCGGGGTAGGGTTTGACGTGGGCGGCAGTCCTGGGAAGTTAGAGGCCTCACCCCTATTTTCTAGATGAGAGAAGTGGCATTCAAAGCATTTAAGTAACTCTGGTTACTGGGGAGATGGTCTGTGAGCTTTGGTTCTTTAACTCCACACTTTCTTTTCATATATTCTACTTTCTCCGAATTATTTTCACCCCAGGAGAGTAAGGTACTTGCCTGTAGACTCACATGCTCTTGGCCACCTTCTAGCGCGGTAACTACCCACTTTGTCTTGGGGAGAGTGTGGAGTGAGGAAACCTGAGACAGCCCAGGATTTCTCCACCGCACACAGTGTTGCAATTTTTTGAGGGTGGGGGTGGAAATTCATGCACTAATTGCCTTTATGAGAACAAATGATGGCGTTGCGTAATGTTATTGTATAAAGGGAGTGTTATTTCCTATTATTAAGCATCTGCTTAAGATGCTTGGGGGAGAATATAAAAGTCATTTAAGAAATATTTGTTGAGGAAATAAATGAATAAATAAATTAGATAAGAATAGCACCTGGTCTCAAAGAATCATCAAGCTAATAAGATCTTCTATCGAGCTTATAAAAAACAAAGTTCTACCAAGAAGCTGGCAGGACTCTGTAGTCTTTCATGATTTCCAAATCGTGGAACCACCATCCACCTCTGCATTCCTGTTTGCAACTGAGGGTTCCACCAACCCCAGAGGGGAAGAAAAATCACAATACAACAATAAAAAAAACCCAATAAAATACCGTGTAAACAGTATTTACACCGCATTGCATAGTTCGAGGTATCCCAAGTCCTCTAGAGAGGATGCCCCATTCCAGGCGAGGCCCCGCCCCGTGGGTTCTGGCGTCGGGCGGGGGGGGGGGGTCTGGGGCGCCTCCCCTGGGGGTGTCACGAGGCCACCTGTGCGTCCACAGGGGCTTCTCGAGTTTGCCCCTCGCTGTCCCCACACCAGGGCAACATTGGGCCTTCAGACAGGTGTGTGCAAGATGAAAGATGAAATTCATTTTCCCATCTCCATAGCATCCGACAGACAATGCCGGCAAAACCCAGCCTGGTAAAGAGGGAGAGAAGGAACCAGGCTTTGGCAAGAGAGGCGCCGTGGTTTCCCCAGAGAACACAGTGGAAGACTTCCGAAGGGCCAGGTTCCTCCTCAGGGCGGAGGGGGCGGCGCTGACCGGGCTGAGACCGGGCTTGGAAGGAGCAGGTGGGGCTGGAGGCCCTGCAGGGTCTCGGCTGGGTCCGCAGTTTTAAATCAGAACGGGAGCTCCGGGCCTGTCATCGTCCTCATGGTAAGAGGCCTGGAACCCGAGGCCAGGAGGCTGGGAGGGAGCCTGGGGAGGCTAAAGTGAGCCCAGCCTGCCCGGGGTCTGCACTGGGGCCTCACTGCCCGGTCTCCTCTCCTCCTGACAATCAGGGGCGTTGATTAGCAGAAAACCCAGTTAGAGATGGTGCTGGTGGCAAATATGAAAAATGGCACAGTTGTCCGTCCCTTGATGTCCCTGGGGGACGCGTCCCAGAACCTCGAATATGGGACCAGTCCCCACACTCAGTCCCTGCAGCCAGGAGGACCTGCCATGTGCAAACTACTGGCTTAATAAATGTACCCATGTAGTTTAAACCTGCATTCCTCAAGGGTCCACTGTAATTACAGTTACCGCTCAACTAAACAAGTTAAAATTTTATGGACGTATGTAAAAAGTCGCTTAAAGAAAGATAAAATCATGTTAAAATACAGTGAAGGCTGAGCATAGGCCCAAAATAATTGAAATCAGGATATCGAAGAAGCACCTACACCCCCATGTTCACAGCAACTTTGTTCACAAAAGCCAAAAGGCACACACCACCTACGTGTCTATCCAGGGCGGAATGAACCCACACAACGTGATCCGTCCTACAGTGGAATATTCAGCTTTGGACAAGGAAGGAAAATCTGACTCAGGCTATACCATGGATGAATCTTGGGGACATCATGCCCAGTAAAGACAATCACGTGTGAGTCTCACTCACAGGAGGTCCCTGGAGTCCACAGGTCCATAGAGACAGAAAGCAGGTGGGGGTGCCGGGGGCCGGGGCAGGGGAGTGAGCATTTCACGGGGACAGAGCTTCAGGTTGGGAGGATGAGAAAGTGCTGGAGACGGTCGGTGGTGAGGACTGCACAGAACATCGTGAATGTGCTTAGCCCTCTGGACCGTGCCCTTACAAATGGTTAAAATGGCACATTTTATGTTATTTATGTTTTACCTCAATTTTAAGAATACAGCAGAGGAGCCCACCATTCCGGGCAGGACTCGCTCCGCACTGCGGCTTTATTTGGGGATTTGGAAAGTTTCACTGTGGCTACTTGTTACGGGAGGAGGGTGTGGTGGGCATCTGGGGGGCATCTACATGGGCATCTGGGGGGCTCTTCGGGGCCCCCAGTTTCTCCGGAGGTGCCCTGATACTCTGCAGTCACAAGGATACAGATGTGTGGGTTTTTGTTTGGATCCTCCTTTTTGAATGGGAAGGAGGAATCCCAGAGCCAAAGTGAGTGTGGCTGACGTCACGCAGGCTCAGAACGCAACCCCAGCCTGTGCCTCAGACGCTGCAGGGAGGACCCTTGAGGCAGCTGCACCTGGAGTCCCTGCCCCAGCTTTGCCCACCACTGTGGCCACACGCAGAGCCCTCCTCAGGAAAGAGCCCCGTGCTGCCTGCATGGCACACACGGCAGCGTTCCAGTGTGCCGGCTCGTGCCACGACCCTTCCGGACTTTCCGTGGTCCACGGTAGCATGGTAGACAGCACTCCCTTCATCCCACGAAAGGCGTCTGTCCCTTAATTTGAGAAGACATCACTCTTTTCTAAGTGCCACTAACCCATTCGAGGTGCCCCAGTCCCCCACTTTCCACTCAGACTCCCATGTGGGACGGTCGTGGCTGTGGGGTGTCCCTGTGTCTCCGGGGTGACTTGGGCCTCCAGAGAACCCCTGGCACAACCTCCAGCTGAAAACAGGAACAAAGAAAGTGAGCTTAACATTCCGGCTGTTTCAGACAATGTGTTTCTCTTTGTGGGGGCAAGGAGGGCAGGGAGACACCTGAAACCATTTTTATTCATCAGCTCAAGTTGGTGGGTGGCAGGGTCATGTTGAGGGAAAAAAGCCAAACTCTGTAAAATATTTAGAGAGGTTTCTTCTGAGCCAAATATGAGTGGTCAAGGCCCGAGGCACAGTCTCAAGAGGTCCTGAGAACATGCGCCCAGGTTGGCTTCAGACATTTAGGGGGACAAAAGTTACAGGCAGACGCCAATCAGTACATGTGAGGTGTGCGTGGGGTTGGTCTGGAATGGTGGGATGACTCAGTGGAGGCCTCCAGGTCACAGGTGTATTTGAGAGTTTTCTGATTGGCAATTGGTTGAAAGAGTTAAGTTATTATCTAAAGACGTGGAATCACCAGAAAGGAGTGTCTTGGTGAAGGGGTTTGGAGACCAAGGTTCTTATGTAGATGAAGTCTCATAGGTGGCCACCCTTGGAGACAATAGATGGCAACTGTTTCCTCTTTAGACCTTTAGAAGGTGCTAGACTCTCAGCCAATCTCTTCAGCGTCAGAAAAAGGCCTGGAAAGGGAAGAGGATTCTCTACAGAATGTACATGTCTCCCACAAGAGACAGCTTTGGAGGGCCGTTAGAAAATATGCCAAATAAATATATTTTGGAGTAAAATATTTGGATACTTCCAGGGCCTGCCCCCGGTCATGTGATGCTATACTAGAGTCAGGTGGGAATTTGGTATCTTATATTGCTACCAACAGCCTGTTTGTCAGCCTTAAGATCTCTGTTTTAAAGTTCATACTGGTCAGTTGTGCCTGAATTCCAGAGGGAGGAGGGTAGAATGGGGCATCTCCAGCCCCCCACTCCCTCACCAGCCTGTGCTTTGGACACTGCAGGGATGACCCTTGAGGCAGCCGCACGTGGCCTGACCTCGTTTTTCAGGTTTCTTTGAAATCCCCTTGACAGAGAGGGGGTCCATTCAGTCGGTTGGGGGCTTAGAAGTTTATTTTTGGTTTACAGTCGGGACAGCAGACACCAGCGTGGCAGAGCTGGGTTCTCCTCCTGGGGGCCCAGGCCGTGAGGAGCAGCCGGCCAAACTTCCTTCAGGCAAAACACATGCTTTTTTCTTTTTTTCCTTTTTTTTGGCATCAAACTTACCAAGAAATATCTCTACCCAACTTTACTGAAACTTTAAAGCTTGTAAAAACTTTTAGGTCAAAGTCCCTTATTTACAGTCCAGACGTTGGCAAGTTTCGCTGGGGCACAGATGCCGGCGAGTGGAAGCGGAGCTGAGCCAAACTTTCTCGTCTTAAATCAAAGACGAACATTGAAAACATCTTGGGCTCTAGGCAGAGCCCAGCCCCAGCGCCGCCGCGTCTGGACAGGAGCTTCGGACGCACGGCAGGGCCCGGGGACCTCCAGGGAAGCCTCGGTCCAGGGCCTTCGAAGGCTCGGCTTGCTCAGAGCCAGGGCGACGGCTCCGAGCTGCTCTACGTGGGCCGCACAGTTTATTCCCATTCGGGACTGGACCCCGGGTCCCTGACGGGGGTTCTCCTGGGGGAACCTCACTTCCAGGTCCTCACTGACGTCCGCCGGAGTCACCGCTACTGCCCTGGGCACGGCCAGCCCCGGGTTTCCACGTGGCCAAGGCCCCACCCGGCGCGGACCCCGGCGCTGGGACCACGCAGCTGCCCAGGCCCCGGGCGCTCCGAGCGGGCAGCGCCTCCTCCCACCTGGAACCCACCAGGCCAAGCTCCCCGTGAGCGGTTCGGAGCGCATCGTCCCCTCCCGGAGTGGAAAGGCCCCCGGGAGCGGCTCCTTCTGCCCGCGGATGGCGAGCGCGCCGGTGACATTTCACAGCAGATTCGAACCCGCGGAGCCTTCCCGGGCGGAGAGCAGGGCCCGAGGCTGCACCGCTCCGGGCTGAGGCAGGAGCGCCCCGCATCGGCTCGAGGGCCCCGCGCCGTCTCCCTGCGTTCGTGGGCGCTCCCCGGGGGCCTCGTTCTTCTGCGTGGGACAAATTCCTGCGGGAGCAGGAGTCCTTCCCGGAGGCGCCCCCAGGCCGCCCATGAGCGCTGAGCCGCCGGCCTCGGGTGGGGGAGGCTCCCTGGACGGGGCGGCAGGGCTGGGGTTGCTCTTCCCTCCCCGCCCACTCGTGTCCGCGCGTGGCGCCCCGGGCCCAGGCCGTGCCTCGGCAGAGTCCCCCTGAGACCTGGGCGGCGCCTCCCGAGTCCCCGACAGGCCCAGGCCCGGGTGGCCGTGGGACGCGCCATGGGCGCGCAGCTCCGCAGCCGAGAGCCGGAGGGTCCCGCCGGGTCCCCGAGGCCCCAAGTCCTCTCGCGGCGCAGGCGGACCCAGAGGCAGCCCCTGGCCGGGGTCTCGAGCGCGCAAAGTCGGAGCTGATGCGGGTGCTGGTGCCTCACTGGGGTGGGCCTGAGGCCGCCCCTTCAAATTACAGCCGTGGCCACAGAGCGCGGCCTCCCCTGGACTCACCGCGGGCCAGGGCGGGCGGCGGCTTCCAGCGCGGGAGGAGGGCGGAGCTGGGCCGGGAGATGCCCGCGCCCCGAAGGCGCAGCAAGGCCGGGCTCTGCACCTGCCTTAGGAAGGAAACGGACCCTAAAGACAGAGAGAGACGGGATTTTAAAATGCAGCATTTCAGAAGATGTAACCCTTTATTAAGACCATTTCACCCCTTGTAGATGTTGGCGTGTTCTAGGTAAATGTCTTTCCCCAAAGGGACTTCGTCCCTCGGAGGCCTGGCCGGGCACCCGGAGCGGCTCTGCAGGTGCGGAGGGTCCGTGTGGAGGCCGCGTCACTCGGAGCAGGCTGTGGGCTATTGGTTTGTTCATTTAGATTTCGGATTTTTTAGTGGTGGATTCCCATTTATTTTAAATTTCAGATGGCTTTTCTGATGTTTCCGAGGAGTTTATAACAGCTCTTTGGGCCTCCTCATGCTGTTTATTTTCTTGTAAATTTGTCTGAGTTCATTGTAGATTCTGGATATTAGCCCTTTGTCAGATGAGTAGGTTGCGAAAATTTTCTCCCATTCTGTAGGCTGCCTGTTCACTCTGATGGCAGTTTCTTTAGCTGTGCAGAAGCTCTTTAGTTTAATTAGATCCCATTTGTCGATTTTGGCTTTTGTTGCCATTGCTTTTGGTGTTTTAGACATGAAGTCCTTGCCCATGCCTATGTCCTGAATGGTAATGCCTAGGTTTTCTTCTAGGGCTTTTATGGTTTTAGGTCTAACGTTTAAGTCTTTAATCCATCTTGAATTAATTTTTGTATAAGGTGTAAGGAAGGGATCCAGTTTCAGCTTTCTACATATGGCTAGCCAGTTTTCCCAGCACCATTTATTAAATAGGGAATCCTTTCCCCATTGCTTGTTTTTCTCAGGTTTGTCAAAGATCAGATAGTTGTAGATATGCGGCATTATTTCTGAGGGCTCTATTCTGTTCCATTGATCTATATCTCTGTTTTGGTACCAGTACCATGCTGTTTTGGTTACTGTAGCCTTGTAGTATAGTTTGAAGTCAGGTAGCGTGATGCCTCCAGCTTTGTTCTTTTGGCTTAGGGTTGACTTGGTGATGTGGGCTCTTTTTTGGTTCCATATGAACTTTAAAATAGTTTTTTCCAATTCTGTGAAGAAAGTCATTGGTAGCTTGATGGGGGTGGCATTGCACACGTATGTTTATGGCGGCACTATTCACAATACCAAAGACTTGGAACCAACCTAAATGTCCAACAATGATAGACTGGATTAAGAAAATGTGGCACATATACACCATGGAATACTATGCAGCCATAAAAAATGATGAGTTCATGTCCTTTGTAGGGATGTGGATGAAACTGGAAATCATCATTCTCGGTAAACTATTGCAAGGACAAAAAACCAAACACCGCGTGTTCTCACTCATAGATGGGAATTGAACAATAAGAACACATGGACACAGGAAGGGGAACATCACACTCTGGGGACTGTTGTGGGGTGGGGGGGAGGGGGGAGGGATAGCATTAGGAGATATACCTAATGTAAATGACGAGTTAATGGGTGCAGCACACCAGCATGGCACATGTATACATATGTAACTAACCTGCACATTGTGCACATGTACCCTAAAACTTAAAGTATAATAATAAAAAAAAAAGGAGATAAGGTTAAAAAAATAAAAAAAATAATAATCAAAACGCTTCTTCTCTCAAGGAATGTACAGTTTAGGGAAGAGGCAAAAATAAGTAAATATTCCAATAAGTATTGGGGGAAGGGCACAGAGAGCCAAAAAAGACCACAGGAAAAGGGATGTCTAGGATGTGTGGGGGGGTCACGGAGGGACCCAGAAGACAGAGCGTTTCAGAGCAGGTGGGATGGCGTGGCTTGTTAGTGAATGCCAGCAGAGCATTGGTGGTGTTTGCTGTTTATTTTCAACATCTTTTAAAATACAAGGGTAAACTAGCATTGAATTTAATTTGCCTTAGTTTCTTACCAGTTCCAAGCTAAAATATTATTACAAAATCCACGACCCCATTGAAACATGCGCTTGTGCTTTAGAGTATGAAAACATTGTGACGTGTGATGTGGGGACCGACGGGGCCGTCAGTGATGGCGCAGTTGAGAGGCTGTGACGTGTGATGCGGGGACCGACGGGGCCATCAGTGATGGCGCAGTTGAGAGGCTGTTCCCGGGGAGTGATCAGGAGCCACTGTCTCGGCCGCTGTCTCTTCATTCTCATCCCATTCCCCGAGGCCCTAAGGAACGGCGGGATTTGGATTTGATTGAGTAGCTCCATCCCTGTCGCGGAGCACAGGGGACAGCACCGCGGAGCCTCCACTCTCTGTGGATGTTTCGCCAGGGTTTGCAAGGAGGAGTAAAACTTGTCCTGGCCGCTCAGGTGTCTCTCCCAGGTTAAGACAGGCGCTGGTCACTGTGCCTTGTCTGCTGAGGGCATAGCCAGGAGTGTGACCGTCCAGGGATGGGGTGTGCGCTGGTGCCATGCACGGCAGAGTGGCCATGCTGAGACACCGTCTGGGAAGGAAAGCTCACTTTCTGGGAAGGAAAGCTCGCTGACTCAATGAGGAAGCACCAGCTGTGAGGCCTGAGTGAGCAGCACAGACACTAGGCATGTTCCTAACACTTGGGGTGTTCCTAACACTTGGGGTGTTCCTAATGGGACTGGACAAGTGTGGATGCCGTGGCTGGGACCCTAGTGCAACAGAAAGGGGGCAGGGGCCCGGTGGGCCTTCCTCTGCATGGGCTTCATTCTCACTGGAGGACAGGAGGGGGCAGCTGGGTGGCCCAGGGAACAAAGCCCAGCTGACTGTATCCAGGAGCTGTCCAGGAACCACGGTCCCACCAGGGAGGGAGACAGACAGTGAGCCACACGTGAGTCATCGGGTCACGGGCTGTGGAAGAAACTGGCCAGGAGTCCGTGGCTGGGGGCAAGGCAGCAGGGAGAAGCTCACTGAGAAAGTGACTTTGGGGGAGGGGCACATGGTACATTTGGACCACCAAGGTGGGGAAGCTGGGCTGGAGTTGGGGGCACAGTGGGGGCGAGGATGCTGGCCCAGGGATGAGGGTGGGTGTGCCAGTGTTCTGCCCAGGCCTGCTGGGGAAAATGTCTTCTCAATCCTTCTCTGCCAGCCACTAAGGAGCTCTCCAGGAGACATGGCTCCAGGAGATACTCACCCTGCCTGCTGGGCCCCTCGCTGCATCCCCAGGGCCATGGGATGACCCGGGGCTAAGGGTCAATATGCTTGAAGGTCCATCCAGCAGAAAGGAAGCTCCTGGAACCTCGGACTGAACTGTAGGGCATTGCCTGGGGGGCAGGTTTTTCCCTTGGGGTCACTGGGAGTGCTGTGCAGGCTCCTTCCAAAGGGGACCCACTGGAGAGGGCTCTGTGCCCCTATCATCCTCCTCTAGCTGGGGATGCACACAGCCCAGCGAGATCGAGGGCAGCTGCCAGCAGGGCTGACCAACATAGGCCAGGGGATGTGAGGCCACAGTTCACCACCACTATCACCATCATCACCACCATTATCATCAGTATAACTATCACCACCACCATCACCATCACCACCACCACCACATCATCATCACTATCACCACAATCATCACCATTCTCATCACTATCACCACCACCACCATCACCACCATCATCACCATCACCACCACCATCACCACCATCACCACCACCATTATCACCACCACCATCACCACCATCATCACCATCACCACCATCATCACCGTCACCACCACCATCACCACCACCATCACCACCATCACCACCACCACCACTGCCATCATCACCACCATCACCACCACCATCATCACCACCACCATCATCACCGTCACCATCACCATCATCAGCACCATCATCAGCACCATCATCACCACCACCACCACCATCACCACCGTCATCACCACCACCACCATCACCACCACCACCATCAGCAGCACCATCACCACCACCGCCATCATCACCACCATCATCACCATCACAACCACCATCACCACTGCCATCACCACCATCACCACCACCATTATCACCACCACCATCACCACCATCATCACCGTCACCACCACTGTCAACACCATCACCACCATCGTCACCACCATCACCACCATCATCACCGTCACCACCACCATCACCACCACCACCAACAAAATAAATCAGAGAAGAGTTGTTTAAATTAACTTATATAATTTAAGACCTGTACCCAAATGTATTACAGATGAATTAAAAGTTAAAAATTTTGAATTGAATTATAAAACAACTAGAGGAAATTAAAATGAATGCTTTTTCTTTCCTGGGGATGGAGAAAAGCTTTCTAAACATGGAAAAAGAAAGAAAAAAACAAAGCAAAGGCAAGAAGTCAGAGAACAGCATAAACAAATTTCAAAACTGCAATAAAAACCTGCAAAAAATATTATAAAATATATTAAATCAAAGTTTACTAGTATTCATATATCAGTCAGGAAAGACTGACAATCTTATTAATAAAAATGGACAAAAATAGAACTTGAAACTTTATTTAGAAGAGCCCTAAATGCTCCACTTCAACAATAATCCCAGAGCTGCAGATGACAGCAGCAGTGAAGTCCCGTTCTTGCCTGGAGTGCTGGGTGAGGAGGGCGGCCACGGGCGAGGGATCCTCGTGGGTGCGTCTCGGCCAGGCCACGGGGCAGCGTGAATCCCAATGCTAACCACTGCATCCTGCTGCCATCCTAGGGCTCCTTCTAAGGGATGATCAGAGACAATGACAGAGGCTCACAAGTGAGGCTTTCACTGCAGTGTTACGATCATCACAAGTGCCATAGGCATCCAACAAGAGGGAAGAGCCCCCGGACGGTAGCCGAGCCACGTCACAGAAGCACCAGCCCTTGAAAGTCGTATTTTCAAAGAATGTGCAGTGCCATGGGGTGCACACTGTGACTTTAAGTGAAGGGGCTGACATACAACTGTACATATAGCAGGTGTGATTATTCGTGCAAAATCACTATAATACTAAGAGCTGACACTTTGTTAAGCATCCGTGTAAGCCCTGGGTAGGCTTGTCATGTAGGATTTCACAACCAGCCACGGGGTAGCCCTCACCTCTACGTGACACACGTGGAGAGGTTCACTCACTTGCTCAACTCTCTGCTATTTGGTGGCCAGATTCCGACCCAAGCAGCCTGACTTTAGTAGTTTTCAACACAACTTTATCCTGTCTCCCTGTGTACATACACACACTCACCCACACACACACACACAAAGTCATGCCCACACGTGGAAGGAAATCCACAAAAATGGTAACATGAGTTACCTCTGGTAGTGATGCTGTGAATGACTTCTAGTTTCTTTCTTTTATTTTGTCATACTTTCCACATTTGTATAAGAGCATGGCTTATTTTTCTGAGGGGAAAACCACATTTTAGCACAGACCTGAGGAAGAGCTTTTGGTTGGGTATGAAGACTCCTGAACCTCCCTGCGTGTCTGGGTGGCTTTCCAGCTTCGAGACTCATCTCAGGGAGCCCCTAGGTTTCCCCTTGACTTTTTCTTGGTCAGCACTTGGGTTTAAACATTCAGCTGGCCACCAACGGGCTTCCTGAGAGGGGAACAGAAGGCCCGATGGGAGATAAGAGGTCTTGGCTCACCTCGCCAGCCTCACAGTCTACATCCTGTGGGCCCAGCACTCACCTGTCCACAGACCGCCACGGTCTCTCAGCCACAGACCAGGCCCTGCAGCCAGCAAGCCACATCCGACACCTCCCAGGCCCTACAGGCCCTGGAGCAGGGCTCGGCCGCCCAGTGCATGTAGGGCACCAGGCCGTGTGGTTTGCAGTTGACCTTATTACCACTCTGAGACAGGCTGCCATTCTGGGTACTCAGTTATTTCTTAATTTTGTGTTCAGTTTTGAAGGGCATGGACATCATTCAAAACAAGTTTTTTCTTTTTTTTCCTAAAATGGCTTTAACTCAACGTTGTCTTGCATGAAAACTCACAAGCAGAGGCTTTACCTAAGGGAATCCTTAAAAGAAAGAATGCATGGACCGGCCTGGCCAGATTGGCTCCAACCATCGGAGCCAATGGTAGGAGGACACGCAGCCCCACCACCATCATTCATCCCACCGAGCACAGGTGCGGATGCACACGCACACACACATACACACACGCACACACACAGACACACGCACACACATACAGACACGCACACACATACAGACACACACACACACACACACGCAGCCCCACCACCATCGTTCATCCCACCGAGCACAGGTGCAGACCCACCCACACACATACAGACACACACGCACACACACAGCCCCACTGCCATCATTCATTGCACCGCAGGCACCGAGCACAGGTGCAGACGCACACACACACACACATACAGACACGCACAGATGCAGCCCCACCACCATCATTCATCCCACCGAGCACAGGTGCAGACGCACACGCACACACACATACAGACACACACGCACACACACAGACACACACGCACACGCGCAGCCCCACCTCCATCGTTCATCCCACCGAGCACAGGTGCAGACGCACACACACACATGCACGGACACACACACAGACACACACGCAGCCCCACCGCCATCATTCATTGCACCGCAGGCACTGAGCACAGGTGCAGACACACACACAAGCACACACATGCACAGGGCACACACACAGGCACAGACACGCACGCAGGTACACACACACGCACACAGCAACTACGTGACTGATGGTTCCCCGCGGATACAAACCTCTCTGAAAAATCACTGGCAAGAAATAATAACCCAGACCCGGCTGGAGTTCCCAGCTTGCCTGGAATAAGGTCTGTGACTCACAGCCAGAACTGTGAGGCTGTGGTGCCGTCGGGAGTCAGGATCTCAGGCCCTCGCTGTGGTTTTGATGGGTTTTAAACCACACTTCCCTCTGCTTCTGGGACACTTTTTATTTTCTGTGAGGCTAAGGCACTGGCCTCGCCTTGCACAAGGGGAAATTGAGGCCCAGAATCAGCAAGTGTTTTTGCGACTCACTGAAGGAGCCGCTGTAGAATGGAGTGGTCGATGGCCAGGATCCGCCCCAGCGCCAGTGCCGACCGAGTTTCAGTGTGAACGGCCTGCCCAGAACGCTGACGCCGCGAGTGTAATTAGGCTGTGAGCAGGCATTAGTTCCAGTTTGCACGTGCGTCTCATGTGGGGTGCAGATTCATGGACGGTCCCTCTGCTCACCAGGTGCCCGCGTCAGCCTGGACAGCATTCTGGTTTCATTTTCAGAACCTCTCAGCCTCCTTCCGGCTCCCTAACACGGCGCCAATAGCAGGAGGAGGCTCTCAGAGACGCAGCATCACCAACATGGTGCTCTTCCTGAAAAGACCTCAGGGGTGATGAAGACTTGAAATTCATAGACTGGGTTTCTACAACCCAACCAGCCTCTTCTCTTCCCTAGGAGACACATGCAAAAATAATAATGGGGGTACCAATTTCGGGCGAAGTTTCCCGAACAACGAACAATAGCCCTTGCTGGGACTCTCGCCTCGGGGGCTGCTGCCATCAGGAAACCCGTCTTTCTCTGTTGGAGGCTGGTCCTTTTCAGGGTCAGTTTGTACTTGGATGTGTTTATTTTTATTTTTATTAAGGCTTGTTCTGCAAACAGCAGTCCTTAACCCTGTACTGCACTTTTCATCTTTCCAGACCATTCATTCCCAAATTTCTAAACTGATCTTCTCAGCATTCACCTCCAGTCTCTGTGTAACTAGCTGCTATTGCTACCTCTGGGCAGGTTAATCTGGGGCATTGTCTGTCACCTCCCACAATAGATCAGCTCCCTTCCCACGCCTCCCGTCCCCGCCACCTTTCCACTGACAATGTGGAGAGCAAATATTGATCAGCCAGGACTGCGATGAACACACACAGCAGCACCACTGAGCCCGTCACAAACGATGATGGCTTTTCTTGCAGTTTTCTGTTTTCCTGAAATTAATAATTAGCTTTTTCCATCAACTTTATTTTCTGTGTATATACCAATGGAACCCCAAGTGTCTCAGTCTCCTCTTCAGTTGTCTTATCTTGGGCGCTTGTTAATTTTGGCTTCCTGGTGATGTCTCTCCCACTACTAACTCACTTTGTTCTGGAGAGGTGTCCGGATCCTGTCCCACAAGAGTGATGCTGACAGGCCCCTTGCTCTGGGGGTCCCTCTGTTGTGGCCCCTGCCTGGGGCTTCCCTGCACTCGATGGTCAGTCTGGTGGGGGCGACATGTCCGGGAGGCTGGGATCATGCCCTCGTCTGGGCTCCCCGAGGTGCCCTTGAAATGCCGGACACTGTTCTCTGGGCCCCTCTTGGTCTCTGGAAGGTGCAGGACCCTCCCCTTCTACGGAGTTGCTGCCCGGGTGTGGTCCCCCGTGCCATGTGGCCACCAGTTCTTCCTGAGCGAGGACCTGTGTCCTTCATCCCTCAAGGCTGTCCTTGTGCTGCTGGTTGTGGTTTCTCCCTTTCTGTCGTATCTGCTCCCCACTCCGGAATGCGATCCCTGCAAGGTGGCCTCGACTGGTCCTCCAGCCTCTCCTTCCATCCCAGCTTTGATCTTTGTCTTCAGGCTCCAATTCCCGGCACCTTCACACCTCGGCCCTTTTGCCAATTTCCTTCTTTTCTGTGATGGTTCCGTTGTGGGGATCGTGGGTCTGTCTGTGCTCCCTGTGGAGAGTGTGGGTTCTGTCCACAGCTCATGACGGTGATGCCCCTCCAGGGTGACCGTCTGCGACGCTACGCTCTTCTCCCCGTATGGCTTCCGTTCACTTCCACATGATTTTGCTTTGTGTTTATTTCACGCTGGAGAGTTTGCCCGGGTGTTTCGACAGATCTGTGTGTCTGCTTGTATTCTGGGGCTTCCTTTTCAGCAGGTCGGATTCCCTGGAGGAGAGGCTGTCCTGCTTGGGAGCACGCGGGGAAGGAGGCTGGCCTGGCGTTGGGGCAGAGGGACTCCCTCCAGAGCTCATGGCTGCCCAGGCCCAGGGGTCGCTTCAGTCTCTGTAGAGACGAGACAGGAAGGGGAGGTGGCCCCAGGAGGCAGGGGCAGGGAAGGGTCCTTAGCCTGCGCAGGCCCCTCTCCACCTCCAGCCCTCCCCCCGGCATCATCCTCGGCCCGCAGTCCTGGGGGCTTTGGGGTTCGGGATCTAAATCAGGGTGCCCTGTCCCCACTGCTGTGTCAGAGTCGTTTCTGGGGTCCACAGAGATGCTGGCCCCAGGTGCCTCCACTTTGCAGGCGTCTCCACCTCGTTCCCCTTGTGTGAGCTGCTTTTAGTTTTACAAAATCTCTTTACTGTACTTGAAGCTCAGGAGAGAACAGAAGTAACCGTGTTTTCTCCGCGTCGTAACCAACAGAGCTGGTTCTAAGAGCGTCTTTACAACACCTGACCCAGACGACGGATGAAAACAACAGGGTCTGCCCTCATCCTCACCGGGTTCTGGAACGTTCCCTTGGCCCAAATGCCTCCTCCCTTGCCTCCCCAGGTTCCCTGGGCCTGAAGTGTCCCCGGGGCTGTCACCTCTTCTGTGACGCCTTCCCTGCTGCTTCAGACACACTTACTCGTGCCTTTCACCCCCACAACACCCAGGAGTCCTGTCAGCAAGGACCCCTGGCGGGCGCTGGGCAGCTCTGCCCATGTGGGTTCATCTACACAAGCCCTCCAGTGGCACTAAAGTCAGTGGAGCCCAGTTGCTCTCCAGGCTGTTGGAGACAGGGTGGTGGATTTGTGTGTTTAACTTGAGTTGAGGGTGCTTCTAGCGTGGAAAACACCTTGATGACCTTCTCACTGCGATTTTCCACCCAGCCGTGCTGCCCTTGGAATCACAGAGCCCCATATCAGGCCCCATGAAAGCGCCCCGCCTGAGTCTCGGGCAGGACTCATTGCAGGGAGCGCCACGGTCTGAGACACGGTGAGCGTGCAGGGAAGACACAGCGCGGCCCCACTACAGTCAGGACGCCCTCGGCCTCCAACCACGTTCTCCAGGAGCAGGCAGATATGCGCCCAATGCCTGTGCCTCACCTGTGAGAATTCCAGATCCTGATCGACCTTCCTCCACCCCAGCAGAGTGGTGGACGCAGCCCGTACCAGCTCGCAGCCCTGTCCATGTCACCTCGCAGCCCACTCTTGAGGCTGGGGGCTTGCCCATGGGAGCCATCCCTGTAGACGTTGGTTCCCCAGCCCTTTCGACACCGGGTGGCCGTGTAGAAACCTGGGGGAGCTGTGCCTCCCCTCGTGGACCTGGCTCGGGGCTCGCCTGTGCTTCTTCTCCCCACTCTGCCCCCTCCTCGCCTGCAGCCCTGTTCCTGGGGAGTGACTGGTCGGGCCCCTCTGCTCCTGAAGCGTGAGCCCTTCCTCCTCGGCGGGCCAGGCCAGTGTTACCTGACTTGAACCCCAGCTTGCTCGCTAGCCCCGGGCTGACTCACTTCAAGCTGAAGAGAGCAGGCTCTGGCCCTGATTTGGGAGTCGGGCAGGAAGACTGACACCTGCTTATTTGGATGTGACAAACGGGCGTCTCTGTGCTTGCTGCTCTCAAATCAAGCGTGCCTGAGTTCCTGCAGCGCCTCTGCAGGGCCAGCTGGGCGCAGTGGCCCGGTGATGTGTCCGGCGGCCTCCCTCGTGAGGGTGGGACGTCCACTCCGCCGTCTGTCCATCAGAGTCCTTAAACACAGGCTGCTCTCGGTGCAGATTCTGGAGGTGGGTGGAGAGCTCTGGAGGAAGCGAGATCGGTTAGACTGAACGCTCGGACAGCGGCTCTGCCCCACGGCAGTGGCGTGGGCTGGGGGCAGCAGCTGCAGCGTGGGCGTTCTCTGATTCCTATTGATCTGTTTCAGATTCTGTGCTGATCTTCTGTAATTAACAAGTTAGTGTAAAAAACATTACTTCTACAGAACGTTGCAAAATCTCTCCCCAAATCCCTGTACCTGGGGGCTTTATCCACCTGGAAATGACTCTGGTAAGTTGGGGTTGCCAGACTCTAAAGCAGCCGATTTGTTAATTGATTAAAATCTGGCCTAGTTCCAGAACAGATTGCAAATAGATCACATAGAATAAAATGCATAAAATAAAATAAAACCAGAAAGTGGGATGGAGGTTTGAAGCAAGGGGAAATGTCATCCACGGGTTTGCAGCGTGTGTGGCTGGGCTGAGAGCCGGGGCCTGAGTGGCAGGGAGGAGGGTGGCCGGCGTTGCCCTGCTTAGAGAAGGGCTGTGCTTTGCTGCAGCAGAAATTGCTTGTGTGGGACGCACGCAGAGTGGCTTATGTTCCAAAACGCCCCGGCAGCCGTCCCACCAGCCCTTCCTGCAGGAGCCGAGTTCCCCTCTGGGCAGCACCCTGTACGTGTCTCTGTTCTCGCTGAAGCTTTTCCTCAGTGGCATGCGGGCCGCTGTGTTGTCAGGGGCAGGCCCCTGTCACTCAGACATGAAGTGGACAGGCCCCTTTCTAGACACGGAGGCAGCTGGACAGGACATGGAGTGGATCTTCTTTGCATTTTGCAGTGAGGGCGTTGCAAGAGCAGCCTGCAGATGCAGCCGGCGATGAGCCCCTCCAGAGGCAAGTGTGGCTCGGCCTCAGCACCGAATGGAACCTTGAGGCTCTTCCCGTGGAGCCCGGCAGGCGGATCAGGAGCCCCGTGCCCGATCAGCTCTTTGGACATCTAGAAAAAGTCTGTCTACAGAAAACCCCATCACTACAAACTTTAATCTGCTTGGAATTTGCATCTTACAGGCTTCCAAATTAACTTTCCAAAATGGTCTCTATTCCAGGGATCAAATCAGCCATTCTCTTGCCTGTGGTTTGAAATGTGGCCTGGGCCACGTGCCCCTAATCTCCAGGTGTCTCTGGGCTGCCTCCACTGTGGCTCTTTCCGTCCATCTGCTCTCAAGCTGCTCCCACACTCCTTCCAGGACTGTGCCTTTCTACGTCTTTGACTGTGTCCGTAGCACAAACTCTCCTTTCTTTCATCTTGTTTTACTTTTCTGATTACTTATCCAAGAAATAAAAATTGATGTTTTCAAGTTCCAATGCAAAGGAATAAACACACTCAAGTTTTAATCATCGTCTCCCAGCTGTGGACAGAAATGTGACCTGGGAATTAATCACTCACGGAGCCGGCCTGACCCGTCAGCGGCAGGAGGGCTGCTCCCCAGTCTCCCCGGCCGCATGGCCCTGCACCTGCAAAGCTTTCCACAAGAATACGGAAGGAGGAACTTCCGGTTTTTCTTTGAAAGAGGAAGCTTGGATCAATCATGGGTATTTTCAGTGAGTTTATTATTTCTGCTTTCCCCAGAAATAGCTCTGTGCTGCTGAGACATGCAAGCACTGCTGGCGGAACACTCAACACGGAAAGTCCCCGAAGCTCTGAGTCCCACGTTTGCAGTTAACAGCTCCTTAAAAAGCTAATGAGTGAAAATCTTCAAGATTAGCCATGGTTGGCCTCTTGAATTGGAGCTGCAACCCTCGTTTGCTCTCACAAGCATATTGTTGTTGTCATTATTAAATAGTCTCTTACTGCAGAGAGGTAGGCTTTAAAAAGGAACCAGTCTCATAAAATTGACTTTTCTGTGGTGGATATAAAGTCCTAAATTAGTAGTCTTTATGCACAGAAAAATAAGTGCCGCAACAGTGGTGTCAGTGAAATTCCTCCTCGCAGGAACCTGCGAATAGCCAATCTTTACAAGCCATACAGCAGGACTTCCCTTAGAAGACACCATTCAGTGCTTCCTTTAGCCTAGGCAGGATTTTCAAGGTGTTAGGAAATTACACTATAACTTTCAACTTTCACTGAGCTGTATCAGTCAGATTGCTGACAATTCAAACTCACTTAAATAATAATGTAACAAAGGGGGTCTATTGGCTTCTGTAGCTGACATCCAGAAGAGAAGGCTTCAGCGATGGTTTGACCCAGCAGCTCAGTGATGTCACCAACCACGTGGTCTTGTTTTAATCTCCCTGTTCTGCATTATCTTGAGACTGGTTCTTCCTGACACCACAAAGTGGTTTCTGACAGTGCCTTGGGACCATGAAAGTGAGGGTCTCCTTGTCCAGGTGCCAGAAGCCAGAGCCTGGAGGCGAGTCAGACTGGGCTAGTGTTAGGCCACATCTCCAGCCCCAAGTGACCATTGAAGGTGGGGAAGACCATGTGCAGTGTGACACCCTGGAGCTGTGGCAGCGGCCAGCTTCACCAGGGCACAAAGCTTGGAGCGGGGTTAAATCTAAGCACTGTTCATATATTCAGGGAAAATCAATGTCTCCACCAGGACTAGAAAGATGTGAAAATACCTTTGAGCGGAGCTTATAAATAATGTATTACTTATCAATACCTTCCGTCTAAACGGCAGGGCCAATGACTTGTGGAAAATCATGTTGCAAATTCCATGGACTAAATCCATAAAGCCAGGCATGTAGCTCATCCTCCCCAAAAATCCCAGAAAATCTGGCCCTGAAATGTGGCCCAATGACTGTCATCAGCCCCAGGGTGTCCTGCAGTTCCTGCTTCCTACTGTATACACCTCGGCCCTGTGTCTGCAGGAGCCTATTACCTACTGCATACATCTTGGCCCCGTGTCTGCAGGAGCCCCTCTATTACCTACTGTATACACCTTGGCCCAGTGTCTGCAGGAGCCTATTACCTACTGTATACACCTCAGCCCCATGTCTGCAGGGGCCCCTCTATTACCTACTGTACACACCTCAGCCCCGTGTCTGCAGGAGCCTATTACCTACTGTATACACCTCGGCCCCACGTCTGCAGGAGCCCCTCTATTACCTACTGTACACACCTCAGCCCCGTGTCTGCAGGAGCCTCTCTATTACCTACTGTACACAGCTCAGCCCGTGTCTGCAGGAGCCTCTCTATTACCTACTGTATACACCTCAGCCCCGTGTCTGCAGGAGCCCCTCTATTACCTACTGTATACACCTCAGCCCCGTGTCTGCAGGAGCCTCTCTATTACCTACTGTATACACCTCAGCCCCGTGTCTGCTGGAGCCCCTCTATTACCTACTGTATACACCTCAGTCCCGTGTCTGCAGGAGCCCCTCTATTACCTACTGTATACACCTCAGCCCCGTGTCTGCAGGAGCCCCTCTATTACCTACTGTATACACCTCAGCCCCGTGTCTGCAGGAGCCTATTACCTACTGTATACACCTCAGCCCGGTGTCTGCAGGAGCCCCTCTATTACCTACTATATACACCTCAGCCCCACATCTGCAGGAGCCCCTCTATTACCTACTGTATACACCTCGGCCCCGTGTGTGCAGGAGCCCCTCTATTACCTACTATATACACCTTGGCCCAATATCTGCAGGAGCCTCTCTATTACCTACTGTATACACCTCAGCCCCACGTCTGCAGGAGCCCCTCTGTTACCTACTGTATATACCTCGGCCCCATGTCTGCAGGAGGAGCCTCTACCTCTCTGCATCTCTGCTTCACCTTTTTATTTTTTTTAATTCCTCTCCCTCCTTACGTCCGACCTCAGGCTGTCCAGAGCTATTTGCTATTGTCAAAGTGTTGGTGTCTGTGTCTTACCTTTTCTAGTTTTCCAGATTTAAAGTTGGAGGAAGGGACCCCTGAAGAAAATGACTTTTAATAACTTACATTGAAAGGGTGGGGTCTTCACACCAAACCGATGCTGGGTTCATTGCAGTAGAAGAAAATGACCTTTAATAAATTACATTGAAAGGGTGGGGTCTTCACACCAAACCAACGCTGGGTTCATTGCAGTAGAAGAAAATGACCTTTAATGAATTATATTGAAAGGGTGGGGTCTTCACACCAAACCAATGCTGGGTTCATTGCAGTAGAAGAAAATGACCTTTAATAAATTACATTGAATGGGTGGGGTCTTCACACCAAACCAACGCTGGGTTCATTGCAGCAGAAGAAAATGACCTTTAATAATCTACATTGAAAGGATGGGGTCTTCATGCCAAACCAACGCTGGGTTCATTGCAGTAGACGAGCCTGGGCTTGCCTGTTTCTGCGGAGTCTTGGACGGTGTCTGGCCATGTGTGAGTGGAAACCCACAGTCTATTCAGGCTCTCGGTTGTAGCTACGACACTGGGACAAGTGCAGGAGAACTGAGAGTCTATTCTCTGCTTCTCTGCCTTGTTAGGTGACTGGAGTGCTGTGAGGTCATAGGTTGCAGAGTTTCTTCACTTGTAAATACTAAACATAAATTGTGAAGTTTAAAGTTTTTTTAATGCAAATTTTGGTTGCCAACTTTTGCTTAATAGAAAGTCTGTCTAAATTTATATGTAGAGGTATCTTTCAAAAAGAGATTTAAAATTTCTTCAATTTCTTTGTTCTGTTCACTTAGATGTGGGGATATGAAACTTTCTTAAATTGGGCCTCTCTAAGCAATGAAAACTAAGCAATTGCTCTGAAAGCAATGAAAATTTAACTAACAATGAGTATCAGCATGAGGGCATTTGCCTGCCGGCTGCGGGAGCCAGGCAGAGGATCCATGAGCCCACTAGTGAGGCATCCTGTGGCTTCTCATTCCTGCCTATTATTTTCGTGAAAATTACAGGTGGATTTGGGACTTTTCATCTGATTACATGCTACTGATAGATACAGTTGCACCTGCAAAGTCTCCTGAAATCATCTCCAGGGCAGGCGCAGGTCTCGTCAATTGCTAGGTATGCAGGATCTTGCTGGCAGCTGGAGCAGGGGTGCCCAGTTACATTCCCACTCACTGTATTGCTCCAGATAGGATTTTCCACATGACATGGATCCACATGGATCCCGTGCCGCCGTGACGTCTCCGTTGGAGGCTAATGGGGGCACTGAGCTGAACACTGGTTTACCCTCTGTCCTTCCCACTCGGTGACACGGAGCCCTTTATCACCATGATCCTAAACCAGGCCACACTTGTGAGGAACACGCTTGACCCCTGTGTGTGGCAGCAGGATGATGGGGTGGACACGGGCCTCAGATGACCCCGGGATCAGAGGTCAGCCGGGGAGGCCAGCCCTGTGCTTCCAGCTGTGCTGTGCCTGCAGAACTGATGTCCCCGGTGTCCTGGTCTCCCCGGTGCCGCCATCCTAAGTCCCCACTGGAATTTGCCCTCAGAGGAGGGGATGGGCCTGGTGAGCAGGACTGGCTGATGTTGACAAGAGTCAGCAATAAATTATTTATTTCAACCCATTCAGGAAATCACTCTTCTCCAGTCAGCCCTTAATGACCTCCCTTCCACTGTCAAAGGCTGATGGGAATCAATGAGCCTAACTTTCTTTTTTTTTTTTTCTTTTCGTTATTATTTTTTTGTTTTTGAGACGGAGTCTTGCTCTTTCACCCAGGCTACAGTGCAATGGCGCGGTCTCGGCTCACTGCAACCTCCGCCTCCCGGGTTCAAGCAATTCTCCTGCCTCAGCCTCCCGAGTAGCTGGGACTACAGGTGCCCGCCACCACGCCCAGCTAATTTTTTGTATTTTTAGTAAAGACGGGGTTTCACCGTGTTGGCCAGGTTGTAGCAGCCTAACTTTCAAATCAACCTTGGCTTTAGTACTCAGCAAAGGTACCCACGTCTCTCAGATTGTTCACTCGTTCAGGGTACGTGTATTTAGAGAAAATCACAACTCACTGCGGAGCCAGCTGCAGGCTGAGGACACTTGGGGCGCGGATTTAGCAAGAGACGACCTTGCAGTGATGGTTGCAGGAGCGTGGACCTGGCGTCCCGGCGATGGGAAAGACCAAAAGGTTTTAACGGGATTGCTGTGCTCAGATTTGTAGGTTTCCTTTCTAACAGTTATTTCAAGTGTTTACCAAAATAACATACGAGCTTAAATAGGACTGTGACACTTGTAAGAAAAGCTGCAGTCCCCCTGCCCACCTCCACACACGCTCCAGCTGTCTCCATCTGTGTTTCTAAACAGTGTGCTCACACTGACCGATTTCACACAGTGTCTGCTGTCATCCTGTTAGCGTGTAAACAGTGTGCTCACACTGACTGATTTCACACAGTGTCTGCTGTCGTCCTGTTAGCGTGTAAACAGTGTGCTCACACTGACTGATTTCACACAGTGTCTGCTGTCGTCCTGTTAGCGTGTAAACAGTGTGCTCACACGGACTGATTTCACACAGTGTCTGCTGTGGTCCTGTTAGCACGTAAACAGTGTGCTCACACTGACTGATTTCACACAGTGTCTGCTGTGATCCTGTTAGCATGTAAACAGTGTGCTCGCACTGACTGATTTCACACAGTGTCTGTCATCCTGTTAGCGTGTAAACAGTGTGCTCACACTGACTGATTTCACACAGTGTCTGCTGTGGTCCTGTTAGCGTGTAAACAGTGTGCTCACACTGACTGATTTCACACAGTGTCTGCTGTTGTCCTGTTAGCATGTAAACAGTGTGCTCACACTGACTGATTTCACACAATGTCTGCTGTGGTCCTGTTAGCATGTAAACAGTGTGCTCACACTGACTGATTTCACACAGTGTCTGCTGTCGTCCTGTTAGCGTGTAAACAGTGTGCTCACACTGACTGATTTCACACAGTGTCTGCTGTGATCCTGTTAGCATGTAAACAGTGTGCTCGCACTGACTGATTTCACACAGTGTCTGCTGTCCTCCTGTTAGCATGTAAACAGTGTGCTCACACTGACTGATTTCACACAGTGTCTGCTGTGATCCTGTTAGCGTGTAAACAGTGTGCTCACACTGACTGATTTCACACAGTGTCTGCTGTCATCCTGTTAGCATGTAAACAGTGGGCTCACACTGACTGATTTCACACAGTGTCTGCTGTCATCCTGTTAGCGTGTAAACAGTGTGCTCGCACTGACTGATTTCACACAGTGTCTGCTGTGGTCCTGTTAGCATGTAAACAGTGTGCTCACACTGACTGATTTCACACAGTGTCTGCTGTGATCCTGTTAGCATGTAAACAGTGTGCTCACACTGATTTCACACAATGTCTGCTGTCATCCTGTTAGCGTGTAAACAGTGTGCTCACACTGACTGATTTCACACAATGTCTGCTGTCATCCTGTTAGCATGTAAACAGTGTGCTCACACTGACTGATTTCACACAATGTCTGCTGTGGTCCTGTTAGCATGTAAACAGTGTGCTCACACTGACTGATTTCACACAGTGTCTGCTGTCGTCCTGTTAGCATGTAAACAGTGTGCTCACACTGATTTCACACAATGTCTGCTGTGATCCTGTTAGCATGTAAACAGTGTGCTCACACTGACTGATTTCACACAGTGTCTGCTGTCATCCTGTTAGCGTGTAAACAGTGTGCTCACACTGACTGATTTCACACAGTGTCTGCTGTGGTCCTGTTAGCATGTAAACAGTGTGCTCACACTGACTGATTTCACACAGTGTCTGCTGTGATCCTGTTAGCATGTAAACAGTGTGCTCACACTGATTTCACACAATGTCTGCTGTCATCCTGTTAGCGTGTAAACAGTGTGCTCACACTGACTGATTTCACACAATGTCTGCTGTCATCCTGTTAGCATGTAAACAGTGTGCTCACACTGACTGATTTCACACAATGTCTGCTGTGGTCCTGTTAGCATGTAAACAGTGTGCTCACACTGACTGATTTCACACAGTGTCTGCTGTGGTCCTGTTAGCATGTAAACAGTGTGCTCGCACTGACTGATTTCACACAGTGTCTGCTGTCGTCCTGTTAGCGTGTAAACAGTGTGCTCACACGGACTGATTTCACACAGTGTCTGCTGTGATCCTGTTAGCATGTAAACAGTGTGCTCGCACTGACTGATTTCACACAGTGTCTGCTGTCGTCCTGTTAGCATGTAAACAGTGTGCTCACACTGACTGATTTCACACAGTGTCTGCTGTGGTCCTGTTAGCATGTAAACAGTGTGCTCGCACTGACTGATTTCACACAGTGTCTGCTGTCGTCCTGTTAGCGTGTAAACAGTGTGCTCACACTGACTGATTTCACACAGTGTCTGCTGTCGTCCTGTTAGCATGTAAACAGTGTGCTCACACTGACTGATTTCACACAGTGTCTGCTGTCGTCCTGTTAGCATGTAAACAGTGTGCTCACACTGATTTCACACAATGTCTGCTGTGATCCTGTTAGCATGTAAACAGTGTGCTCACACTGACTGATTTCACACAATGTCTGCTGTCATCCTGTTAGCATGTAAACAGTGTGCTCAGACTGACTGATTTCACACAATGTCTGCTGTCATCCTGTTAGCATGTAAAGAGACGTGGCAGGACCCCCCCAGGAGTGCGTGATGAGCGAGGCCGGCTGGAGTTGGCGCTAGGGCAGCTGCCAGGCCCTTTGCGTTGGTTCGAGTGTCGACGGCGTCGCTGTGCAGCTGGTTCTAGGCCTCGTGTTCGCAGCTGTTTTTCACTGAGTCCCCGTCAGGCGCGCAGGCCCGTGGCCCGGAGCGCTGGGGGAAGGACCTGCCCGGGAGGCTCCTCAACCCAGGCTCCCGAGTAGCTGGGATTACAGGCATCCGCCACCACGCCCGGCTAATTTTCGTATTTTTAGTAGAGATGGGGTTTCACCATCTTGGCCAGGCTGGTCTTGAACTCCTGAACTCAAATGATCCGTCCGCCTCGGCCTCCGAAAGTGCTGGGATGACAGGCGTGAGCCACCGCGCCCGCCTCCTTCCTCGTTTTCTATGTCAGAGGCCGCAGGCACCGGGGCACCCGCTGGCCAAGGCGCGGCTGCTGAGGGCGGTGCGGGGCGTTGGGGTGTTGGGGTGTCGGGGTCACCGGTGGGAACACGCTGGGGCGTTTGCGGGACCCGCTCAGAGCTGGAGCTGACACCCTCGGGCGGGGCTTCCTGAGGCCTCTGGGAAGCTGCTTGTCCGCGCGGGGTCGGGGGTTCCGGGGGAGCGCATGAGTCCGGCCGACCGGGGAGGCGCAGGGGGACCTTGAGGCCGATTCCAGGCGCGGCCAAGCAACCCCCGCAGGACCCCCCAATGCCCCCCATGCTGCGGCCCCGGGCGAGGGCAGACCGTGGGGTCAGGGGTCGCGGGGCGCTTGTGGGGAGCCTGGGCCTGGCCTGGGGGAGAACGTTCTGTGGGGGACAGACCGGGAAGGGACCCCCGGGGAATGGCCGAGCCTGGAGAGGCAGATGCAGCAGCGGGGTCCCGGGGAGGGCGGCATCCCGGGGGGCGGGGTCCTGGGGGGGCAGGGTCCCGGGGAGGGCGGGGTCCCGGGGAGGGCGGCGTCCCGGGGGGCGGGGTCCCGGGGGGGGCGGGGTCCCGGGGAGGGCGGGGTCCCGGGGGGGCGGGGTCCCGGGGAGGGCGGCATCCCGGGGGGCGGGGTCCCGGGGAGGGCGGGGTCCCGGGGGGGCGGGGTCCCGGGGGGGCGGGGTCCCGGGACCAGATGACGGCGGATTCCTCCTCTCCAGGGAGCTTGGGGGGCTCTGAGTGGGGGGCGCGTGTCCCGCGGGGAGGGTCTCCGGCTTCTCGGGGCCACGGGGGGAGGTTGCGGGGGCTGGGGGCGGCCGGGGCTGCCGGCCGCGGCCCCGAAAGGCCTCTCCGGGGGATCCGGGGGCCGCGGCTCCTCCCAGGGCCTCAGGTCCGTGAGTCACAGGCAGCCGGTGTTCAGGGAAAGTCAAACGTTCTTTTCTTTCCAATCCCATGAAACAAACGCTCAGAGCCTGTCCCGCCGCAGGGGCTCAGCGCCGTCATTCCTGGGGCGTCCTCTCCCTTTCCCGGGGGCCCCGGTCCCTGTGTTCCCAGCTACGGCCGGACGCGGGGAGAAGCGGCCAAATCGCGAAGGGCCTGGACAGGGCCGCGCGCGGATCGGACTGTGCTGGGGGAGCTGAGAGGGGCCGCGGGCGATCGAGGGGTCCGGCTCCCGAGAGGCGATGCCCAGAGGCCGGGACAGAATCTAGACGGGGCCGAGTCCCCAGCCCGGGCCCCGGCGGCCTCCACGTGGGAAGACACGCAGGGCCCGGGAGCTCGGAGTGGGCGCAGGGCGGCCTCGGCTGTGTCAACAGATGGGCAGAAACCCCAGCGTGTGCCAAGCTGTAGTCGCCGGTGGGTCTTAAGCGTTTTAGTCTTGGGACATTTTTACACTTTGAAAATTACTGAAGACTCTCAGAGCTTTTGTTTTTGTGCATTATAACCTTCAAAATATACCGTATTAGCGGCTGGGCGCGGTGGCTCACGCCTGTAATCCCAGCACTTTAGGAGGCCGAGGCGGGCGGATCACGAGGTCAGGAGATCGAGACCATCCTGGCTAACACGGTGAAACCCCGTCTCTACTGAAAATACAAAAAAATAGCCGGGTGAGGTGGCGGGCGCCTGTAGTCCCAGCTACTGGGGAGGCTGAGGCAGGAGAATGGCGGGAACCCGGGAGGCGGAGCTTGCAGTGAGCTGAGATTGCACCACTGCACTCCAGCCTGGGCCACAGAGCGAGACTCCATCTCAAAAACCAAAACAAAACAAAAACAAAAAACATATATATATAAATATACACATACGTATGTATATATACACATGTATAAACACATGTATATATAAATATATACACATGTATATGTATATATAAATACATATGTATAAATATATATAATACATATGTATGTGTATACATATGTATATAATATATACATATGTATGTATATACATATATGCATATATACACATATATACATATATATGTATACCGTATTAGCAATTAGAGCTGAGACATTTAAAAATACTTATGGCTTCATTTATGTTTACATTTCAAAATTTACTTATACATTTTAGATTTATGTAAATTTATGGGGCACAAGTGTAATTTTGTTACAGGCATACATTGCACAGTGGTGAAGCCACGGCTTTTAGGGAACCCCAATAAGGTGTGCTGTACCCGTTAAGTACTTTCTCCCCAACCCCCCACTCCCTCCCGGACTCTACGGCCTGTCATTCCACACTCCGTGTCCACACGTGATTCAGCTCCACTTATGAGTAAGAACATGCAGCGTTTGTCTTTCTGTTCCACTTAAGAGAATGGGCACCACTTCCATCCACATTGCTGCAAAGCAACCATTTCATCCTTTTCTGATCCATTTAAAAACAGCAATAATAAACCCATTAAGTGTTAACATATAGGATAAAATTTTAGTAATATTTTTAGTAAAAAGAATGGCATTATCTTACATTTTGCAAACCCCTTTCACTGGGTTCTCTGATTTGAACTGCTGTGATACTGTTGCTCTGGTTGAAATTGAGAAGAAAACCTGGCCACACACAGACATTGAGTTGGGACAGAGGATTATTTACCAGCCTTTTTGGATCATTACGCGTCGTCTTTCTTGGGGTTATGCAACACGTGGTAAGTGACGGTTTCCTCAAGGTGAGCTGCTGTGGAACCGGAGACCATGGTGCATGCGCTCTGCGCTCAGCCAGGCTGTGACGTGAGGCGATCACACGCTTTGGGTGGGTTCTCACCCGGCGTGGCTTCGTAGCATCCTGCAACAGTCATCTGGAAAAGGTCAGTTCACCGAGTCATGTGGAGCTTCCAAATGTTGACGTGTTTGTTTATTTAATATCAAAAGTCACATTTGCGAATATCACCACCAACTTCCTCGGAAAAGTCTTGAAGTGCTGACTGGGAAGCTCACAGTGATGGATACAAGTTTTCCAAAATTCTAATTTTTGCTTGAAAGCTCAAATTTTGTTATTGGCAACAAATACTGCAAGTTTACCTTAAAGCAACAGGCTCATTTTGCTCATTTTCAAGAAAATGCCTGCCCGATGCCCGATGACCGTGGCTAGTTGGTTGTTTTTTCAGGTACAGACGTAGCTGGGGGGTGGGGGCCGTGGCTCCAGACTCAGCCACACACTTTCTCCCAGTCCCGTCAGCTTCCATGTGTGGTCCACGCACTCTGCCTGCATTTCCCGTGTACTGCCCCACCTGTGGCCATGCACCCTGCTGTGCTGTGTGCAAGGCTGAGATAGAACAGAACGGATAGTTTTTCTGCCCCAGGGGGCCTTTTAAAAGTGGAGCTATTGTTTCTACTGCACAGTAAGTGCTGGTGGTGGGAAGGCAGGGTGTGGAGCTGCCGCCCTGTGCCCAATACGGAGCCGCCATTCGCAGATGTCGCCCGCTGGAGAAGGCATTGTCACAAAAGTAGTGACATATTGTCACACAGTGTCACTTAGCTTTGTCACAAACGTAGTTCTGATCTGCAGACCCACTGGCAGAGTCCCTGGGAACTTACCCCATGCCAGGACCCACAGGCCACGCGGTGAGAACCTCCTGCCATGGGTGAGACCAATCCTTCACGGACCGGGAGGGAGGCTGTGGATGGGGCTGGAGCCCCGGGTATGTCCTCAGCTGGCTGGAGAGCCTCCCCCAGGGGCGATGTGGGCAAGTCCACGTCTGCTGGGGTCCCTTCCCTGGTTCGTGAACCTGAGAGGCCACCCTGGGCCCCTGGCGCCCCTCCCTGCAGGTCAGCGCCCCTGGCTTGCTGTTCTTGAGACTCCCTCTACTTCCCACGCGCCACTCCCAGCACGTGGAGACGCCTGTTTCTCCTGGGCAGATGGAACCCGATTCTTTCCAACTTGGGAAACGTAATCGGTCTTTTCTGTTATGTTTCCATTTGTTTCTCAATGTTAAATTTCTGTGAACAAAACTTCCCATTGGTGACTGTTTTAAAGACCCTCAGAACCTGGTCCGCCACTCTAGAGGCTCTATCACCATAGGCCCTGGGCTGCCTGGAGGAGCGAGTGAGGGGTCCATGCTGCGTCAGGAGCTGGGGACTGCTGGGGATGAGATGCGTCTCTTTGGCCAGGGCGTTTGCTTTAGAGCTATGAGGCAGCCAGGAAGCTGGGCCACAGGCGGGAGGCCTGGGGTCCGGGCGCTACAGCCAGTGCCAGCTCCTGCTTTCCACGGCCGGCGGGTTCTACCATAGCCTCGGCAAGTCATCAGCAAACGTCCCTTACAGACACTCCATCCGGACACGTGTGCCTCATTGCCAGGTGGTCTCTCTGCCGAACCCACATCTGTGATGGCAGAACTCAGCTCAGAGCAGGTGCGGCAGGAGGCGAGGGAGGGAACACCGGCACCCTCACAGCAGCTGGGCCCTTCCACACACCCTCCAAGCTTGTCACCCAGTAGGCCGGCCGGGCGCCATGGCCCGGAGGTCCCTGTGGCCGGCAGGAGAGTTGCCAGCACGGGAGCTGAGACCCTCTTGTCAGACTCAGGCGCCCTCTCTCTCCTCCCTATGAAAATAAAAGCTTAGAAAGCAGAAAGCCAGCAGACAGCCGGGACTGCTCCCCTCGCCCCTGACCCTCCATGCTGCTGCTTTGTTTGCTGCTACCTCAGACGGTGGAGCCGTCTCCCCAGGCCGTGTCGCAGGTCCTTTCTGCTCCGGGCAAAAGAATCGCAGAGCCTGATTCCACAGGAGAGCATGAGTGTGAGACTGGGAGGCAAGCTCTGGCTGAAGCCGCAACCCTGACGGCAGTAATTTCCCTTGGTTTTGAATTTTCACCTAAAAAAAAAATCCATGTTTAGCCTTAGGATAATAATAGCTACTGTTCCTAGCTACATTGCTTGTACAATGTGCACACACACATTGCCACGGCATGCCTTTGAATTGAACCTGGCATACCTGCAAGGTCAAAGCTGAGTTCATGGCTTGTGACAGGCAGTGAGCAGCTGCCAGTGCTGCCCTGCCCATGTGTGCCCACATGTACCCAAGTATGCCCGCATGTACCCAGGTGTGCCTGCATGTGCCCAGGTGTGCCCACATGTACCCGCGTGTGCCTGCAGATACCCGCGTGTGCCCACATGTACCCGGGTGTGCCCGCAGATACCCAGGTTGCCCACATGTACCCAAGTGTGCCCACATGTACCTAGGTGTGCCCACATGTACCCACGTGTGCCTGCAGATACCCACGTGTGCCCGCATGTACCTGGGTGTGCCTGCAGATACCCAGGTTGCCCACATGTACCCAAGTGTGCCCGCATGTAGCCGGGTGTGCCCCCATGTACCCATGTGTGCCCATGTGTGCCCACGTGGGCAGGGTGAGCAGAGCCAGCACAGTTGCCCACTGGCTCTGACACAGAGGCTTGAAGAAAACCCTGGGACCCTCAGTGAGGGGCATACCCAGCCTGCGGGGAAGATGAAGCCACCTTCTGGCGTCCCACCCAGCGGCCAGCTCCTGCGGAGCCTCCCGACAGAGCACGAAGGAGCGTGGACAGGGCTCCAGCTTAGTTCTGACATGCGTTGGAAGCACCTGCGGACATCCACTTTGCAAAGCAGCTGCTGTACTGGTGCGGCTGGGGTGTGGCCTGGGCCGTTCCTCTATTCTAGGAGGAGTGGGGCTCCAGGTGAGGTTCTGACTCCAACTCTCTTGGACAGGACAGACACGGCCTCCTGCACAGCGGCTGCTGCACCCAGCACCGGGGCTGGTCCAGCTCCGCGTCTTCACCACTGAGCAGCTTTTACTTGATCCTATTTTGTGAGGATATGGTCTTTAAAGTCACGTGCCTCTGGAGGTTGGGAACCTGCATGACAAATACAGTTTTGGGGCAGTTACTTTCTTTTTTCTTTTCTTTTTTTTTTTTTAGATGGAATCTCACTCTGTCGCCCAAGCTGGAGTGCAGTGGCGCGGTCTCGGCTCACTGCAAGCTCCGCCTCCCGGGCTGATGCCCTTCTCCTGCCTCAGCCTCCTGAGTAGCTGGGACTACAGGCGCCCGCCACCACGCCTGGCTAATTTTTTGTATTTTTAGTAGAGACGGGGTTCCACCGTGTTAGCCAGGATGGTCTCGATCTCCTGACCTCGTGACCCACCCGCCTCGGCCTCCCAAAGTGCTGGGGTTACAGGCGTGAGCCCCTGCACCCAGCCTGGGCCCATTACTTTCGGCGTGACAGCTGGAGTGTGTCCGTCCTGAAGACTATTTAAGGAGAGGAAGGCCAGCCTGATGCTCTAGCTCAGGGAACTTGGTCATCCAGCAGATACCAGACAGGGCGACCCCTTCGGCCCATCCAGGGAGGGAACAAAGGAAGAAGGCTGTCAGGGCAGCCAGGCCACTCCCATTGTCCTGCAGATGCTGCCGTGCTCCTGGTCACCCATGGGAGCTGCCAAAGGGGACCCCAACTTTTCTTGGGAAAGTGCCCATCCCTGGGCCTGTGGGCCCCTCCGGCGATGGGTCAGCGCCACCCTCTGAAGGGCACAGGGGCGTGGGGGCAGCGGTGTCAGTTTGCTTCCTCGGCGTCGTAGCCACAGCCGTGACATGCCAGCCTGCTTCCCACATGGAAGAGGTATTTTGCTCCTCCCCTGACCCTGGGAGGTCCTGGGCCCCTTCACACCTTTGCATAACAAACAGAAAAGGCCGGCTGGGCAGTTTCCATGCAGGCCAACCCACTGTGCTAATTAGCACACAATGAAAATTATTAGGTGAGACAAACACCCCCACAATAGCAAAGAAAACAAACCAAACCCGTCTACACAGATTCCCACAGTCCGTGTGACTCACTCTGCCTGTTATCATGCGGTGGGCGGGAGCTTTATTCCCAACGTGTCTCATTGCTCAGATGTTTTCTGCTCTTCCTGATCCTGACTTCTCCTTTGGGCCTAATCAGGGCACGGCTCTGGGCCGGATCGGGGCCTTTGGCTGCGCTGCCTCAGGCCTGGGTTCTCACGGCCTGGGGTGAACCTGGCGTCCGGTGAGGAAGGGGCTGGAAACAGAGCTGCCTCAGCCTTGGGTGTCCATAAGGAGGTGTGTGGGGCCCTCTCGGCTGTCCCCACTTTACTTTCTCGGGGGATTTTATAAATTTATTTCCAAGAGCACATGCCCAGTTTATATGCACAGCCAACCGAGCCCTTTGCCCGACTCACGCCCATTCCGGAGTGGAGGTGACCATCCCGCGTGGATGAGTGCAGGGAAGCTCCGATGCGCCAGGCTCCCGAGGCAAAAAGATGCAACTCCTCCGAGCCACGGTGCGGTGAGGAGGAGGAGGCTCTTGCTGCTTGGGCCAGCCCCTGCCTGGCCAAGCTCCCAGATAAAAGGTGGGGCGGTGCTGTCCTTCGCCCTCCTGCTGGCCTGAGATCTGAAGGGAGGCACATTCTGGAGGGTGCCGGCTCAGGGAGCCTGACCCAGAGAGCTGGACACCTGGGGTGTGGCTCAGGGCTAGGGTTAGATTTGGGAGGAAGGACGGCCAGGCCCGGGGTCTGAGTATGGCCCCACCCTCTGCTCTCAGATGCCGGGGTCCAGAGAGCAGCAGAGGCCGGGGCTTAGCCTGTCCTGGGGTGGCTCAGAGGCGGGGGCTCAGCCTGCCTGGGGTGGCTCAGAGGCGGGGGCTCAGCCTGCCTGGGGTGGCTCAGAGGCGGGGGCTCAGCCTGCCTGGGGTGGCTCAGAGGCGGGGGCTCAGCCTGCCTGGGGTGGCTCAGAGGCGGGGGCTCAGCCTGCCCTGGGGTGGCTCAGTGGCGGGGGCTCAGCCTGCCTGGGGTGGCTCAGTGGCGGGGGCTTTACCACGAAGAAAGGCACTTGCTGGAGCAGGCCCCGAGCTCAGCCCTATGCTCTGGGGTCCTGACCCACATCTAGCAGCAGATGCAGCAGGGACACCAATTGGGAGGCACGTTGACCAGCCAAGGCCACCAGCCTGGCCACTGTGCTGAGACAGGCCCCAGCCCAGCCCGGAGCAAGTCCTTCGCGGTCACTTTCCACTCACCCAGGCAAAGCCCTTACCCAGGAGGTGATGACGGCCTTGGGGGAGCTCGGTCAGTCAGGGAGGATGGCGCGCCTGAGAGTGCACGGTGTCCTGTGGTCACGGTGGGGCACAAGGGGTCCCATCTTCCTGGAGCACATGAGGTCCTGTCTTCCCGGGGCATGTGGGGTCCTGTCTTCCTGGAGCATGTGGGGTCCCGTCTTCCTGGGGCTTACGGAGGGGCCGTTTACCCTGGGCTGGGGGGGAAGGGCCCAGTTGTTCATCACAGGGGCCCCTTCTCTTCTATGAGTCCCCCCTTTTCTGGGGACACCAGTGGCAAGAGCCTAGGCATCTCTAGAACTGGCCATAAACCACAGCAAAGGCCTCGTGTTCTACAGAATGTGAGGATTTTCAATGACATGGCATCACTTGGAGCGCACTGGCCCCTGCTTTGCAGTCACCAATGCCGAGGTCACTGCTCTGGGGGCTGTGTAGGGCGTGTGTCTCTGCATCCGTATCTCTGTCGTGTGTCCGGGGCTGTGGCTCTGCATCTGACCTGGCCCAGCTTCACTCTGTGGGGAGTCTTGGGGCCTCCCTGAGCCCCAAAGCTGGGCCCACATGGCCAGTCCCCTCACAGACACTGGCTGCTGCCATTTCCTTTGAGCTGTGTTCCCACCTCAGGTCCACCTGCTGCTGGGTGCTGCTCTCCTCAGCCTCTCGGCCTGGGGAAGCTGCCTCGCCCCTCCCGTGCTGGAAAATCCCACCTGGGCCCAGCTGTTGGTGCAGGCGGCTGCAGGCTGGAGGGGAAGCACTGGGAAGCCACTGAACGTCCAGGTGAGCCTTGACGGCCTCTCAGCCCCTTCCCTCAGCCATGCAGCAACCAGCTCCGCCAACTTTGCCCACACACGCAGCCCCTCCTCCTCCCAGGCTCAGCCCCCTCCAAGTCCAGGAAACCCCTGGGTACACTCGCTCCGTAAGAGCGTTCTTCTGTTTTTCTGCCTGCTTGGGGCATGTGAGATTTACAGCCCTGGAATTTTAGAAAGCAGTTCTGGTGTCTGCGTTTGCTTGGTCAGTTGCAAAGGCATTGCCCATTTTGTCTTGGAGCAGAGGCATCTGCCATCACATGCTCCGTGCCATGGGTGAGGGACAAGGGGTCTCTCCCTGCGCTCTGTGTCCAGCATGGACTCTGCAGTTTGTTCCTTCTGAGCTTGTGATGCTCAGAGCTTGGCCGGGACGGAGCTGGTGGCCTCAGCTTCCAAGCTCCGGAGCTCAGCGTGGAGGAAGGGCGCTGCCATCCTCCCGCAGCTCAGCCTGTGAAGCAGCTGTCAGAACATCTCAGATTGGGTGTCTCCGTCTCTCCCGGCTCCTCGGAGGTGAAGGTCCTTGCAGTCAGTCCTGGAGAGTGGCCCGTGGCCAGGTCCCGGAAACCGCGTGTACCTGTGCCTCACCCTGCGAAGGCTGGGCAGGCAGCGTCCTTGGCCACAGTCGAGAATGTAACTGCGGCTCATGGAAATGAGCCCTGAGAAATCACACGACTGATTTTCACAGATTTCCATTCTTCGAACATTCCACTCTTTGAAAAAGATTTTCTCCTGGCTTTTTCAATCAAAAGCACACACTCTAGGCAGACTGACTATTACTGTAGCCAATGCCGTGAGCTGGCATGTGGGAGGGAAGGCTCTGGATCCTTCTGGAATATGGAATGGGCTCGGAAGGGAGACACACTTGATCCTAGTCCCAGCTCCGCACTGTCCCCGGGCTCCTGCCTCTGAGACCCTCGGGGCTCTGTGGAAACAAGGGGTGATGCCCAGGTGGGACCAGTGCCCTGGAATGTCCTCTGTACTGAATAAATGTCGGCTCCCCTTGAAGCCTACACGGCACTGGCAAATGAGTTCTGTAGCCGACTGTAAGTTAATTAGTACAACTCTTGCTCTCTTATTATTCTTAGACACAAAGTTAATTTGGAAAGATACATGTTTCTTTTAAAGTTGCATGGTTAAAAGCATGTGGGAGCTGAGCTTAATTAAGAGAGAGTGGCTCCTAGCGTGCAAGGGTTGCAGTTGGAGAAAAACATCATTAGATTAAGGGTTTCGCTGCCTTACCCAGCACAGCTGCCCCAGGCCGCTGGCCTCTCCATGCAGTGGATGGTGGATTGACCCGGCGTGAACTCTGTGCAGCTCCCGGAGGGGCCTGAGGTGCACGCACACCAGCAGTGGGGAGGGCAGTGGGGCTCAGGCACTGCGGGAGCGAGGGTGGGGGCAGCGCCCGTGGAGTTGACCCCGGAGCCACCCGTGCGCCAAGCCTGCCGGCATCCTCACAGGTACAGGCCACGCGGAAGCCCCCAAGAGGGCGTGAGCCCCGGCTGCGTTTTAAGCCCTGGAGGAGGGGATGTTGTGAGTGGCTTCAGACTCCTGTGCCCTGGTCCGTGGGCCAAGGACTGGGGCTGGCATCTGCACTCGGTGCTGAAAGCTTCCAGCAAGAAGACTTGGAGCTTCCTTTCTAAGGCATCTCCCTGGCTCTCAGGAGTCTCTGCGGAGCTGAGGGTGCCCGTGGCCTGCCCCAAAAGGCCCAGCAGCCCCAGCGCCCTCCTCTCTGGGCCTGGACCCACAGTGAGGAGGGGGCCACGCTCCTCAGGGGTACTGAGGGCAGGGACAGGAAGATTGTGGGAAGTGCCTGGCTCGAGTGATCAGCCTCCGTCCCTCTGGCCCCATGGAGACGGGGCCTTCGGGCCCTGATGGAGCTGCTCACCGGGGCTCAGGCCTTGGATCCCCCCACAGGGCTGCTGTCCCAGGAGCAGAGGTCCCTCCCTGTGCCCTGGCCCTTGAGGCCCCTGGCGTGTTGCTGGTGTGCATTAGTGTGTGCACAAGAGTTAGCTGGAGGCCCTGCCTGCCGCGTGGCTGCTGTTGTGTCTCCACAGGCTGTGGGGCAAGAGGCAGAGCATGTGTGGTCTGTGCTCGGCCGCCCCAGGCCTGGCGGAAGGGCTGGGCAGGCTCCTGTGAGCGCTGTGAACGCCGGGCACCCCCCGCGGCGCCGTCTTCCTTCCTCACCTCATGGAACCCTCTTGGCGTTTCACACGCGGGGACTCTGAGGGCGGGTTGTCGGGGACAGCACTCCACGGCCTCTTGTGGCATGTCCAGATGATCTTTTCAAAGACATCTGCAGGAGGCAGAGACGGTGCCTCGCCTGGGCCGGGGCAGTGGCTCCCTCCGCCTGGGATCTGGGGTCTCCCTGCCAGGGCTCCCTGTGTGTGTGCAGGTCCCGGGCCTGGCTCCAATCCTCAAAACCACCATTGCTGTGAAAACCACCCTGGAGGGTCGTGTCTCTGGCCAGCAGCCATGAATCCCGCAGGCCATTGAGGCTCCTCCGTGTGCAATCTCAGTGCCTTGTGCAGCTGGACGTGTGAGGAGCTGCCAGGGCCGTGGGGAGCCGGGCTGGCCCTGGCCAGAGTTGTTTCCCTGCCCCACACCCTTTCACCATTTCGCAGTCTCCACGAGTGTCCTGGGTCTGTGCATTTTCGCACATGGACTGCAGTCCTGGAGAACTGGGATGTGGAGGAGGTTGGGAGCAGTGGTGACAGCAGGGCCAGAGGCGACACAGAGCAGAGGAGCAGAGACCAGGTGAGGAGCAGAGACCAGGTGAGGAGCGCAGACCAGGTGAGGAGCACAGACCAGGTGAGGAGCAGAGACCAGGTGGGGAGCACAGACCAGGTGAGGAGCAGAGAACAGGTGAGGAGCGCAGACCAGGTGAGGAGCGCAGACCAGGCGAGGAGCAGAGACCAGGCGAGGAGCAGAGACCAGGTGAGGAGCAGAGACCAGGTGAGGAGCAGAGACCAGGTGAGGTGAGGAGCGCAGACCAGGTGAGGAACGCAGACCACGTGAGGAGCGCAGACCAGGTGAGGAACGCAGACCACGTGAGGAGCAGAGACCAGGCGAGGAGCAGAGACCAGGTGAGGAGCAGAGACCAGGTGAGGTGAGGAGCGCAGACCAGGTGAGGTGAGGAGCGCAGACCAGGTGAGGAGCGCAGACCAGGTGAGGAACGCAGACCACGTGAGGAGCGCAGACCAGGTGAGGAGCGCAGACCAGGCGAGGAGCAGAGACCAGGTGAGGAGCAGAGAACAGGTGAGGAGCGCAGACCAGGTGAGGAGCAGAGACCAGGTGAGGAGCAGAGACCAGGTGAGGAAGGCAGACCAGGTGAGGAGTGCAGACCTGGCAGGGAACGTAGACCTGGCAGGGAACGCAGACCTGGCGGGGAACGTAGACCTGGCGGGGAACGCAGACTGGGTGTGGGAGCCCCAGCACACAGAGGAGCGCAGACCCAGTGGGGAAGCCAAGGCACGAGCTCGGGAGCCGGCGAGGGGTCCAGGTGCTGGATGAGCAGAGCAGGGTGGGCTCCGGGCCACGGGCAAATGCAGAGAAGGAGCCCTGGGGGAGGCAGAGGGAAGCTTTGCTGCGCAGGAGGGCGAGGAGGGGCATCCCTGGCTCTGGGCACACAGGTGGAGACAGAGGACAGCTGTGCTGTGCTGCATTTTCTGATGGAAAAGATGATAAACTATGTTCACGCTGCCAACAAATACTAAACAATGGCTTTCTCTAAAGCTTAAGAATCATTATGCTAAATAGTAAGTTTAGGGGAGAAGAGACAGAGTCCCCTTACAGAAGAACTCCGGAGAATTTGGTTGGATGCTACACCCTCAAGAAATAAAGTAGTGTTGGGTTACAAAGACATAAAGTAAGCGTCCAAGAATCCATACTCTTGTAACTGACTGAAGAAGTACAGAAATGTGAGGAGGCTGGGCGAGCGTGATGCTCCTCCAGGGCTGAGCTCTGAAGCAGGGTTTGTGTGTGCACACGTGTGTATGTGTGTGCATGTGTGTGCGCACACGTGTGTATGTGTGCATTTGCGCGTGCACACGTGTATGTGTGTGCATGTGTGCGTGCACACGTGTATGTGTGTGCATGTGTGCGTGCACACGTGTGTATGTGTGCCTGTGTGCGCGCACACGTGTGTATGTGTGCATTTGTGTGTGCATGCGTGTGTATGTGTGCATGTGTGTGCACACGTGTGTGTGCGCATCTATCAGCAGTGTGCCCTGAGGCCTGTGGTCCCCCTGGGAAGCGCTGTTCAGCACAGGTGGGGGTGTCCCAGGGACATTTGGCTGCTGAGAGTTTGGGGGTCAGAGTTGCCCTCGGCAGACGGTGTCCATAAAGAACACTCACAGCTGAAAGACCCACGGCCCAGGTTCCCCTGGGGGTCCCAGGACCTCAGAGTCCAGCTGGTGAGGGGCACTGTCCTGGCCACAGAGACACGGTGGGGGCTCTGCTGTCTGTTGCAGAAACTGGAGTACTGGGCTGAGCAGTACCCCAAATTCGTGTCCTTCAGGAAGCTCAAATGGGACCTTTTTTGGAAATAGGGTCGATGCAGACATCTTTAGTTAAGATGAGGCCACACTGGGTTAGGGAAGGCCCGGAGTCAGGGACTGGTGCTGGTGTCTTTACCGAAGGACGGTCATGTGAATTCGGAGAGATGGGCCCATACAGGGGAGTCAGCTGCGTGCCCAGGGGGCAGAGGGCAGAATGACGCAGCCACAAGCCCGGAACGCCTGGGGACACTGGAAGACGCAGGAAGGATCCTCCCCTGGAGCCTTCGGAGGCACCTTAGTTTCAGGCTTGGGGCCTCCAGAGCTGGGAGAGGGTGACGTGCCATTGCTTTAAGTCCCCAGTGTGTGGTTCTTTGCCAGGACGGTCTCAGGACAGGCTACAGGGATGCAGCTCACAGAGGAGCCTGGGACCTCACCTGGGTGGGTGTGGTGGCCTCACGCTGCCCTCTGGGGACTCATCCTGCCAGGCCTTCGGCTCCTCGAAGGGACCCTAGGCAACTTCTCCAAAGCTGTGAGGCAGAGGCCGGCTGAGGATCTCAGGAAGGCTGGGCCTTAGGGCGGCCAATTTGCCCAGGACTGAGGGGTTTCCAGGGTGTGGGGCTTTCAGAGCAAAACCCAGGAAAGCCTCAGGGAGCCGGGCGGTCGCCATCCTGGAGGTGCCAGGCGGGGACGGCCTGCGGGGTGAACAGCCCACGTTCTGGTCTGAAGGGAGTCTCTGCCGCTGCCTGTGGGAGAACTTCTGCTTGAACCAGTGAGCTGGGACTGCGGCCGCGTGTGGAGCTCCAGACACAGGGCCCTCACAGGCACCCACCCAGCCCTGCAGGCCCTGGAAAAGCCCACCGCCTGGGAGGGGCATCCACGCCGGTGACCCAAGACCCCGCCAGCAAGAGCGCAGGCCTGGGAGGGGCGTCCGTGCCAGTGACCCAAGACCCCGCCAGCAAGAACGCCGCAGTCCCTCTCAGGGCGGGGGCGGAGGGCGGCACTGCAGGAAGGTGGCCAGACCTCCAGGTCTCCTGCCTGGGGAAGGGGCTTTGGAATTGCAGGACCAAAAGCAACTGCTTGTATTTCGCTCTGTGGCTACGGGCAGGGGTGGAGATGGGGCTACACAGGCTCCTGCGGATACTCCCGCCTGGCAGGATCTCAGCGGGGAGGGGCTGTGGCCCTGGGGGTCCTGAGTAGAAGAAACAGACTTTTCTCTGCTCTTACCCACAACAATCAACAGAGACTCCATGACCAGACGTGTGGGGTTTTTCCCACACGCCAAGCAAACAGTCGGTTCTGCACAGACACCAGCAGGAACCCTCCAACTGCGTTCAATTCATTCTGACTCTTTCCCCAGGAGACAGTGTCTGATACCACAGGCTATGGGCTCAGTCCCCAAGACTCTTCCCCATACCCACACCCACTTCAGACACCAGCGGTATAAGTCTGAGCCTTCGGAACTTCTGGCCCACAGGCTGGGTTCCTATGACACGCCCCCACCCCCCCCACCCCTTCCCCGGTTGGGTTCGATTAATTCTCTAGAGCAGCTGCGGAACTCAGGGACACGCACTTACGTGTACCAGGTTTATTATAGATGGTATTGCAAAGGATACAGATGGAGAGGCGCATGGGGCGAGGTGTGGGGAAGGGGCCGGAGTTCCCAGGCCCTCCCTGGGCACTCGCCCTCCAGGAACCTCCAGAGTCCATTATCCGGAAGCCCCCTGACAGTCCTGCTGGGGATCAGCTTGAGTAGCCAAGCACTGTCATCTCCTTAGCAGACAAACAGACATCACTTATGAGACCCCAGGGACTTTAGGAGTTGTATGCCAGGAAATAGGGAGGAAGGCCAAATGTGTATTTCAGAATAGTCGAGGGTAGCTGGAAGGTACCTGGCTCGGCCTGCAGCCTGAATGAGCGGCAAGGCTCCTGGGTCAGGGATCAGGGCCAGGGCAGGGGCGGGGTCTCTCCCAGACCCATCTGGGAGCTGGGACCCACTGAAGGGCCCAGGCAGGATTGGGGTCAAAGCAGGAGAACATGGAGACAGGAAAGAAGCTGACATTTCTTCATGCTGCGAGCTAAATCCCCTGCCCTAGAAGTTGTGGTTTCTTGTACACTGCAGCTGTTGCAAATCACTAACAACACTGTCTGCCCGTCCCTACGTGGAATGATGGAGTTCACTGGAACCACCGAGGGACGCTGCTCTTACTGCTCGGGTGTGAAAGGATGTATCACTGCATTATGATTTTGTTTCTTAAGAAATACTTTTGGCCGGGTGCAGTGGCTCACACCTGTAATCCCAGCACTTTGGGAGGCCGAGGTGGGCAGATCACTTGAGGCCAGGAGTTTGAGACCAGCTTGCCCAACATACTGAAACCCTGTCTCTACTAAAAATACAAAAATTAGCTGGGTGTGGTGGCGCGTGCCTATAACCCCAGCTACTGGGGAGGCTGAAGCAGGAGAATCACTTGAACCCAGGAGTGGGAGGTTGCAGTGAGCTGAGATCGCGCCACTGCACTCCAGTCTGGGCAAAGGAGCGAGACTCTGTCTCAGGAAAAAAAAAAAAAAAAGAAAAGTAAAGAAAAAAAGAAGGCCGGGTGCGGTGGCTCACGCCTGTAATCCCAGCACTTGGGGAGGCCGAGGTGGGTGGATCATGAGGTCAAGAGATCGAGACCATCCTGGCTAACACGGTGAAACCCCGTCTCTACTGAAAATACAAAAAATTAGCCGGGCATGGTGGCAGGTGCCTGTAGTCCCAGCTACTTGGGAGGCTGAGGCAGGAGAATGGCGTGAACCCGGGAGGCGGAGCTTGCAGTGAGCCGAGGTCATGCCACTGCACTCCAGCCTGGGCGACAGCGAGACTCCGTCTCAAAAAAAAAAAAAAAAAACTTTCATAACTGTTTTGATACTGTGTTTCAACTGCTTTGTACATTTGTTGACGAAAAGAGTCAGACTCCTTGAAATATTTTTAGAGATTTATTCTGAGCTGAATATGAGTGACCTTGGCCTGTGACACAGCCCTCAGGAGGTCCTGAGAACATGTGCCTAAGGTGGTCGGGGTACAGCTTGGTTTTATATATTTTAGGGAGTCACGAGACATCAGTCAAATACATTGAAGAAATACATTGGTTGGGTTCAGAAAGGCGGGACAACTCAGAGCGGGGCCTTCCAGGCTATCGGTGAATTCAAACATTTTCTGGTTGACAGTTGGTTGAGTTTAAGAAGACCTGGGATCAACAGAGAGGAAATGCGAGGTTGAGATAAAGGACTGCGGAGACCAAGTCTTATTGTGCAGAGGAAGCTCTCAGATAGCAGACTTCAGAGGGAGCAGATTGTGAAATGTTTCTTATCAGACCTAAAAGGTGCCTGGCTCTTAGCTAATTATCTCCTGGATCTGCAAAGGAAGGAAGGAAAACAAAGGGGAAGGGGATTCGCTATAGAATGTGGATTTTTCCCACAAGAGACTTTGCAGGGCAATTTCAAGGTCTGGCAAGGAAATATATTTTGGGATGAAATATTTTGATTTTTTTATTGTCTTATAATGTTATGCCAGAGTCAGACTGGAAAGTAAGTCACGATATATATAGGGTCAAATAAGACCCATCTGATGAGAATTTATGGTTGAAGGGTATGACTCCCTAGACCCCTTAGATAGGAATTGGGGCAAGATAAAAAATTAGAGCTTAGTCCTGATATTCAAAGACATTTCTCGGAGAAGGGTCTGAGAAGAGAGGTGGGGGATCTGGGAGCTGTGTGGAGGGACCCCCTGTGTGCAGAGGAAGGGTCTGAGAAGGGAGGTGGGGGGTCTGGGAGCTGTGTGGAGGGACCCCCTGCGGGTGGGGGAAGGGTCTGAGAGAGGTGGGGGTCTGGGAGCTGTGTGGAGGGACCCCCTGTGGGTGGGGGAAGGATGTGAGAGAGGTGGGGGTCTGGGAGCTGTGTGGAGGGACCCCCTGTGGGTGGGGGAAGAGTCTCCTAGCCAGCTGGGGGCCTGAGCTCCCACCACACATTCATTTATTGCCCATTTGTTTCCAAAAGGGATTTGAGGTTGTTCTCAATCAAGAACAGACAACTCCACAGGGATAAGATGATGGCGGAGGGCAGGTGTCGTGGGATTCAGAGAGTGGTAACCTTTGAACACTCAGCTTCCTAGCAGTCAAGACAAAAAGGGCCATCTATGTCTGAAGGGAGGTGGCTTCCAGGGACCAGTGGCTTCTCAGCACAGGTGCCTTGGCAGAGGCTGCCTGACCTCAGACACAGACACCCCTCTGCCCTCTGCCAGTGGCCCAGGGCCAAGTCTCCCAGGGATCTCCCACCTCAGCCGTCTTGATAGTGGCTCCAACACCCACGGGCCATGTCCCTGTCACCCACCGCACTCCGCCCACTGCTGCGTCCTGAGAGTCAGGGTCTCCCCCACAGAACAGGAGACTCCAGAGGGGGTCCCAGGGTTGCTCCCAGCAGGTCTATTTGGACCTCCCCTCCCCAGAGCCCAGCCCCAGCCTCGTTAATTCTGTAATATTTGGTTTTGAAGAAATTTACCATAAATGTATAGATCTTAAAAAATCATGCCAGGGCTGTGATATTCTTGGCAAAAGCCAGTCTGGTGTCCATTTCTGTTGGAGAAGATGAAAGATGAGATTCCAGATGTTCTTTCGGATTTGGGCCATCCCATTCCGTCTGCCACTCAGGAGAGTTCAATAGACCTAACATTTTTGTCTGAAAGGCTTGGGGAGTTTCTCCTCTGCCACACGCTCCTCCTGAGGGAGCCCCTCATTCTGGGACGTGGCTTGTGGCGGCCGTGGCAGCAGCTGGTTCCCGAGGGACAGGACCCACTGGGGTCCCTGAGGCTCCTCCGACAGCAGTGGCAGGGGGCAGGCAGGACCCGGGCAGACGGACCTTTCCAGAAAGACCCACCAGGCTGGACAGGCAGAGTTGCACGGTGGTGAGGCCGGCTCCCAGTGCTGCCACACTTGGCTCCCGAGGGCTAACGATGTCTTCAATCGTACAAAGGCCTCTGATTCACTCCGTAAATCCTATGCTGACACGCTGCCTCTTGGCATCTTATTTTGTTTACTTAGAACCGACTTTGAGGTGAGGAATGCTTGCATGTTGCTGGGTGTTTAGAGGAAGAGTAATAGATTATTTGTAACTCCTGTAATGAAAACATTACGCAGGCACAACGATGGGCTCAGTCCTGCTCATTTTCCGCTGCTAATTGCCAGGGCATACAGGCTCTGTTATGAACTGAAGTGCCATCTGTAACCTCCCACATTTATTAAAATATAATTGCTTTAATGAAATTCTTTTGGAATAAGACATAGTTCAAACAACACACTGCCTTCATGGGTGATTTTCTGGCCAATTACGGACGTGACCACGGAGTCTCTCGCTTTCAATCAGATGGTTTTTCCTTGTAAATGTGTTGGAGAGGACGTTCCAGGGGCTGCTCTGGGCTCTGGCTGGGCTATTTGAACCTTCCACTTTGACCTTAGAAATGCTTCAGTCGTTTTAAAAAGTGCAGAAAATACACCCCCAGCTCTGTGGTCATCCCGGGAGGTGGGTCATGGTGCACATCCCGACACCTTCCCAGGCCCGTCTGCTGCAAGCCCCACCACCTTCCCAGGCCTGCCTGCCTCGAGCCCCTGCCTCCAGGTGCGCTGGTTTATGATGGGGGCGGGGGCGGGGGCAGGTGGCGAGCATTTGCCTGTCTCACAAGTGGAGCTTTTAAGGAAAATTAATGAAGAAACAGACCGGCTAGCTGGGGAGTCTTTAAAAATAGTCCTTTCACCTGGAATCGCTCTCTTCCTCTCAGCCTCAAGTGCCACTTTCCTTACTGGTCGAGAGGGCTCCCCAGACACTGTGCTGCAGTCTGATCTGCCTCGGTGCCCTGCCCGGACAGCGTGGAAGGCGCTGCTCGTGTTCCCGTGGTCTGCCTCGGTGCCCTGCTCTCCCTTTTCTCTCTGGAACAAAGTCATTTGTGCTTTGCGGTGGCATTCTCAGCTGTGAAAAGTCTGATTTAAATGATTTGGCAAATGAGTGGTTCTCCATTCACACCGCCGTTCTGCCTCCTTGGTGGTGGGCGTGGGCTGCGGCTCACACCGGCAGCAGCAGGAACAATGGACTTCACCTGTCCACGCGCCCAGCGCCATTCCCAGTCCTGAGACCTGTGAAACCCACTGGACAAGATGCAGCTCTCGTTCTCAGAGACAAAGGGCCCTGGAGCCTGCAGGAGGTGGGGGGTGTGGCTGGGAGGCAGCTGTGAGTTGCCAGCGTCCCGCACGCTGTGCCCTCCTGCAGCCCTTGCCCGGCACGGTGGGAAGTGACTCCAGCAACCACTCCAGAGTCCAAGCCTAGAGCTCAGAGGTGGCAGGAGAGGCTTCTCGGCCGAGTCGGACGGGGAAGCCTGTGGCTGCCGAGATCACAGCCGCGGTGTCATCCCAAACCAGGGCCGGTGCTGTGGCTTTCACCCTGGATGTGACTTGCCATCTTGGCTAATCTGAGCCGAGGGAGGGACGACGATTTCTCATCCCTTGTGAGTGAGATTTCCTTACATGGTGCACACCTTCCTGGCTTTGGGGATCCCCGCTGTCCTTCAAGGCCTCCTACCTGGTGCCCACCCTGCTGTGAGCTCCCGGCCCTCTCCCGGGGGTGTCCTCCTCGTCCTCCTCTGGGGCTTTGGCGGCTTGTACCCTGGGACACAAGCACGTCTTCACTTGCGGCAGAGTCCCGATGATGACAGGCCATGGAGGCGATGCTGGGTTCACTGCGAGCCACCCGCTGTCAGTGCCCGGGCATGGGTGGTGCCCCCAGCTCATGACCTCGGGTCTCACCCTCATCCCCACCCCTGTGAGGTCCACGGCTGGACAAGAGTGCCCAGCTCCACACCAGCATTTCCTCAGGAGGAGGCTGGGTGGCCCCCAGCAGGAAGTGGGCGCGTTCTCAGCTCCCTGGCATCTGCCTCATCACAGATTTTTGGACGAGGGAGTCCGGAACCTGTGGGACCCCCGCGAGCTCAGGCAGAGGCAGCTGTTCCGGGTCACACAGCCCTTGGCTGTTCTGACAGGCTCTGCTCCCACAAGGACAGAGCACGGGGTCCCCCACGCTGCCTGGGCTCAGCCTTGGTTTTCCATCACAGACCAGTCTGAATCTTGTGCAATGTCATCATGAACTTCTCCCTGCACTTTATATATAAATATGTAGCTCAGTAACAGTGCACCTTGTTCCACAGACACTTCCGAAGGACCTTCTATCCCACACAGCGACCCTCGCTGCAGAAACTGTCGGATGCCAGCGTGTGATGTGTGCTTTCCCGGAGGAGAGGAGACATGGGGTCTGCGTCTCCCTGGGTGCGAATTTGGACACGATGCAGGCAGGGAGGGCCCCCCATCCCTCAAACCCGCCATTAATTCCCCTGCTTTTCCTGAGTCATGGATTTGAAATGCCTTTGTCTAGATCACATCAGATCTTAGAGGTGGTGAACTGCGGGCATTTGTCTTGGGGATAGTGGGTGCTACTCCTCCAGGGACCACGAGCAGCTCCCCATCCTGCCTTCTGGGGACTGATGAAAATGCTCCCACTCCACACCTCCTGTGGTCCGGGCAGCCCAGGGAGTGAGATGCTGGAGCCGGGTCAGGAGCTGGGCGAGGTGCTGGAGCCGGGTCAGGCGCTGGAGCAGAGCCAGGTGACCTCCCATCAATGTCACCCTCAGACCAAACCCATGACGCAGGTTTCAATCCCAGCTGACACTTAGGTTCTGGGTGATCGTAGACATTGTTTATGCCTCTTTTTTTTAATGTTTGATTTTTCTTAAAAGACTACTTTTTCAGAGCAGTTTTACAGTCACAGAAACATGGAGAAGAAGGTCCAGAGAGTTTCCATATGCCTCCTGCCCCCACACAGGCACAGCCTCCCCCACCACCAACCTCCCAGGCTGGAGACGTGCATTTGTGCCGGGCGATGAACCCGCACGGACGCATCCGATGGTCCGGATCCCGGAGCTCACTACGGGGCTCCCTCCTGGGGCCACTCACTCCGTGGGTTTGGACAAACGTGTGATCGCAGGCATCTGCCCTGTGGTGTCCCCCGGAGCAGTTTCACTGCTAAACATCCTCTGTGCTCTGCCTGTTTGTCCTTCTCTCCCGAAGCCCCTGGCTACCTGTCATCGTTCTACTGTCTCCGTAGTTTTGCCTAGAATGTCATCTAGTTGGACTCACGCGGTGAGTAGCCTTTTCAGACTGGCTTTGCTCCCTTAGTGCTGTGGATTCAAGCTGCTTCCCTGTCTTTTCATGTCTTGATGCTTCCTTTTCTGTTTTAGCGCTGAGTGACACTCCGCTGCCTGGAAGTGCCCAGTTTATCCATTCACCGACTGAAGGGTATCTTGATCGCATCCCCGTTGGGCCAGTGAGAGGAAAGCTGTGTGAACCTCTGAGTGCAGGTTTCCGTGTGGACGAAGGAGTTCAGCTCTTTTGGGCAGGTACCAAGGTGCGTGCACACTGGGTCACAGGGTCAGAGCCCATGTTTACATTTGTAAGCAGCTCCCAAACTGTCTCCCGAAGTGGCCGTGCTATCTGCATCCCCTCCAGCAGCGAATGAGCGTTCCTGCAGCCCCACGTCGTCACTGGTCCTTGATGCTGCCGGTGTTCTGGAGGCCGGCTGTTCTAACAGGCGCGTGAAGGTGTCTCCTCATTTTAACTTGTATTTCCCTGACGACTGTGACGGGGCATCTTCTCATATGTGTATCTGCCATCTTCCGAGGGGTCCACGAAGGTCTCTGACCCACTTTTAAACTGGGCTTTTCTTATGGTTGACTCTTAAGCGTTCTTCGTATTTTTCCCTTTATCAAATGTGTTTTTTGTAAATATTTCCTCCCAGTCTGTGTCTTCTCTTCTCATCACTCTTGACAGTGTTCTTTTGCAGAGCAAAAAAAATTTAATTTTAAGAAAGTCTAGCTTACTAATTCTTTCACAATGTATACCTTTGGTGTGGCTCATCTAGATTTCTTCCTACGTTTTTTTCTAGGAATTTTGTAGTTTTGTGTTTTATGTCTAAGTCTGAGACTCATTTTGAGTTAATTTTTTGTGAAAGGTGAAAGGTCTGAGTCTAGACTCATTTGTTTGCATGTAGGTGCGCAGTTGTTCACCATTTTTTGAAAGACCATCTTTCTCTATTGTATCGCCTCTGCTCCTCTGTCAAATATCAGTTGACTGTATCTATGTGGCTCTAGGTCTGAGGTCTCTGTTTTGCTCCGTTGATTTGTCTCTTCCTTTGCCAATATCACCCTTTCTTTGTAGTGAGCTGTGCTAACTATTCTGGGTCTTTTGCCTCTCCACATCAACTTTAAAATCAGTTTGTCAATATCCACAAAATAACTTGCTGAAATTTTGACTAGGATAAAATTGAATCTATAGATCAAATTGGGAAGAATGAACATCTTGACAATATTGAATCTTCTGTCCATGAACATGAGAGAAGAGCTGAGAGTTCAAGCAACCTCGCCTCTTGAGTTGCTTGAACCTGGGAGGCAGAGGCTGCAGTGAGCCTTGCAGTGTCCTCAAGGAGAGAGGTCTCTCTCCTTGCCTTGTTCCTGATCTCTATTTCTTTATTCTTGTTTGATTTTGTTGATCAGAGATTTGTAGTTTTCCTTATATGGAACTTGTACATATTTTATTAGATTTATACCTACGTATTTCATTTGAGGGAACTAATGTAATTGTATTATGTTTTTAATTTCAAATTCCTTGTTCGTTGCTAGTATACACAAAAGCAAATGACTTTTGTATGTTAATCTTATAATCTGCAAACTTGCTATAATTGCTTATTAGTTCCAGGAGGGTTTTCTTTGTTGTTTTCTTGGTCAATTCTTTTGGATTTTCTACATAGATAATCATGTTATCTGTGGACAGTTTTATTTCTTCCTTTCCAATCAGTATACTTTTTATTTCCCTTTTTTGTCTTATTGCATTAGTTAGGATTTCTCGTGTGATATTGAAAAGAGGTGAGAGAGGACATCCTTGCCTTGTTCCTGATCTTGGTAGGAAAGCTTTGAGTATCTCACCATTATTATTGTAGATATTCTATGGCAAGTTGAAGAAGTTCTATATTCCTAGTTCACTGAGTTTTTATCATGGATGGGTGCTGGTTTTTTGTCAAGTGATTTTTCTGCATCTCTTGATGCGATAATGCAATTTTTCTTCCCAAGAATGTTGACGTGATGGATTACATTATTCATTTCCAAATGTTGAACCAGATTTGCACACCTGGGGTAAGTCCCATGTGGTCTTGGTGTGTAATTCTCTTTCTACATTATGGAATTGAATTTGATGATATTTAGCTGAGGATTTTTGCATCTATGTTCATGAGATATATTGGTCTGTGGTTTTTTCTTCATCTTGTTGTGGTAGTAGGGTGATGCTGGCCTCATAGAATGAGTTTGGAAATATTTTCTCTGCTTCTATCTTCTGAAAGAGGTTGTAGAGAATTGGCACAATTTATTCCTCACATGTTAAGCAAAATTCACTAGTAAACCCATCTAGATTTGATGTTTTCTGATTTGGAAACTTGTTAATAAATAAATTAATTTTGAGACAGTCTCACTCTGTTGCCCAGGCTGAAGTGCAGTAGTGTGATCTCAGTTCACTGCAGCCTCTGCCTCCCAGGTTCAGGCAATTCTCCTGCCTCAGCCTCCCAAGTAGCTGGGATTACAGGTGTGTGCCAACACATCTGGCTAATTTTTTGGGGATTTTTAGTAGAGACGTGGTTTCGCCATGCTGGCTAGGCTGGTCTTGAACTTCTGGCCTCAAGTGATCCTCCCGACTTGGCTTCCCAAAGTGCTGGAATTACAGGCATGAGCCATGGTGCCTGGCCTGGAAAGTTGTTAGTTATTTATTCAATTTCTTCAATAGATACGGGTCTATTTAGATTGGCTAGTTCTTCTTGTGTGAGTTTTGACAGACTGTGTCTTTCAAGGAGTTGGTCCATTTCATCTAGGTTACAAATGGGCATAGAGTTGTTCATAGTACTCCCTTATAATCCTTTTACATAGTGATGTCCCCTCTTTCATTTCTGATATTCATTTGTGTCCTCTCTCTTACTTTCTTAGCCTAGCTAGAGGCATATCAATTTTCTTTGTCTTTTCAAATAACTAGCTTTTGGTATCATTGCTTTTCTCTATTGATTTTCTGTCTTCAATTTTATTGATTTCTGCTGTAATTTGTGTTATGTCTTTTCTTCTGCTTACTTTGGATTCAATTTGCTCTTCTTTTTCTAGTCTCCTAAGATGACTAGGTTAGGTAATTGGTTTTAGATCTTCCTTCTTTTCTAATATATATACATGCTATAAATTTCCCTCTAAGTACTGCTTTTGTTGCATCCCACAGATTTTGATAAGTTGTGTTTTCATTTTCATTTAGCTCAAAACATTTTGAAATTTCCCTTGGTATTTCTTGTCTCATGTGTTATGTAGAAATGTGTTGTTTAGTCTCTGTGTATTTTGTGATTTTTTAGTTACCTTTCTGTTACTGGTTTTTAGTTTAGCTCCATTGTGGTCTGAGAGCAGACATTGCCTGATTTCTATTTGCTATGGTTTGCCTCTGTCTCCCCACCCAAATCTCATCTGAAATTTGTAATCCCCACAATTTGAGATGAGATTTGGGTAGGGACACAGAGCCAAACCATATCAAACAGAAATCAGGCAATGTCTGCTCTCACCCAGGGAGGGACCTGCTGGGAGGTGATTGGATGATGGGAGTGGTTTCCCCCATGCTGTTCTCATGATAGTGAGTTCTCACGAGATCTGATGGTTTAAAGGGTATGACTTCCTCCTTCGCTCTCTCTCTCCTGCCACCACGTAAGACATGCCTTGTTTCCCCTTTGCCTTCCACCATGGTTGTAAGTTTCCTGAGGCCTTTCCCAGCCATGTAGAACTGTGAGTCAATTAAACCTCTTTTCTTTATAAATTACCCAGTCTCAGATAGTTCTTTTATAGCAGTGTGAAAGTGGACTAATACACAATTCTTTTACATTTGTTAAGGTATGATTTATAACCCAAATGTGGTCTGTCTTGGTGAATGTTCCAGGTGAGCTCCAGAAGGATGTTATTCTGCTGTTGGATGAAGTAGTCTAGTCTATAGATGTCAATTATATTCATTTGATTGATGGTGTTGAGTTTGACTTTAGTGATTTTTTTCTTTTGCCTACTGGATCTATCCATTTCTGATAGAGAAACATTGACGTTTCCAACTCTAATAGTAGACTCATCTATTTCTCCTTGCATTTCTATCCGTTTTGCCTTATGTAGTTTGATGCTCTGTTGGCAGTCACACCCACTTTCAGGATTGTTATCTTTTTGGAGAAATGACCCTTTTATCATTGTGGAATGCTCTGCTTCATCCCCGACCGTCTCCTCACTCCGAAGTGTACTGTCTGAAATTAATATAGCTACTCCCACTTTCTTAGTGTTAGCAGGGTAGAAATCTCTCTATCCAGTTACTTTTAATCTACATGTACCTATATTTAAAGTGGGTTTCTTATAGACAATATCTAGTTGGGTCTTGCTTCCTGGACAGTCTATCTTTTAACTGGTGCATCTTCATTATTCACATTCAAGGTAATTATGGATACAGTTGGGTTAATATCTACCATGTCTGTTACTGTTTTCTATTTGTTGCCCATGTTCTCTGTTCTTATTTTTGTCTTCTACTCTTTTTCTGTCCTTTGTGGTTTTAATTATATGATTCCATTTTCTCTCCTTTCTTAGCATATCAGTTATACTTTTTAATTTTTTTAATGGTTGCCCTAAAGTTTATAACATACATGAACAACTAATCCAGGCCCATTTTCAAATAATACAATACCACTTCATGGATAGTGTGACACCTTCTAATAACAAAATCACTTTAATTTTTTCCTCCCATCCTTTGTGTCATTGCTGCAATTGATTTCACTCACACATTAGCATACCTAGGCAAGCATGTGTATATACACATGTCAGCATACATATTTAATGTATATAAGCACACATGACCAAATGCATTGTTGCTATTACTTTGGACAAACTTATCTATTAGATCAGTGGAGAATCGGAACAGTGTTTTTATCTTACTTTACTTTTTCCTCTTCCAATATTCTTCCTGTCTTTGGATCTGAGTAGTATTCTCACTCTAAAGAGCTTCCTTTCTCATTTCTCACAGGGCAGGTTTATTGACAACTGATTCCCTCAAGTTTTGTTTTTCTGGGAAAGTCTTTTTTTTCTCCTTCACTTTAAAGGATAACTTCACAGGGTACAGAATTGTAGGTTGGGGTCTATTTTTTCCTTTCTCAACACTTTAAATATTTCGTTTCATTCTTTTCCTGCTTGTGTGGTTTCCGAGCTTTCAAATGAAATGTCTGTCTTTGCTCCTCTGCAGCCGAGGCATCTGCATCCTCAGTTTGTCACTCATTCATTCACTTCTACCCCAAGTGGGCCCACAGCTGCTGCTGGAGAACGGAGGGGACGTCACCTTGTTCTTGCCTGCAGAAGCTGCAAGTCCAACAGCAAAGGGGACCTACTGCACGAGAATGAGGAGAGCTGCAGGGTGGGGGGCTCAGGCACCAACCCCCACCCCCCCCACCACCAAGGGCCTTCTAGGCAAGGCTCTCATGTGTGGAACGGAGGCCAGCTGGAGGGCAGGGCCAGGCACGTGTCCCAGCTGCTCCTCAGCGTGGCTTCCCCTCCCGAACAGAGCAGCTCACACAGTAACAGTGACAATAATCACAGTGGCTAGCGTGAGGTCGACACTCCTCGGGCGGGCACCATGCTCCTGTCGGACTCACATGAGTCAGCATTTGGATAACCCCTGCCTGTACCTCCACAGGGTTCTTAGGACAATGGGAAGAGCCTGTGTGAGTGTGGGAAAGGCAGCTGCAGGTCCCGTGCTGAGAAGGTCCCTCGCCTAGAAGCCAGTGCCTCTGGTCTGGTTCAGGCCCTGTCTGCACAGTGAGTCCAGCTGGCATCCATAGGAAGAAAGGGTGTTCCCCGGGCGTGCTCCAGAAGCAGCTACACATCTGTCGGGCTGCAGCAGAGGCTGCATCTCAGCGTGTTCCCTGGATGCCCCTGACCCTGTGACGGCTCAGAAACAGCAGCTGTGGGCAAACCACGGTGACGGCCATGTGGGCCCAGCTCCCTCCTGCTGCTCTGGCCAGAGCCCGTTGCCGTGGTGGCAGAGGCATCTCTGGATTTCCTGCTGCAGCAGGACAGAGTCCACATCAGGACTTGAATGTTCCCTGCAGCACAAGGAGGCGAGAGAGGTGGGTTCGAGTCCCGCTCCTGCACGGGTGAGGGTGGTGTCTGGATGTGGAGGCCAGGGCCTGGAAGCCTTCACCCCTCACCAGCAAGGTGGGCAGGTGCTGCGGCCGGGCCTGCAGTTCTGCTCCCCCGCTGCCCGGGTCCCCGGTTCTGCTCCCCCACTGCCCGGGTCCCCAGGCATGCACGGAGTCCTGGACTTTCACTCCCCTGGGCGGTCAGTGGGAGAGAGAGGCCTGGGGTCTCTGCTGAGGAATCATCGTGTCACTCGCCCTCCCTTCAGAGTTCGGGAAACTGAGGCAGGAGAGGCTGAAGTTGCCAGAGGTCACGCGCTAAGGAGCTGCAGAGCCAGCTTTGCGTCCCTCCCCTGTGGGGCCCCAGGAGGGCTGTGAGGCTGGGGAACCCACTGCGGGGTCCGGAGCTCCAGGATCTGGTGCTGAGGCCCTGGGAGGAAGAGGGAACCTACGGACTGCTCGTGGCTCCCCTACTCCCGGGGAAATGCAGGGAAACTGAAGCCTGGGCTGTCCCCTCTCCCAGCTGGCAGAGGGCCCTCAGGTACGATGGAGAGTGAGACATGCAGGGTGGGGAGGGCAGGGCAGGTGGCAGGGAGACATGGAGGGCGGGGAGGGCAGCAGGGACAGGCAAAAGGAAGCAGCCCCACCCCTCTATGCCAGGAGCACCCCATACCATGACTGTGACAGCCACAGATGCCTCCAGACATGACCACGTGTTCCCTGGGGACAGAACCACCGGGCAGAGCACGTCCAGGCTTCCGGGGATCCCCGGAGGTGGCTGCCTCCTCACGGCGTCTCCCCATCCTTCCCCATCTCCCTTCTCCCTCCCCCGTCCCTGGAAAGGTCTGCTTCAAACCTGTGAGAAATGACTAGGGGCGGCTGTAAAATCAAAACCTTCCCCTCAGGCCCAGAGGAAAAATGAGCCACTTCCATTTCTTGGCGCTTTTCCCTGTGAGCCTTGGACAAGCTTCCCGAGGCCTGGCCTCCGCCCAAGCAGCCGGTCCCTCCCAGGGGCCTCCCCGTCGGGCTTCCTCGTCCTAAATGGAGTTGGAGGCGCCTCAGCAAACCCAGCGATGGGGCGAGGATTTTCAGAGCGGGCCCTACCTGATGATGGGAGGGATCATGTTTTCTCCAATATTGCCAGAATAGCAGTGTTGTAAAGGTTGCTACAGAAACACCTCGGGTCAGCGCCGAGTCCAAAATAGAGCGTCTAGACAAACTCCTACTGTCTGACCTTCGACGTGTTTCCTAATCCATCCAATCTTGCCAAGCAAATTGGTGACTAAGCAGCAATTCCCTTTACACTCTGTCATAAAGGCCTGACGAGGCCCAGGCGCTGTGCTACATTTCAGTCTGGCTGTGGCGGCCGCTCCACCCGCACGGCTCCCACGTGGCTTCCCAGCGCGATGTGTGCCTGGGTCGCCATGAACTAATTTCAAGGCCGAGTCCAAAAGCCACAGGGCTGCCGGAAAACAGAACTCACTTTCAGCCAGCAGGGCCCCAGAGTTGACATAAAATGTGAAGAGGGAGTCTGGAGGCGGCTCTGGCGAAAACAAAATAGAAGTTGGGGACGGGCCGGCCCCAGTGGCCTCCCTCCGTGCAGGGGCTGGGAGGGGGTGGGGCAGCGGTTCTGCTAAATGAATAGAGCCAGCTGCTTGGCGAGGCCGAGCCCCTCCTCTGTCTCCCCTGCAATGCTCTGTCCTGAGCCTCTCAGTCACCTGTGTGAAGGGACTCAGACGCAAGGAGAGTTGTGCTCTGCTCTAAATAAGCACAGTGGAGACCCTGATGTGGTGGAATGGGGCGGCTTCCTTTTGCCCTGAGTCCGAGGCTCTGGGTTTCGGGCACTTGGGCTGGGCATGCTGCAGGTGGGACGGGGCTGAGGCTCCACTGGGCAGGGGCATGGAGCTGCAGAGCGGGCACTTTGCGGTGAGGGAGGTGGTGTAGGCTGGGCAGAGTGGGACGTGGGCGGCCTGGGGGACACTGAGATTCATGGGTCGGGGGCAGGGGCTGCCCCGGGTGCTGCCGCGGGTGCTGCCGCCGGCATGGCCACGCATCTGGCTTCTGTGCCTCTGGTGACCAGGCTATTTCCACAGATGGCAAAGCTGGCTGTAATTGGGGTTGCTTCCCCAGGGACAAACCACTGGTCCTAAAATGGAAGGCGAGGGAGGGGAGAAGACTGTTTTACTGGAAAAGAGGCCACTTTGCCAGAACCACGTTGGTGCCACAAAGTGAGGAATACCTGTCTCTCCACACTGGTGCCAGTTGGCCCATCGCTGTAGCTTAACTGTCCAAAAAAGGAAAAAGAAACACTTCCACCAGATAGTATAACTCTTGGACCGGAGAGTGAAGTGGAAGCCTCACTCTAAACCTTTCTGCAGCTGCACGCTGGGCCTGGCCGGAGTCCCGCCGAGCAGAGCGGAAAGTGAGCCGGTACCAGTGCTCGTGGCAGGGTGAGCCTTGCGTGTGCTGCGTCTTGAAGGGGGCGGCTTTGCGGCTTAGCATGTCGCTTTTCTATACATACCAGAAACGCAAGTTTTCCAGAGTCCTCTGGCCAGAGGTGGGTGAGGCATTGGCAGTTCTTCAGAAGACACAGAGAAGCCTACATGTTTCTCTGAATTTCTCATAAACTGCCCCTGGCTGGCGCTGAAGCTCCTTCAGAGGCAAAGAGCTTCAGACGGGCGATGCCTGCCCGTTGGCCCCTGGCAGACCTGCCAGCCTCCAGGCTGAGAGCAGGGTTCCAGCAGCATCTGAGCAGCCAGGCCCAGGTCTAGCCACCGCAGCCCGCACAGGCCTCTGCAGCCCCCGACTCAGCGGCATGGGTAAGCTTGGCTCCGCGGGGCCACAGCAGAGCCTGGAGACACAGAGGCTATCCCTGCAGTGGCACCTGGGAGATGCCACTAAGCCGTTGCCTGCAGCCATGACTCAGCCCAGCAGTCCAAGTGCTAGACGGAGAGCTGCTCCCATCTACGGGGTGCCCACTGGGTGGGCAGGAGTGGGGCAGGCGAGGGGAAAGCTCCTGCCCACATCTCCTGGGCTCTGCGGCCTGTGCTGCTGGGTGCAGGGGGGCAGTCCAGGGACTGAGCAGGACTGTGCCACGGTGAAGAAAATCCACCTCCACCAGGGCCTCCACCACCTCCATCAGGACTAGAAACTGAGCAGGACTGTGCCACAGTGAAGAAAATCCACCTCCACCAGGGCCTGACCCCTGCTTGGTGCTGAGTCTGCCTTGGTTCCCTCACCGGAAGGTGGGGAAAACGAGAGCCCCTCCCACAGATGTGTGTCCACACTGATAGTGAGGCTGGCGCTGCACAGCCCTGCCTGGGGCCCTGACACGCACGGCAGAACCTCCATAGGGGGCCGCTGGCCACCCCCCAGGTCTCCACTGCCACAACCTGGTGTTCGGGACTGGCCAAGGCCCGCAGGTGCCGGGGCAGCAGGGAGCCCCCGTCACAGCAGTGAAAGACACCAAGGGCCCCGTAGCCCCGTGCCAGGACTCTGGCCTCAGCTCCTGCAGCCTGCCCAAACAGCGCTTCCCGGGGGGCACTGTGAGGTCCCCCCAGTGCTGTCTCTGTAGAAGGACTTAACCTCACCTGAGGACTGGACGTCCCTTACCACCTCAATCCCGAGCCTGTGGTGTTTCCGCTTGCTTTAAACCAGGACCTATGGAGAAGCGCACCTGCTCCCCTGGCTTCGGTGTGGCCGCACTCACGGTGTCGGGAGGACGTGGACGTGCTGTACTGCACCTTTAAAGGAAAGTGCTACGGCTCCGCACGCCTTCCCCCCACCACCCAGTGCCATGGCTCCGCACGCCTTCCCACCACCCAGTGCCATGGCTCCGCACGCCTTCCCCCCACCACCCAGTGCCATGGCTCCACACGCCTTCCCCCACTCCAGTGCCACGGCTCTACATGCCTTTTCCCCCCCAGTGCCACGGCTCCACAAGCCTTTTCCCATCCTACAATTGTCATGTATTTTTCATGAAATGAGTTATTTGAAAGAAACTAATATTGTCCAAAATATAGAACTTCTTTTGGAAGTTTTGAAGAATCTTGGACTCCAAGGGGCTCCTCTTTTGAAAGCTGTTCCCTTCTCTGACCACAGGGGCTGGGAGGGGCGTGCTAGGCCTGCACGGAGCCTGGGCGGGGTGTAGGAGGACCTGGAGGAGTGCTGGAGCCAGGCAAGCTGGGCTGCTACCAGGAACCCGAACCCCTCCAGACACCCCGGGAGAGGTGGGCTGTGAAGCCAGGCTCAGAGCAGAGGACACAGGCAGGGAGGCACCCCCGGGGCTTGGCACAGCAACCAGAGTGCAGGGTGTCCACCGTGCGGGAGTGCAGGGTGCAGTGGTGTGGAGTGGGGATGAGGATATGGGGTGCGTGGAGTGGGGATGAGGATATGGGGTGCATGGAGTGGGGATGAGGATATGGGGTGCATGGTGTGGGAGTGTGTAGGGGCACAGCGGGTGTGGGGGGTATGGAGTGTGGGCTGAGGGGGTGGGAGGTATGGAGTGTGGGCTGGGGGGGTGGGGGATGCTGGGTGTGTGGGAGTGTACGGGAGCACAGGGGGTGCAGGGGGTATGGAGTGTGGGGTGGGGGCTGCTGGGTGCGGGATGCTGGGTATGTGGGAGCGTGGGGTGTGGGAGTGTGTGGGGACACAGTGGGAGCATGGGGTGTGGGAGTGTGCAGGGACACAGTGGGTGTGGGGGGTATGGAGTGTGGGGTGCGGGATGCTGGGTATGTGGGAGCATGGGGTGTGGGAGTGTGCGGGGACACAGTGGGAGCATGGGGTATGGAGTGTCAGGTGGGGGCTGCTAGGTGTGCGGGGGTGTGGGGACAGGGTTTGCGGGGCAGGGGGTTGCAGAAGCGTGTAGGATGCGAGGGTGCTGGGTGCATGGTGCATGGTGCAGGGTGCAGGGTGGGGGGCTGTGGGGAAGGTATGGGGGGTTTCGGGTGCAGTGGGGAGGTGCAGGGGGTGTGGGGTGCAGGGGTGCCTCCAGCCCCAGACCTGCTGGGGTTGCACTGGTTCTGCTGCTGACAGGTGACCCACCTGCCCCTGTGCGCAAGTCACTGAAAGTTTTGGAGCCTGGTTTTCTTACCTGAGAAATGGGGCTGATGATCGTCCTGACTGATCGATTGGACCACCCGGTACACCACTGGCCTCTCCGATCCACAAGCTTCGAAAGCATTTTCATATCAGGTGGGCTTCCCTCCAGGTGCAAAGCCCCCGAGTTTCCTGACTGCTGACTCCCACTTGCTGTCCAAGCTTCTGCAGGTCTGCAGGGGGGCTGGTTACCCCGAGACTCGTGTCCAGGTGATCTGGGAGGTGCCACATGGGAGCACATAGGGATGGGGCACGCAGGGGCCAGGGGGACATGGGGAGCATGTGGAGGCATGTGACATCATGTGGGGCGCGCAGGGGCACTTTAGTGGAAAGGAGGAACAAGTGCTTTTTGGAGCAGCGGATGCACCTGCCCAGCCCCCAGCACACCCAGTGCCAGCAGGAGCAGCAGCAGAAGAGCAAGCAGCATGGGTCCTGCTCACGTGGGCCCAAGCCTCCCCAAGGCCTGCAGCTTGGCTCCCGGCCCCTTCTGCCCAGGCTGCCTGCTCCCAGCTGGGGTTTCCCGTCTACACAAGCTCTGCCTCTCTAGCCCTCAGGCCACCTGAACCCACCACAAAGGCATCGGTCCCTTCAGGGCTCCCAGGGTTCAAGGTGCAGCTGGGTTGAACACCACCAGGGAGTGCTGTGTAGACGAGGCCTTCAGGGGCAGGGAGTGCTGTGTAGACGAGGCCTTCAGGGGCAGGGAGTGCTGTGTAGATGAGACCTTTGGGGGCAGGGAGTGCTGTGTAGACGAGGCTTTTGGGGGCAGGGCCTGAGGGCCATCTCTGCACCAGAAAAGTGTTGTGAACTCCAGAGTAGGGAAAGATGGGAACACAGAGGGGGAGCTGTGGGTTCAACTGTTTCCCCAGAAGCATGTGGAAGTCCCAGCCCCTGAGACCTGAGAGTGGGACCTCATTTGGAAACAGGATCCTGCAGATGTGGTCAAGACAAGCACTGGGCTGGGCGGGGCCCAAGTCCAGGAACAGGCATCCTCCTAAGAGGAAAGAGACCAACACGGTGCCATGGGAGGCAGGCGAGGTTGGAGCAACGGCACAAGCCAGGGAAGCTGAGAGCAGCAGATGCTGGGACAGGTGGCTAGGAGCCACCGGTGCACCCGGGGAGCACGTATGCCCTGCCCACGCCCAGGAGCACGGTGGGGGGGGCACGCCCTGCCCACGCCCAGGAGCACCCGGGGGGGGGGGCACGCCCTGCCCACGCCCAGGAGCACCCTGGGGGCATGTCCTTCCTATGCCCAGGAGCACCCGGGGAGCATGCCCTGCTGTGCCAGGGTTTCAGACTTTGGCCTCCAGGGTTCTGAGAGGATAAATTGTTAAGTCCCCCAGTTTGTGGAACATTGACCTGGCAGCCCCAGGACCCTAAAACAATGGGTTAAGCAGAAAAACATGGTTCCTGGGGGTTGCAAGGGGACTCCACGGTGCATCTGTGGGTATCCGCTCTAGAAGGTATCCGCTCTAGAAGGTAGCGTCCTCGCTGAGCTCTGTGCAGGGGCACAGGTCAGGGCTGTGGAGAGCCACAGGGCCACTCCGTCTGGCTGCACATAGAGCCTCCATGTCCTCAGGCTGCACACAGGCAGCCCCTCTGCAGCATATGCGGCCATGTCTCCTGCAGCTCCGAGAGAGAATGGCTCGGGGCTCAGGGGTGGCGGCTGTCATCAGAGGTGCCTTTTCATTTTGCTCTTTCTCTCCCAACTCCAGGCCCTTGCGAGGTGATGAAAAACCTGCTGAAATAGCACAGAGCAGCCCCTCCCGCGGTGGTTCATAGCATTCATCCCCTGAGAGCCCACACAGGCCACACCACCGGCCCACAGAGGGGAAGCTGAGGCAGGAGCCTAATGACTCGCCCCAGGCCTCAAAACGATGTGCACTGGGGCTGTTTCCACTATTAAGTCAACAATCTCTGCAGTTTCTGCTTAATGGTCTCAATTAAGGTTCTCTTAATAAAGAACATTTGTGGAGAAGATGGGTGGGGCTGACACAGTTCTGCGGTCCACAATGCCTCTGAATCCCAGTGAAAACAGGCTAGAGCCTTCTCAGCTCCCAAGGCACAACCAAAATACAGACAGACAGGAGCGCCCCAGGGAAGGAGAACTGGCGTGGTGTCCACACAGGCATCAGGAAGTGTGTGAGCCTGCGAATGTGCACCTGTGTGCATGTGGTGGCATGTAGGTGGAATGTAGGTGGCACGTGTGCATGAATCGAGTGCATATACATGTGAATGGTATGTGTGCACATGTAAGCATATGTATGCCATATGCGTGTACACGTTGCATGTGAGTATATGTATACCATGAGTGTGCACTGTGCATGTGAGCATATGCATGCTGTATGTGTACACTGTGCATGTGAGCATAGGTGTACCGTGTGTGTGTGCACTGTGCATGTGAGCATATGCATGCCGTGTGCGTGTATGCACTGTGCATGTGTGCATATGTACGGTGTGTGCATGTGTGCACTGTGCATGTGAGCTTACGTATGCTGTGTGCACTGCGCATGTGAGCATATGTATGCTGTGTGCACTGTGCATGTGAGCATATATATGCCATGCCTGTGCACGTGAGCATATGTATCCTGTGTGCATGTGTGCACTGTGCATGTGAACATATGTATGCCATGTGTGTGCACTGTACATGTGAGTATATGTAGGCCGTGCCTGTGCACTGTGCATGTTAGCATATGTATCCTGTGTGTGCGTGTGCAGTGTGCATGTGAGCATATATATGCCATGTGCGTGCACACCGTGCATGTGAGCACATATATGCTGTGTACTGTGCATGTTAGCATGTGTATGCCATGTATGCGTGTGTGCACTATGCATGTGAGCATATGTGTGCTGTGTGCACTGTACATGAGCATATGTACACTGTGTGCAGCATGCATGTGAACATATATATACCATGTACGTGAGCACTATGCAAGTTAGCATATGTATGCCGTGTGTGGGCACTGTGCATGTGAACATATGTATGCCATGTGCATGTGTGCACTGTACATGTGAGCATATGTACGCTGTGTGCGGGCACTGCCTGTGAGCATATGTATGCCATGTGTGCAGTGTGCATGTGAGCATGTCATGTGTGCACTGTATGTGAGCATGTTTGCCATGTATGCATGTGTACGGCACATGTGAGCATGTGTATGCCATGTGTGCATGTGTGCACTGTGCATGTGAGCATATACCATGTGTGCATGTGGACTGTGCATGTGAGTATATGTATGCCGTGTGTGTGTGGGCACTGTGCATGTCAGCATATGTATGCCGTGCATGTGCACTGTGCACGTGAGCATATGTATGCTATCTATGTGCATGCACTGTGCATGAACATATGTATATGCCGTGTGCACTGTGCATGTGAGCGTATGTATGCCATGCATGTGCATTGTGTATGTAAGCATATGCCATGTGTGCACTGTGCATGTGTGCATATGTATGCCATGTGTGCATGTGCACAGTGCACATGTACGTGCCATGTGTGCACATATGTGCATGTGTCCCTCTGTGTGTCAACACCCATGTCTGTACCTGCTGCTCTCTTTGGAGAGAAATACCTACGTGCTCACCTTTGGCCTTCATGGAGTGACTCACTGGCCCCGGTGGGTGCTGTCTCATGGATGGGCTTGAGTTCTGAAGGGCGCCGTCCAGGCAGGAGCAGGTGGAGAAGCCATAGCTACTCACTTCCAAAACTTCCTTGACTGCTCAGGGTTCAGGCCTCCCCATGTAAAGAGGGCCCTCCGGCGGGGCTTCCTTGTGTCCACACCAGCCTGGGTCTCAGGAAGACCTTGAGGGGCAGGACCAAACAGGTGAGGGGGACAGACCCTTAGTCCATCCCTCAGGGTTGCTGGAGCCCCAGAAGCTCCTGCCTAGACCCCCATCCAAAAGTCAGACCAGCAGAAGTCAAGCAGACCAAACTTAGACTAATGCGTGGGTGACTGATGGCCTTTTAATAATCCAGACGCATCTGCATTTTCAGACCAGGATCTCATTTAACACAAACAGCTCTTTAATTGGTTGCATTCCAGGGGCTTAACAAAGTGGGAACTGCAGCATGTTGGGGGAGGGAGGAGTCAGCCCATGCTGCGGGGTGGCTGGCCCCCCATTGGCCCCCACGGGGCACCCCAGATGCCCCTACCATGGCCTACTGTCCACGCCAAGCCCTCCACGGTGGTGGCCAACACACGGGGGCTCCTGAGGGCTGCCTGTGGCAGGGCACTCAGAAATGGGGGTGACCGAGGCTCCTGCGGGGGTGCGCAGGCCTCCCTGGGCACAGATGCTGCCTGGGCTGTGAGGGAGAAGCTGTCTGCTGGTGGCTCTGTCCTCTCCAGGAGGCCCTGGGGTGAGGGCAGCAGTTGAGGCTGCATAAGAGCACTTCACACCCAGGGCTCCGTTCAGCCAGGTCATAGGGCCCCCCCGGCTCCTGGATCCACTGGGACCGCCCAGCAGAGGGAACCGCAGCCGTGCATATGGAGCGGGAGAGGCCGCAGGGCTGCAGCCCGAGCTCAGATCGAGGAAGGCTCCATCCCTCCTGTCCTCATCACAGGGTGACATGGTTCGGGTGAGCCCCCGTCCTGGGACTTTGGCTAACAAAACAAAGACAGGCTTTGCACGACTGGGGGACCCTGGGCAGCACAAGAGCAGCACCCCCAAGATGGGGAGGAATGAAGCTGGGCGTGAGACGCTCGGCCCTTGAGGGCGGGTCTGGAAGCCGGGTTCCCCATGTGGCATCCACGCAGCTGCAGCTGCCTGGGATCACGGCACACGCGACTCTCATGTGTCGTTGCTGAGGAGCAATTCCCTATTACCTCTGTCTTCTCCTCAACTTCTGACTCTGCTGTTGCCTTCTTGCAGCATCTACATCATTTCCTCCAGCAGAACTCACTTGCCCCAGGCAGCGACTCCAGGCGCCTGTCTCAGGCTGCAGGCACGGGGACCCGTGGCTGCCACACACAGCTTGAGGGCAGGAGGCCCCTGCCCCGACCGTCTACAGTGGCACATCCAGCTGCAGCAGTGAGAAGCCTGTGAGGCCGCAGCTCACCCCTGTGCTGGTACCGCCACACGCGCTCACGTACACACGTGCTCATGTACACACATGCATGTTACAGGCCTGCGTGGGTGGACTCAGGTGTGTGGGCGTCCATCCTGAATCGGGACAGAAAAGTCATTTGTAGACCATGCATGACCTCAAAATCTTTCCAAATTAAATCTTCAAAAATCGGAAACAAAACAAAACCAACATCTAACCTGCTCCTCAGCAACGCTACGTGCCCCAGCGTGGACAGTTCCCAGGCCCACGTGCTTAGTCCTGCAGATCAGACACGATTCCAATAAAATCAGCAGGAGGTAGAACACTTTATAGCCATTTTCTAGACACACACTGTCTGATGGAAATCTAATGGGAACCACATATGCTATTTTAAGGTTTCTAATGTCCACATTAAAAAAAGAATAAAAAATAGGTGTCTTTTTTTTTTTTTTTTTTTTTTAAAGACAGAATCTCACTCTGTCCCCAGGCTGGAGTGCAGTGGCACGATCCCGGTTCACTGCAAGCTCCGCCTCCCGGGTTCACGCCATTCTCCTGCCTCAGCCTCCCGAGTAGCTGGGACTACAGGCACCCGCCACCATGCCCGCCTAGTTTTTTGTATTTTTAGTAGAGACAGGGTTTCATCTTGTTAGCCAGGATGGTCTCAAACTCCTGACCTCATGATCCGCCCGTCTCAGCCTCCCAAAGTGCTGGGATTACAGGCGTGAGCCACCGCGCCCGGCCAATAAGTGTCATTAGTTTTAATATTTTGTTGAACCCAATCTATAAAAAAATTATCATTTAAATCTGTAATCAATGTAAAAAATTAGTACTTGTTTCAGGTTCTTTTTTTCACAGGAAGCCTCAGCACCCGGCGTGCAGTCTTCCCATGTGCTCCCAGCAGGCGCACACGTTCCCGTGCTCCATGGCCATGCGTGCCTGGGAGACCACCATCACAGACGTGCGACTCTCCTGGGAAATCAGGGGCAGAGGACACTGTGTTCTCGACAGGCCACACAGTGAGCGCACGGTGTGGGTGCACGTGGGCGGCCCTGGATGTGCGGATGGAAAGTGAGGATGGAGAGGTTCCTGCTTCTCCAAGTAACGCAGCTGGAGGCAGGAGACGCAGTTTCCAGCGCTGGCCACGGAGCTGTGTGCACATGGCCACGTCGTGGCGGAGGGGCTCTGAAGTGAGCATTGCTGATGCCCACTCGAACCCCTGGCCTGTGCACAGGACATGGAGCCGTGTGGCAACTGTGTTAGGACACTCGGCGCGGCTGTCTTGGGACAGGAATTACCTGGTAATCACCGGAGCTTGGGCTGGGGGTCCAGGGAACTGGAGAGCAGAGGGAGAGACTGAGGTGCGGCATCACTTGCTGCTTGGCAGGCAGGAGGGCCTGTGCGAGGCCAGGGAGGAGATGGGACCTCAGTCCTGCAGCTGGCAGCTGGGTTCCTTCCACACTCGGGCAGTCCTGGAAGCAGAGTCTCTCTGGGCCCCCAGCTAGGAGCACAGACCTGCAAGGCGCCCGCAGCCTGGTGAGAATGGATAAATCTGTATTGATTTCAGCCCTGGCGGTTTTGCTGCTGATGTGGTGGTGGTCAAGAGCCAGAGCAGTGCTGCTGGAACAGGCCACCTGGTCTCTCTGTACCTGTCTCCTAACTTGTAAATGGAGGAGCTGCCAGCACCTCACGGGCCACTGGGCAATTACTCATGGCAGCGAGTGCAGGCACCTGGCCAGTTCTCAGCAGTAATGTCCACTAGAAGGTGGCTGCCAGCCTTAGCCCCCTGATGACATCACTGGCCTTTCTCCCACAATGGTGCTGGGCTGGCCTCCCTCTCTGTGTCTCTGGACCCTGCAGAATACGGGATGGTGCCCCGTGCAGACCTCAGAGCCTCTAGCGATGCCCAGGGTTGCTGTCCCATCAGGGAGGCAGAGGCTGCAAGCCCAGAGCTGTGTCTGGACAGAGGGAACCAGGCACCAGCTATAGCTCCACGGCAGGAAGACACCCTTCAGCCCCCACCCCCAAGCAAGAGGCACCTGCGGCTTAGTGGGCCCTGACTCCAGCCTGGCCAGCTCGGGGCCCAAACGATGCCTGTGGCTGCCTGGCCCCTGCAGCGTGGCACAGACGACAAGTGCATGGGGAGCAGACCTGGTGTCCATGAGCACCCAGGCAACGCGCCACCTCTCCCTCCTTCCTGGTCCTGCCACGGGGGCCTGAGCTGCGTGGGAGTCTCTTCTACTTCCTGTTGACTCAGTAACTCGGGCTCTCTCGTGAAGTCCCAGCAAGAGAAGGGAGATGAGGAGTAGGAAGGACGCGGGGCCAGTTCATCCAGCTGGTGGCTGTCATCACCGAGATCGAAGTCTCAGGCCAGGCCGGGCCCTTCAGGAGACGGTGAGGATGGACCCCATCACCGCTGGCGCTGGTCCCGCAGCCCACCCTGAGGAGGAGTCTCTCCTTGACAGGGGAGCTGGACACTGCTGTGGTCTGTGTGAGCCCAGCCACTGCCACCCAGTGAGAGGAAGGCTGGGCTCCCACAGTGTGGGGTTCTGGTGCACACCCCACAGGTCGGCGGTCCCCAAGGTCATGTCTGATTTCCATGGAGCTCTGTCAGCTGGAACTGCTCCCGGGAAGCCCCTGAACTCCTCACGCCGCCCCCCGCTCCAGACGCTCCCTTTGAGTGTGGACACCTCGGCAAGTCCAGTACCCTCGTCTGACCTCGGACCCGTCTGCATCTCCACAACACACCCAGGATGAAGCCGAGGGCTTTCTCTCTCCCACCGCACTGTGGTGGTCTTCCTTCATCCCCCAGGCCCCGCTAACAGTGGGAAGGGACAGCGGGCTGGAGGCAGGAGTGGGTGTTGGCTGTGGCCTCAGGACAGCGCAGCCAGCAGGATTTGAGCTTCTGGCCTGGCAGCACCCTCAGAAACCACCAGGTGGGCCCCAGAGGCCAAGTCCAGGGGGTCTCCGTGGGCCACGCTCCCTCTCAGGCAGCAGCCCTTGGAGGGGGCCCCAGGGGTCCCTGTGTAAAAGCGGCCTCTGCTGTGCTCACCCCGTGAGACCTGCCGGCCATGTGGCCTGTGGTGCTGGGATTTGGACACGGGCCCAGGCAGGCCCTCACAAGAGGGCGGTGGGAGCTGCAGCTGGAGCTGCTCAGAGCAGTGGGCTCTTCTCCAAATGGGTCCCCTGCCAGCCACTGTCCCAGCACCCGACTGGCCCAGAGCCATCCTCTCGGCCCCATGCACTCAGCACCGCCGCCTCCCCAAGGCCATGCTGGGGCGCCGGGCATTCTCAGACGTGGAGGCAAGGGGCTGGGGAGGCTCAGGTGAGAAGCCAGGAGCCAGCCTGCACGTCCGGCCTCTCAGGCACTCATGGTGGTCACTTGGCCTGGACACTCTAGGCCTGGGCTCCTGCTCCGTATCGATGACCTTAGCAGTCAGCTTGGGTGGGCAGGATGCCCAGGGAACCTTGAGAGATTCCATCCGTGCCCTGCGTTGGGGGCTGGGCTCCTCCCTGAACCGAGCAGCCCCCTCTCCGGTCACCTCTGCCTCCTGGGCGGCTGGTGGTCGGTGGTGGCCGGACACGCCTCGCCCCGGGCACGCTCTCGGGATGGGGCCTCCACATGGGCCTGCTGGCTGGAGGTGTCACTGGCGCCTGGCCCTCCCGGCCAGCTTCCAGCTCACCAGAATACCTGGAGCTTAGAGTAATCTCCTTCTCTTCCTCTTGTCAGCCGGCCAAGGCCCACGGAGGTAGCTTTGTTTGGGCGGCCGTCTCGCGGAGCTGTGTGAGCACAGCTGTGGAGCGGGCAGAGTCACGGGCTTGGATTTTTCACCCTCTTCTTATTTCAGTTTATACGACAGAATGACTTGCAGCTGCTTCAAAGGGCTCCACCCATAACTCCATGCGCCACATCCTAGTGGAGGAGAGGCGCCGCCAGTGCAGCTGGAGCCAATTAAACCCACCTATGCAGGCGCAGCAGACCCACCGTGCACGCAGACTCAAAGCAAAAACAGCCTCTTCACGGGCAGGGAGGCCCCGGCAAGTCCCATCACGTGGCGCAAATCAGAGGCGCAAACTCAGCCTTGTGTTCACGGCTTCCCGCCGCAGGGGCTGCAGGGTCCGCGTTCGGACGGCAGGCCTCGTATTGTGTCTTCTCACCGCCCCATGCTCCGGTGTCCACACTCTTCACCTGTTCCCTGCAGTTCATCTGAAAGCGCTTCCCCCGAGCTATTCCCCAACAAGAGGCGCTTTCCCTGCTGAGCCTCCCACAGGGCGCCTGGCCAACCTCTGCTCCCTAAGACAAACCTGGGAGGCGCAGCCAGGCATGGACAGGGTCTCAGGGCACCGAGGGCATCCTGGCCCAGTCACACTAGCACGGAGGCATGGGGCAAAGTTAAATTGGACAAGCCAACCCTCTTTAGTCTAAGGATGACAGAGGCCCTGAGGTGGCCGCACTGTACCAGACTTTGTTCTCCTGGGCACAAAAAGGACTTTTAAAAACTTTTTGCATTTATCATCATCACTCCACCATCACCAAGGTGCCTGAGATGCATAAAAAAGTATTTTTCCAAACTGGAAATCTGAAATAGAAGCACCAATAAAAACAGGTCCCAGATTTATGACCATATTTTTTCACCTCTCTTTCTCTCTTTCCCTCCCTCATATTTTTCTTTCTTCAAGTTAGCTTGGGACTACTGGAAAAAGAAGACTTGGCAGCGCGGAATGTGGGGGGCCCTGTGAGCTGTGCCCCCCAACCCCGTCTGCCCAGCCCAGCCGCAGCCCCAATTCTCGCCTTGGGCGGGCGGCTGGGCGGGTCTGAGGCCCCTGGGACTCATCTGCACGGTGCAAACAGCTGCTTTGGCAACTGAAATTAAAGATCAACTGGGAAGTAAACACAGAGGCTGCAAGACAGGGTGGAAGCTGGTTAAGAACCACATCCTTCTCTCTCTGCGATTTTGCGTGCAGTTCCCCAGGTCCTTGCAGAGGTCACCTGGCAGGGCCTCCCCTCAATCCCGACCTTTGGGCCCTGCTGCAGCCCAGTTTACCAAGATGTCCTCTGCCCAGAGGCCCCACCTGCACCACGGTCACACTGCACCAGCTGCCCACAGTGGAAACCGTGTCCCCTGGAGTGGTGCGGGCAGCCTGGCAGAGGGGTCAGGGCCACAGCTGCATAGTTGAGCTCTGCACAGGGGCAGCCTTGGAGCAGGTTGCAGAAGAGAGGAGTCCTGTGGAGTCACGGTTTCCGCCTTTTAGGGCCCCGTGGTTCTGTCAGTGCCTGGCATCCCCCAGTTGGATCTGTGGTTCGGAGTCTCTCAGGGTCCCAGCTTCCGTGGCCCTCCTGGTATCTAGCCGCTGCATCAGAAGGTGGGAGCTCTTGCTCTCTGCTTATGGCAGCAGGGATGGTTTCCCAACAGGACTGAGGTGGAAATGGGGTGGGCAATCCCTGGAGAGGCCTCTGCTCCATTTAAAACACTTGAACTTCACAGACACTGAGGACTTCATTTCATAACAGCCTGGAATGTAGAGCCCTCCCTGGTGAAAAATTAGAACAGAACCACGTTGCCGACGGTGCTGGTCCTCCAAGTTAAACACAATCTCACATTTGCTTTAGTATTATTTTAAGTGTAAGCAATTAGGTCTGTAATTTCGTTTAACCACTTGCCAGATTTCATTTTTTACATCCCAGCTATTCAGGGGTTAAAACTTTTAACCTGTTCATACTCTTTGAATATTTCAGGGGACCCGCGGAGGTAGCGCTGACGGAATCCCGGAGCTCACCTGCTACCAGAGAAGCAAATGTGGAAAGTGTGGAACAGTCCCCACACAGGGTCCTCCTGGCACAAACCCGCAATGTGCAATGCCAGGGGCCAGCGGCACACGCAGTCCCATTGCGACTCGCAGGAGAAGCAAATGTGGAAAGTGTGGAACAGTCACCGCACAGGGTCCTCCTGGGACACACGCAGAATGCGCAATGCCAGGTGCCGGCGGCACACACAGTCCCATTGCAGCTCGTGGGAGGTACCGCTCCCACCCCAAGGGTAACTGTTCTCCAGGCAGCAGCCCTGGCTTTGGGGAGCTCTGGCCTCTGGGCCAACAGTGTCCATGTGTGGCACAAGGCCCTCATGGGGGTGGTAAACCCAGCCAGGCTCTGGCCGCTGGCCCGACGGTGTCCATGTGTGGCATGAGGCCCTTGCAGGGGTGGTAAACCCAGCCAGGCTCTGGCCACTGGGCTGACGGTGTCCACGCGTGGCATGAGGCCCTCGCGGGGGTGGTAAACCCAGCTAGGCATGCACGCGGGCCTGGGCCACGAAGTTTCCCTTGTTCTTCCTCACTTCACTTCTGTTCGTCCTGTGCACATCAGCCTCCCTTGCTTCAGCAAGGCTTTTTCTATCTCTTTGTTGTTTTATTAAAGTGATAACTTTCAAGTATTTTAGATATATTTTATGCTTATAATGACCATAACCACAAAGTAGCATTTTTGGGTGATCCCGCCACCCCCTCTGCTCACTTGGAATATTCTTTAAACTTCCTTTTGGTTCTCACCTTCAATTAAAAAAAAAGTGTTTCACTGCTTTTCAATGATTTCTAAGTTATAGGTATTTTCTGCTAATGTCCTGCTGGGGAGGGTGACCATTTGGGGCTGTTGGAAATGTCCACCTCAAGGGCTGTTTGCTTCCTTCCCTGGGCCCCTCCTGCATCGGGCCCAGGTGGAGGTGGACCCCACGCTGGGTGGGCATCAGCTCATCTGTGGGTGTTCACAGCAGCTGTGGGTATGCCCATGGACAGGGATGGCTGGTCCCCCATCACCTTCCAGCCTCCTCTTCTAGATGTGGCAGGAGAAATTCTTTGATCTTTTAAAAAATTTACTTCTTAATCACACGAGTAATACCTAAATACATGTGGGATATTCTGAAGCAGACCTCAGGCACCGTGTCATCTCATCCATCAACACTTTTGTTTATATTTCTTACGGGTAAGGGCTTTTACCGGTATCACCACAATATTGCTATCATACCCAGCTAAACTAGCAGTCATCCCTTAATAGCATCCAAGGCCCAACGTCCTCCAGTTGCCTTGAGACATCTTTTATAGAAATCCCAGTGTTGCTGGGCCTGTGGGCAGGTGCGCAAGCCTCCTCTGCAGTGGGCTGTGGGACTGGGCTTTGGCCATTGGTCAGTGCCCATGAGTGGACATGAAGCATACAGCTTCCTGGCAGGACATGGGAAGGGGAAAGACACCACTCCCCTGGTCTCCCCTGAGGGAAGTGTGGGCTTGATGGTGGGCAGATTGTGAGCAGATGCCTGCCATATGCTCAGGACAGCCAGGCCTGGCCCTGCAGAGCTGCTGTATCCACTTCCATGCCAACAGCTTCCTGAGAGAGTGAGCTTCTAGATTATTTAGACCACTGTTATTTTGGCCTTGGTCACAGCAGCCAATGTAGCCTAATGTGTTGTGATTACATGGCCCATCTTATAAAATTATATTTTGCCTGGAATTAATAACTGCCTTGATTTTCAAATGGCTTTGCTCATATATCCATCCTCAATTCTCTCCCAACCTCTCGGTCAGAAATGGAAATCTCTCCACACAATGAGAATGGTGGTTCAGACCCCCCTGGAAGACCTCAGCTCTCCTGCACTGTCACCCAGGAGCCCCTCCCCACATCCCCAGAGCCCCCCGTGTCTCTCCTGTGTCCTGGCGCCAGGTCCTCCTTCAGGGCTGATGCCTCGTTTTGGTGAAGCACTTCCTCTAGCAGCCTCTGTACTGGTCTGAAAACGTCTTTTTCTCTTTACTCTTGACTGATAATATGGTTGGATTCCACTTCTAGGTAGGATATCCTTTTCCTGAATGTACCAAGGCATTGCCCACGGCCCACGGGTTTCCCTGCTGCTGTTGAGGGGTCCCACATACCCCTCTTCAACTTGGGTTCTGAACTGCAAAATGTCATGTGGCCAGCATTCGGCAGCCAGCCAGGAGGGCTGGAGTGAGCCCAGAGTTCACGTGCTCCCTGTCATCAAATCTTGGTGACCTTCTGCAGCTGGGCTGCTGTTGCGGGAAGCAGGGCCCAGCACCCGTGGCATCCGTCCGCCCTCCCTGCAGCCCTGGCTAAGGGTGCCCTGCTCCCGCCTGGTGGGAGGACGTGCGTCCACGGCCGAGCTTGTTGGAAGACAGCCTTGAGGTCTTGGAGTTGCTTTTGGAACTGGTGGCCCCACCTCTGTCTGCAGCCTCCTAGGGCAGCCCAGCTCCTGGTGTCTCGGGCTTTTCCTGGGCTTGGGATGCAGCTCGCCCGCCCCTGCAGACCCACTTTGTGCCACTGCCGGCCTTTCCTCCGAACCACTGTGGCTTGCTGTTTTCTTCATCCCACGGGGTCATCCCCTCCACTCACTGCCATTGTAGCGCAGTTTCCGGAGGTGGTAAAGGAAACACACATGCCCCACAGATCCCTGACAGGGCAGCTCCTGGAGCTCCATCACTATTTGGGGAGGAATCTGAACAGAGCGTCCTCTGCACGCACACCCGCCTCGCTTGGCCTTTCCTCCCCAGGTCCCGGAGCCTCCTCCCGAAGTGGCCACCAGCCACCCTGTGGCTTGGGGACGACCTCTTCACTGGGAGTTGCCACTTCCCCTCTTCCTTCGGCCAGAGATGCCTCTCTCCTTCCATTCAGGTAAACGTAGGTTCGACTCCGGCTGCGGAATCCCTGGCATCCCTGCCTGGTGAGGGGTGGCAGGAAGCACCACCCCCACTTCTGCCTCGGGGTCGGGGCCCTGTAGTGGATCCTGAGCCCCCATCACAAGGCAGCCCTCCCCGTAGAGAGGGAGGATGGCAGACCCCCTCCTCCCCAACCTGAGGCCCCTCTCCAGAGCTCCCTGGGAAGGCACCGGCGTCTCAGGTCCCTCTCAGCGCGAGGCAGCCTGGGAAGGCGCCGGCGTCTCAGGTCCCTCTCAGCGGGGAGCAGCCTGGGAAGGCGACGGCGTCTCAGGTCCCTCTCAGCGTGGGGCAGTCCCAGCTCCACGCGAAGCCCCCGCTCCCTGCACTCAAATTTGCCTCTGGGTTTCCCTGAGGGGGCCGGGAAGAATTGGAAGGTGTTGGGTCTGAATTCAGTCAGAGCTGGAAACCAAAAGAGAAGCAAAAAGTGATAAAAGAAGAAGAAAGACAGGTGCCCGCTAGGGTGAAGTCAGTGGGGAGGGCCGGGCTGACTCATGAAGAATTCAGGGAGGGCTCTGGTTGAGTCATGATTGGGGCCCTCAAAATTCTGTGTTCAGTTTTGTTGAAACCACTCCTAATGATCATCTTGAGAGAAATGAAAAAGTCAAGAATTGGGCTGATGGCCAGATGGTGTTTCTGAAATAAAGATCACATCTCTCAAGTGTCAAACTACACCGCCAGACGACAAACCGTGGGATGACTAATTCCTGTCTCTCTTCCAGGGCCCCTGCCGTGGCTACAAGCGCATGCCAGCGGGATGCCCTCGCCCCGACCCCGTGTGAGCTCCGCAGCTGCTTGCCCTGGATGAGGGGGTCTTCCCGTCGCCCTCTGTGGTGGTTGGATGTTTGGTGGATGTCTACTAAGGCCTCTAAGAAGTCGGCTCTCAAGCAGGAGAGGAAAGCGTCCCCATCCTCACCCACCCTGCTTGCTGGAGGGATATGGAAAATGAAACCCTACCTATCCACGTTCGTCCCTCTTAATTCTGTGACCATGATAGCTTGAGTTGCCACCCTGCATACATAAGTACTGAAAGGCGAGACGGTAAACTCAACTGTGGCTCCCAGAAGCTGTTATAAACGATGAACGCTGAGCCTCTTGCTAGTGTAAACATCTTTGAGAAACAGCTCTGAGGGGTGTGTGTAGCGAAGGTCTGGGGCAACCTCGGCCCCGCCTTCAGTTTCACTCATTTCTGTGGGCTTCCATCAGCCTATCTTCTGCAGGCCTGGCTTTTTCTCATATAGTTCAGTCCAATTTGCTTCATCTTGATAACTCACCCCAGTCACCACCACTGGAGAGATTTTTCAGACACTCCACAAAAAAATAAAAATAAAAAAAAAGCACCAGTTCCATAGATCACTCACCGGGACTATAAAGGTGAGAGTGCTGTCCCACTGTACTCAGATGGTGAAGGTGAGAGCACTGTCACACTGTACTGAGACGGTGAAGGTGAGGGTATGTCCTGCTGTACTGAGACGGTGAAGGTGAGGGCATGTCCTGCTGTGCTGAGACGGTGAAGGTGAGGGCATGTTCTGCTGTACTGAGACGGTGAAGGTGAGGGCGTGTTTGGCTGTACTGAGACGGTGAAGGTGAGGGCGTGGACCGCTATACTGAGACAGTGAAGGTGAGAGTGTGTCCTGCTGTACTGAGACGGTGAAGGTGAGGGCGTGTCCTGCTGCACTCAGACGGTGAAGGTGATGGCGTGTCCCGCTGCGCTGAGACGGTGAAGGTGAGAGTGTGTCCTGCTGTACTGAGACGGTAAAGGTGAGGGCGTGTCTTGCTGTACCCAGATGGTGAAGGTGAGAGCGTGTCCTGTTGTACTGAGACAGTGAAGGTGAGAGCATGTACTACTGGACTCAGACACCATGTTATCTAAATCTGCTGAGCACCGTAGCGAAACCTCACCTCAGCTGTTGATGTATTTCCCTTCTGGCTTCAGAAAGAACGGTGTTCTTCCAATGTGTTTTTAAAACATGGAACACAATATTCTTCACCCTCAGCAGGATTTAGAAAGAATTATCTAGTTACCCAAAGATCAGAATAAGCAGGTTCTGTAGGAACAAGTGCTTCTTTTTCCAGGATCCTGGGGTGGAAAATTCATGCGTGTTTCCCACTTGATGTTCTGATGCCCATGTGGTCAAAGTGTACTTGAGGACGCCAGGTGAGGTTTATGGCAAATCTGAGGAAGAGACCGTGGCCAGGTAGTGTGGCGCATACCCCAGCTTAGTGACCTGAGGAGGTCGTGAGTGCTCCCGCCAGGAGCCTCTGGTTTCTAAAAGGAGCTCCTGAGTTTCTGTTTGTCTGTCCTGCACCACCTTTTTGCATTGATTAACTTTGCTGTTGGTCTGGATCTCCATCTGTTAATTATTGAAGAGGCACTTATTGGTTTTTTTCTGACACCCAATTCGATTTTCCACATTTAGGACACTTCGCAGTTCCATGCTGAGAAAAAAAATGTTAGCATAAGGAGCAGCTTTAAGGTCCAAATCTCAGCTGATGGCGCTCAGCGTTGCACGTGATTTCCAATCTTATCAGGAGCCTGGCAGGAGCATGGCTGCAGCTGCTGCCAGGTCCTTGAGCAATGTTTAGGTGCCACAGGTAACAGCCACGCAGGTGGAGCAGAAAACAAAGCCGTGGACAGGGTTGCTTTCCAAGATGCATGGAATGCAAGAATGTTCTGGGACCTGTGTAAGAAATCTTTGCTTGCCCTAAGCTCACGGGAAGAGTGGTGAGCCAGTGAGGGCACACAGGTCGGACCACCTGCAGAGAAAGAATCACCAATAACCAGCGCTTCCAAGGTGGCTGCGTCCACTGAGGCTTCTGTCCACAATGGGCTGTTTGCCCTGCACCCCCTCTGACACTGGCCCCGTCAGTCCTCTGGGCTTCAAGCCTTCTGTGGGGGGATGATGGCATCTCGTGGTTGTCCTCCTGATGAATGGTGACACTGAGCACCTTTCCAATGTGGACTGACCATTTGGATATCCTCATCTGTGAAACTCCTGTGCCAGTATTCTGCCCATTAAAAAAATAGAGCTGTTAGCATGTTTCTTATGGATATGTAAGTGTTCTTTATATATATTCTGGTTATTTGTTGGCTGCATGGACCACCAATCTCTGAGTCTGACTTGCCTCTTCTTTTTGGAATGATGTCTTTCGATGAACAAAAGTTTATCATTTTAACGAAGTCAAATGAGATTAACCTTTTCCTGTATGGCTTGGATTTTCTGTGTCCTATTTGACTGCCCTGAGCAAGCTTTGCCTGCCCTGAGCTCGTGGAGATGTCCTGTTCTTTCTCTTTATTCTTTTATGCTTCACTTTAGGGCCAGAATCCACCCAGGCCACACTTCTTCTTCCCTGTCTCTTCCCTTAGACAAATGGAGGAGACGGACAGCGGAGAAGTGGAGGGAGCTGGGGGGAAACTCAGAGCCCAGAAGCCGGAGCTCAGGGAAACCACGTCTTCTGTGTTGACTTCGCCATCTCAGGGGGAAAGGAAGATTCACACAGACTTGCCCGCTCCCCTTGGCTGACTTTAGGTCAGGAAATAGCATGTTCACTTCGGTATGTGGGTGACATCATCAGCATGGCCACTGAAACAGGAGGTGAGGCTGCAGACGGGCTGGGATCCGCCTTGGCGAGCAGAGGCCTGCGCCTCCCTCCTCCACGTCCCCAACACCCCAGATCCGTGACATCCGACACCGAGCAGCTCACATCGCAAAGGAAACACAGCCAGCCCTGCCGAGAGCTGCCTTTCAAAGTAGAAAAAAATCCCCGGAGCAAATGTGTGCACAGGCCCTGCATTTAGAAAGAGGCGGCTTAGCCAGACATAGCTGGAACAAACATATAAAAAACATCTGTGCCAGGAAGCCACTCGCCAGCCCCGCAGACTGGGGGCCCCCACGGTGCCCTTGAGGGGCAGCAATGGCCCCGCCGCGTGGAGCCCCCCGCAGCAGCACCACCAGCCGCCAGCAACAGCTTTGGGCTTTCCTGCTCCTCACTGAAAATGGGCCACAGGCTCCGGGACAGACCACCTGCAGCCAGCACCCCCTGACCAGGGGCGGCACCAGCGAGACCCAGACAGACGGACCAGCAATGCCTTTCCACTTCTTCTCATCCTAATGTCAGTTTTCTTTCTGGTCCTAAAAGTAACGTGATCCATTGGAGACAAGTTGGAAAATGCAATGCAAATATATAAAGAATATGCTACCAGTCACCCACAACTCCAGGCCTAAGACGTGGCTGCATTTTGGTGTGTTGTAATCCTGTCTCACACCTTAGTCTCGTCACAACAAAGGAAGCGTTTCAGGGACACAAAAGCCTTTACAGAATGAGGGCAGATCCCACAGCCTGAGGCCAGAGGGACGAGGATGAGGCCGGGCTTGGCGCCGGCCAGGGGTGGGTGCCCGGGCACCGAGGCGAGTCACTGACACCGTGCAGTTCGGTGGGGCCTGGGGAAAGGTACAGCAGGAGGATTGTGGGGTGGGGACAGAAGAAGAGAGTCCTCTGGGATGGGGTGATGGGGACACAGTGGGTTTCACGACCCGTGCGAGAGAGGCCGGGAAGAGGCGGAAATGAGGACGGGCCCTCGGGTCAGTGCTGCCGCAGCCTCCTCAGAGAAGCAGCTTCCAGGCTGCAACGACTTAGACCTGTTTGTGAAACAGCTGGTTGTGAAATCAATTTAATGAGTCCTAACGAGCATTTTCAAAAAGGAGCAGAGCAGCATGGAAGCACCTATTTCTATGACCATAATGGAAGTCGTGATTTCTATCAGGGAATCACTCATCAGAGGGAGTGCTGTTTCACAAACTCTTATTTCACTTCTGCGTGTACGTGCTGGTTGTGATGTACAATGTGCCTCTTATTGTGGGTCTCAGTTTAAAAAAAGTTGCAAAGCCCTGGCTTAGAAGAAGAAAGAATTCAGAGGCCACATGTGACGACAGTTTAAGCTTCTGTAGATGAGAAAGGGACGGGGCACTCTTGGAAGCAAGGATAGTCCAGGCGGTGGGGCACGCGGATGCGAGGCTGACGGATCTCACACAAACGCACAGGGCACGCTGAGTTAGTCCCCTCGGAGCTCCTCTGATGTAGCCACGGTCCCTCCAGAACCTGCTGCGGCTAAGCCCCATCCGTCTCTGCGGTGGTCCCTCGCTACGTCCCACTTTCTCTTGTTCCTCCTCCTTTCCCCAAGTGACTTCTCCGGAAATGACTCTTAGAACAAGCCCAGAAATGAGCTCCAGTAAAGACCCAAAGGAACAAGAAGGCAGGCGTGCACACGACCCGGGACCCTCACCTCAAAGGAACAGGAAGGCAGGCGTGCACACGACTTGTGACCCTTCACGCGGCCCCCCGCCGTGTCAGCTTCAGTCGCACACCTGTGTCACAGCATGTTCACAGCAAAAACAAGGCATTTTACCTTTTCATAATATGGTCAGAAGTGGAGACTCTTTCCTTTCTCCTTTCAAGACGCTGAGCCACCCAAATTCCTTTTATATCCGTGATTAATAAAGGCATTGGCCAGGCGCAGTGGCTCACGCCTGTAATCCCAGCACTTTGGGAGGCCCAGGCGGGTGGATCACCTCAGGTCAAGAGTTCGAGACCAGGCTGGCCAACATGGCGAAACCCTGTATCTACTAAAATAAAAATAAAAAAATAAAAAAATTAGCCGGGCGTGGTGGCAGGCACCTGTAGTCCCAGCTACTTGGGAGACTGAAGCTGGAGAATTGCTTGAACCTGGGAGGGGGAGGTTGCAGTGAACCGAGATTGCACCACTGCACTCCGGCCTGGGCAACGGAGCAAGACCATCTCAAAACAAATAAATAAATAAATAAATAATGGCATCTCCCTGTCTACTTTTACATTTGTATTTTTGTACACCCCCACCCCGCCCCCCACCACACACACAAATCAGCATGGGTTGTTGTAGGGATTTACTTTAGGAAGGAAGATATGGGTAAATTGGAACCAAGAACACTTGTTTCCAGAAGACGACTTCTGGACCAGAGCAGTGGCCAAGGAATGAAAACATAATTGCATCATGTCCTCCAAGCTTCCTCGGAGGCTGGAAGGAGTCAGACCAGAAGTGCAACCACCGTGAATTGGGACATGTTGTGTATTCATACATGTACAAATTTTTGAATGTGAAGTTGCTTGCAACTAAACTTTTTTCCTAAGTGTACTGTACGTAGTTTTGATGAAGATAACATATATTTGCACAAAAATTTTCAGACACATTAAATTACTAATTGTTTTTGTAAGTCTCTCTGGAAGCAGTGCATGGATTGCATCCTGGTGCAGACTGCTGGGGATTCATTGTTTTTACTTAAAGACCTTCCTCCTGCACTTGCTGTTCCCTTGCCTGGAGTGCTCTATTTTCATTTTCTTTCTTTTGAATTTTATGTTTTTTTTTTTTTATTTTTTGCAAGCTCCCTGTAGCTAGACAAAGTCTGGCATGGAGTAAGCATTGAAGGTGTAACCCATGATGAGGGGTTTGGATTTATTTATGGAACTGGCTCACATTTTTAAAAATATGATAACCAATGAGTTGAAGATTACATTGTTGGTGTTGGCAGAAGAAAGTATGTATGCCAACAATGTGGGCACACTGTTAGTGTGGTAATTCAATGCCTAAGAATCTAATATGGAGTAATCCAAATATGAACAAGTGTGTACATATATTTACTGATGTATTGTTTTAGTAGCATAATTTGGAAAAAGCTAAAATATCCAACAATAGCAAAGCAATTAAATAAATTTAAGAACTCAATAGAATATAATTGTATCAGTCCGAGTTCTCCACACAAATAGAACCAGCAGGATATATGCAAATATAAACACACACATATGCAAATGTAAACACACACGCAAATATAAACACACACATATGCAAATATAAACACACACACCCAAATATAAACACATACACATACTCAAATGTAAACACACACACGCAAATAGAAACACACATGCAAATGTAAACACATACACATATGCAAATGTAAACACATACACAAATATAAACACACATGCAAATATAAACACGCAAATATAAACTCATACACATACACAAATATAAACATGTACACACATACGCAAATATGAACACACGCAAATGTAAACACATACACATATGCAAACGTAAACACATAGACACACAAATATAAACACACACACAGGCAAATATAAACATACACGCAACTATAAACACATGCAAATATAAGCACATACACATACGCAAATGTAAACACATACACATATGCAAATATAAACACTCAAATATAAACACTCAAGTATAAACACACATACGCAAATATAAAACACATGCAAATGTAAACACATATGCAAATCTAAACACACATATGCAAATATAAACACACACGCAAATATAAACACATACACACAAATATAAACACATACGCAAATGTAAACATACACACAAATATGCAAATATAAACACATACACAAATATAAACACATGCAAATATAAACTCATACACATACACAAATATAAACATACACATGCAAATATAACACGCAAATATAAACACATACATATGCAAATATAAACACACACACAAATATAAACACACGCAAATATAAACACATATGCAAATATAAACACACACGCAAATGTAAACACACACAAATATAAACACACATACGCAAATATAAACACGCACACATACACAAATATAAACATATACACATACACAAATATAAACACACACACATACACAAACATGAGAGAGAGGGAGAGAAACCTATTCTAGGGAATTGGACCGTGCAACTCTGGGGACTGGAAACTAAAACAAAATCCACAGGGCAGGCCAGTGGGCTGAACAGTTGGACTAGATTTCTGTGGTGTAGTCTTGAGGCAGAATTCCCTCTTCGTCAGTAAATCTGTCTTTACTCTTAAAGGATTCAACTGATTGAATAAGAGTAATCCACATTGCAGAGGGTAATTTGCTTTACTTAAAGTCAACTGACGGCGAATTTTAATAACGTATTTTAAAACTTTCACATCTAGATCAGTATTTGACCAAGCAACTGAACACCACAGTTCAGCCAAATTGACAAATACAACTGACCATCACAATAATGTTGCCATTTAAAGAAATGGTTAAGGGGGTTATGTAATCATGTGAGAGGAAAATGCTTAGATATTTAGAAAAAAAGCAGAACACAAAACTCCAGTGGATCTTGGTTATGGCAAGGTTAAAAATGTGTAAGACAAAAGGCAGAAATAAGAACACCAAATGCTGATTATGAGGTAGAGTGGTGAGATTAGGTGTGATATTTTCCTCACATGCCTAGAAGTTTTATAATGTTGCTATAATTTTTATCATGGAAAAATAAAATTCTGGCCATGTACAGTGGCTCATGCCTATAATCCTAGCACTTCAGGAAGCAGAGGTGGGAGGATTGCTTGAGCCCTGGAATTCAAGGCCAGCCTGGGCAACATAGTGGGACCCTATCTCTACAAAAATCTGAAAAAAAAAAAAAAAAAAAACACACACACACACACACACACACACACATTATCTAGGCCTGGTAGCATGTGCCTGTAATTCTAGCCCTTTGAGAGGCTGAGGCAGGAGGATAACTTGAGCCCAAGAGGCTGAGGCTGCAGTGAGCTATGACTGAGCCACTGCACTGCAGCCTGGGCAACAGAGTGAGACCCTGTCTTAAATAAAAACAAACAAACAAACAAAAAACAGAAAAAAGGAAACAATAGGCAATTCTTCTTCAATGATTATTTTTATAATAAAAAATTCATAGAAAAATCTTCCTTAATGATTGACTTATTTAAAATGACAAGACGACTTGGTGACACTTGATGATAAATCTCGGGCTTCTTAACACTCAGGCTTTTTTTCTTTTTCTTTTTGTTTTATGGAGTCTCGCTCTGTCACCAGGCTGGAGTGCAGTGGCGTGATCTCGGCTTGCTGCAACCTCCGCCTCCCGGGTTCAAGCAATTCTCTTCCCTCAGCCTCTCGAGTAGCTGTGATTACAGGCGTGCACCACCACGCTCAGCTAATTTTTGTATTTTTAGTAGAGATGGGATTTCACCATCTTGGCCAGAATGGTCTTCATCTCTTGACCTTGTGATCCACCTGCCTTGGCCTCCCACAGCGCTGGAATTACAGGCAGAGCCACCGTGCCTGGCCCACACTCAGGCTTCTTAACGCTCAGGTTTCCTAATGCTTGGCCTTCTTAAACACGGGGGGAATTACTTGAGGCCAGCGGGCTGATATTTACAGAGCCTGAACGTTATTTTGGCAATCAGGCCTGTTCTCTAAGCGGTAAGAAGTTCCTGGATGCCCTAATTCGACATAAGCAGAGGTATTTGTGGGGATTTGTAAGCACCCCTGAGATCTGAGACAGGTTCCTTCTGCTCGTTCCCTTAGAACTATGGTGTCGGAAGATGAGATGAGCTTCCTAATTTCCACTCATGCTCAAGCTGAAAGTACAAACTAGGATGAGTCCAACATAAAACTTCTGCCGACAATATAATCTTCAACCCATTGGTTATTATTATTTTAATGTGGGGCTACTTCAATACGCAAGTTTAAACTCCTTACCATAGGCAATCTATTGAATGCCCACGACACGCCATAAATTAGCAAAGGTTAGTTCTGGTGCCCTTAGTACCTGTTTCTGCATCCTTGGTCATCCCTTCCTCCAACCTCATACTTTTTCCGCCTAACCCCTATCAAAACTCCTATCATGGAAAATAATTTGATGGTGATAAGAGCCGCATTTTGTTGAGCATGTTATATACCAAATAGTGCGGAGAGTTGTGGAGGAGTCTGGCATAGACAGCCGAGCTGACTTGGGGGATGGTGGCAACGGCAGGCTGACGTGGTGTGGACGGAGAGTCTGCGAGCCTTGGGTTTTAAACAGAGGGTCTCATGAGCCCTTGTCTTGCAGATATTTTCAGCTCTCAGAATGAAGACACAGAAAATGTGAATGGGCAACTTCTACTCCAGGACTATATTCGACTTTATGTTGTGGAAATTTTTATTTTTATGTATTGATTTATTTATTTTGAGACAGAGTCTTGCTCTGTCCCACCCAGGCTGGAGTGCAGTGGTGTAGTCTCCGCTTACTGCAACCTCCACCTCCCGGGTTCAAGTGATTCTCCTGCCTCAGCCTCCAGAGTAGCTGGGATTACAGGCGCCCGCCACCATGCCTGGCTAATTTTTGTATTTTTAGTAGAGACGGGGTTTCACCATGTTGGCCAGGCTGGTCTCAAGTTCCTGACCTCAAGTGATCCACCCTCCTCGGCCTCCCAAAGTGCTGGGATTACAGGCATGAGCCACTGTGCCCGGTCTGATTTTATATTATGGAAAAATTTTAAACACAAACAAAAGTAGAGAAAATAGCACAATAGACCTCCCAAGCACCCGTCGTCCAGCTTCCCAGGGGCCAACTCAGGCCCCTCTTGTTTCATCCACCTCCCCACTCCCTGCAAATTCTGGACATTCTACTATTTCATTATAAAAATATGTTGGCATTTGTTTCTGAAAAGTAAGAATCTTTAAAGAAAACATTACCGTCAGACTCTCCCCACACATACAAGTTTAGCAGTAAGTTCCTGGTGGCATCAAATCTCCAGGGAGGTCTCATTTTAGGTGCCCTCTAAGAAAGGCGCTGACCATGCTGTAGCCCAGATGGGATGAGGCCACCAGGACGGCAAGAGCTCAGCCCTCACCACCGGGTCCGTCCTCTGCCCGCCTCCCGACTCCCCTGCACAAGCCTGCGAGCCTCTTCCGCTCCCTCCTGCAGGTCAGGGAACTGCCGTCCCTAACCCCCGCCACTCCCAGTGGAGCAGGGCCATTCCGGGGGCACCTGCAGGACGGGCCCTGCTTTATCAATGAATCGTGCCCCCCACACGTGGCCTGTCAGGGGCCTGGTAATTGAGCACTTCCTGTTCTACTCCCTGGGCGCCAGGTGACCACGCCTTGGCCCGGCAGAGCAGACACAGCCTGGGATGCCACCACCCTCTCTAGCGACGCTCTCCTGTGTCACCGTAACCAGAGGTGTCGACTGAGTGCCGGGAGCCAAACAAAGGAGCATCTGTCCCTCTCGGCATGAGGATTCCTGGCACCGAGGATTAATTGCCAAGTTACCAGGCTTGCCATCATGAAGAGGCATCTTATTCTCGGCAGGGAATATTGTGTTCTTCCCTCTCCTTGCTGTGAGAATGTGGTCCCGGGATGATCATACGTGTGGCATCATCAGAGAGAACACCATGGCCAGGCATCCTCGGACTGCGGGGAGTTTCCCAGCATTCAAGACTGAAATGCAGCCATCCGCAGACACCCAGCAGCCCACACCACCAGGCCCCAACCACAGAGGTCAGCGCCACGCAGGGCCCAGCGGACCGATGGTCCCATTCTCAGCTCACAGAAAAGTGAAGCTGCTCCTATCAACGCCTGCCCTTAACCTTCCATCACACCAAAATTATATCTCGAGAAGCCATAGCTGCCTCTGCACCCCTACTTCTTCCTGTGCCTTTTCCCTTCCCTGCTAAAATCCACACCCTCAAATGTTCTATGTGGCACCCAAAGAAGCCCACGAACCCCCGAACCCATGAACACACAAACCCATGAACCCACGAATCCACGAACCCACGAACCCATGAACACACGAACCCATGAATCCACGAACCCACGAACCCACAAACCCATGAACACACAAACCCATGAACCCACGAACCCACGAACCCATGAACACACGAACCCACGAACCCACGAATCCACGAACCCACGAACACACGAACCCAGGCTCTTCTTTCGTCTTCTTTCGTTTTCCGTGTGTTTGTTTTAGAGACAGGGTTTGCTCTGTTGCCCAGGCTGAGTGCAATGGCACAATCTCGGCTTACAGCAGCCATGACCTCCCGGGCTCAAGCAATCCTCCCGCCTCGGCCTCCTGAGTAGCTGAGACCACAGGCTCCATCACCACCACGCCTGGCTAAAGTCACAGTCCTGTGGAGACTCTTGCCCTACTTGGAGACCCCTGGTCCAGGTATCTATCAACTAACAACCAACAGGCCTCTTAAGGTCAAGATTTTAGGCCCCTTAAGGTCAAGATTCAGTGGAACCTGAGCAGCTGAGAGGAGGGAGAGGCCATCGGCCACGGCAGAGCAGACAGGAAAGGTCTTTTCCCGTCCACCCAGGAAAACGCACTGCAAATCGCTACACCCACCATCCCCATGGCGGACAGCGTGCACTTCCCGTCCACATGGCAGATGCCATCGGCCACGGCAGAGCAGACAGGAAAGGTCTTTTCCCGCCCACCCAGAAAAACGCACTGCAAATCGCTACACCCACCATCCCCATGGCAGACAGCGTGCACTTCCCGTCCACACGGCAGATGCTGGGGTAGGTGGGTGCCCGCCTTCTTGCTCCCAACTCCATCCCCTGCCTGAGATTTGGGCACCACGAGCTTCCTGGGCTTCACTGGCTCCAAGCAGAACCTCGGCTTCTCTTCTGGACACTTTTCACTGTGGGCTTCAAGGCTGGGGCCTCCTGCCTGGTCAGAGCTGCCCTTGGAGGCTGGCAGGGATCTCAGGGATCTGAGTGGTCTCCAGGGGTCCACAGGGGTCTCCAGGGGTCCCTGGTGCTCAGGGAGGGCTCCACACCCCTCCAGCCTGGACGTGGAGAAGGAGGAGGCGTTCCCCACTCTGTGGGGGAGTTCCTTTCTTGGCACCTTCTCTGAAAATAGATCCTCAATTTCACCGATCATTAGGAATTTCCTGAGGAACATCATTAAACGTCACCCAGCACCCCATGCCTGAAGCTCAGGGCTTCCTCTTCAATCATGTCACGCCCGTGTCATGGTGGCCCACATCTGAGATGGTCACGATGCCCTGCGACCTGTGAACACGAGACAGCCCCTGCTCTTACACAAGGCATCCAGGGCAGAGCTGAGGGGACTGGACTCACCAACCAGACAGACCCTCCCTGCCTTTCCCCATCCCCCTCAAGCCCCCTGCACACGCCTGGCCACTTCAGGCTGGCGGAGGGGCTGGTCATGCCTTCTGAGCACAGCCGCAATGCCATGAGGTTTCCCAGCTCTGCAGCTTCCGAGCAGGGTCTGGAGCTGTGCAGACCAGGGTCGGGGAAGGTGCCTGGGGCTGGGCCGGGAGCCTGAGAGGTAGCAAGTCCTTGCTCGCCGGACAAGGCGGCCTGTGGGCCCCTGGCAGAGGACAGTGGTGAGGAGGTGGACGGGGGAAGTACGAGGCTGGCCACCGAGTCACCGGAGTCTTGAGAGGTTGAACCTGAGCAGCTGAAGGGAGCAGCTTGTCTGGATCGGCCAAGATCGGGACAGACAGGGAGAGTGAGATCGGGACAGACAGGGAGAGTGAGATCGGGACAGACAGACAGGGAGAGTGAGATCGGGACAGACAGACAGGGAGAGTGAGATCGGGACAGACAGACAGGGAGAGTGAGATCGGGACAGACAGGGAGAGTGAGATCGGGACAGACAGGGAGAGTGAGATCGGGACAGAAAGACAGGGAGAGTGAGATCGGGACAGACAGGGAGAGTGAGATTGGGACAGACAGGGAGAGTGAGATCGGGACAGACAGACAGGGAGAGTGAGATCGGGACAGACAGACAGGGAGAGTGAGATCGGGACAGACAGGGAGAGTGAGATCGGGACAGACAGGGAGAGTGAGATCGGGACAGAAAGACAGGGAGAGTGAGATCGGGACAGACAGGGAGAGTGAGATCGGGACAGACAGACAGGGAGAGTGAGATTGGGACAGACAGGGAGAGTGAGATCGGGACAGACAGACAAGGAGAGTGAGATCGGGACAGACAGGGAGAGTGAGATCGGGACAGACAGGGAGAGTGAGATTGAGATTGGGACAGACAGGGAGAGTGAGATTGGGAAGGAGCCACGTTCGGTCCCCTTGGCTGCCCTCGGCCTGGGAGCAGCCCCAGTACCCCCCTTTGGCCTGCTCAGCCACCTCCCTCTCCAGGCTCCTGTCCCACCCGCAGTGCGTCCCTCCCAGTCCTGTCTCGGGGGCATGCCCATCACGTGTGCCCTGGTTTTGGGGGCCCATGGACAAGCCCTCAGTCTCAACCCACAGCGTTTCAGGCTCCCCAGCCCTCAGCAGGGCGGTCCCATTAGGAGGAGAACATCCGGGGGCGTCCCTCACCAGGAACCGGAAGCAGACAGGAGGCCCCCTCTCCATGGAACCGGCCCGCCTGGGCCTGCCCTCTCTGTAGACCTGGGCGCCTCTACTGCATGTTGCTGAGAAGGGCCAGGTTGGGCGAAGGTCACTGGGCCAGACTCGTGGCACTGTGAGGAGTGAGGGCCTCAGGAATCCCCAGCATGTGGGGACCTCTGTGGACCTGCTTCAGTCCCCTCTACCGTCTCTCGCTGGGCCACTACTCCCTGCAGAAAGGAGCCATGGCCTCTCCTCAGCCTTTCCTCGTCTGTGGAGTCAGCAGCCCCAAGACTCCAGCAAGGCCTCCAGAAGGGTTTGGCCATAAAGGTGGCCGTGCTGTCTGCCGGGCTGGGCAGCCTCTAGACGGCCCCAGTGACCTCACCCCCTGGTGCTCACAGCATCTCAGGCTGTCCACTCTCCCTCCGTGCTGGGAGGGGAGCTGCTGCCATGCAAGAAGCTGAGATTCCAGCTGACAGCCAGTTATGGGGGCTTGTGGATGTTGGGGGTTCTCCTGGGGGGGGAGTCTCCTGGGGGGGGGAGTCTCCTGGAGGGGGGGGTCTCCTGGAGGGGGAGTCTCCTGGGGAGGTTCTCCTGGGGGGGAGTCTCCTGGAGGGGGAGTCTCCTGGGGGGGAGTCTCCTGGGGGGTTCTGGAGGAGGGAGTCTCCTGGGGGAGAGTCTCCTGGGGGGGTTCTCCTGGGGGGGAGTCTCCTGGGAGGTATCTCCTGGGGGGGAGTCTCCTGGGAGGGTTCTCCTGGGGGGGAGTCTCCTGGGAGGGTTCTCCTGGAGGGGGGGTCTCCTGGGGGGGGAGTCTCCCGGGGGGGGTCTCCTGGGGGGGAGTCTCCCAGGGGGGTTCTCCTGGAGGGGGCTTCTCCCGGGGGGGTTCTCCTGGAGGGGGCTTCTCCCGGGGGGGTTCTCCTGGAGGGGGCTTCTCCCGGGGGGGTTCTCCTGGAGGGGGCTTCTCCCGGGGGGGTTCTCCTGGAGGGGGCTTCTCCCGGGGGGGTTCTCCTGGAGGGGGCTTCTCCTGGGGGGGTTCTCCTGGAGGGGGCTTCTCCTGGGGGGCTTCTCCTGGAGGGGGCTTCTCCTGGGGGGGTTCTCCTGGGGTAGGGTTCTCTTGGAGAGGGTTCTCCCATGCACCTGGAGATGATGGTGGTGCTGAGACACAGCAACAGCTAGGCTCACACTAGCAAGAGGCCCTGAGCCCATCAAACCCAGGGAGGTCACGCAGCTCCTTCGCTGCAGACGCGGCTCAGTGTTGGGGATGAGGTGCACGTTTGCTGCTGGACGCGGCTCAGTGTTGGGGTCGTCTGCAACGCGGCCATGATAACCAGTCCATGAAGGCGTCCCAGCCTCGGCTCTCAGCCCCTCTGCGCCTCCACTCCAGAGCCCCACACATGCGTCGGGGCCCCATCCCGAAAGGCGCCGCTAGCACAGAAGCCTTTGTTGCTCGCTTGAGGGGAAACCAGCTAAGATGCCAGCAATCAGAGACAGGAGCTTTTTAGTTTCTTTGTTTTTATCTACTTACTAAGAAGGACAATAGGTATAATTTCAGCAAGATCTTTTTCAACAAAATACAACAGAAAAAAGGGGTTTCCTGTTAATCATGCACTCACCAGAAAATTCAATTAAACTGTGTTCCTAGTTCCTAAACACCCGTCTGAATCAAGCTTGTGATCTGTTTCTCGTCGCACTTCTGGATTCTCCGGATAACTTTCGTCACCTTCTCAGGGAGTTTGAGATGGCTGAAGATACTTTTCCACCTAAGGTAACGTTTCCAGCCTTCTGGCAGAGTCAGCACTCGACTCTCCCTGCTCGGAGACCCAGGCGACGGTGCCGTGTGACCCCTGACCCCGCGGATGAGGAAGGTAGAGAGAGAGCGCGCAGACACGGAGGTCGGCGCTGAGGTTGAGGGAGCCACACCCGGCCGCAAGCTTGAGGGAGGGAAGCCGGGTGCGGAAACAGCCCAGCGGGTCCAGAAGTCGCCCCCGGGGCACCCAGGGCTCCCACTGCCAGCCTCCTGCGCCCTTGGTGTTTGAGGAATGGTCTGGTGGCCCCCAGCCCCGCTTGCAGCCTGTCTCTGGCTGTCCCTGCCTCCAGGACCAGCCCCACACCCTCTTTGCTGTTAGCCGCTGGTTGCCACTGACCTTGAGCCCCAAGAACAGCGGAGCCCTGCTGGTCCGCACGCCTTGGTTCTGCCTGCACAGACCCCATCTCTGTGACTTCCTGAAATCATTCCTGACAAAGGCAGTGAGACTCGCTGGAAGGCAGGCCATCCCTGACCTCACACCCCGCTGGCCAGGCAGGGTCTCCAGCTGACCAGGAGACTCCCAGCAGCGGCTGCCTTGCAGGGCCCACTCTCAGCCTTGCAGCCTCTGTCTAAGCTCTCCCTCCAACCACAAGACCTCCCTGGGCCGTGGACCAAGCAGAAACTATAAAGCATTTTCTCCCAGTAAAAAAGAAGACAGGGGAGGAGGGGAGGGAGGAGGAAGAGGATGGGCACTTGCCAGGGTGGCTTAGCTCTCCTCGCCCAGGGAAGCTGGCCTGGGGATCCTCACATCTCACCACCACTCCAAGGAGCTGCTGGTCCAGGACTGGAACCAAATCAGGAAGCTTTGCTGTGTTTGTGTGAGTGCCACAGGCTCTCTGTAATGTGCTTTCCACCTCCTGCTTAGAATTTAGGAGGACAAACAAGATGTGGTTTAAACAGCAATGTTAATACTCCTGGGTATCGAAGAGTTTCACGAAGGATTGCGTGAGATGCCCTTGGGTGGTAACTTTCTGGGAGCCGCTTGGCAAAGCTCTGCCAGACACTGGGCCGGGAAGGCTGCAGGCCGACCCTCTGAGGCTAACCCAGTCACCCTTAAAGTGAAGACGGTGACATCCACAGATACCGGGGACAGTGAAGACTGTGACATCCACCTGCCAGTTACCGGGGACTGAGAGGTAAATACGGCTATGCACGACTTTGGGGCTCAGGTTCGCCCCTTACTTAGTTTTTCAAGCCAAATGGGACAGACACGTGAAACTGATCAACAACTGTGGGGGCAGAAACCACCTTGCTCTGTTTTTAGTCGTCCTTAGACGACAGCGAGACCCTCAGCCAGCAGGTCCATCTTCCCTGTGAATCACGGAGGCTCTTGTGCCATGCACCCCAATGCAGAAACACATTCTACCCTGGAGAGCCCTCTGTTTGAATCAGCCAGTTAGAGCAATGCTGCCATTTCTAAGGGTGTCCCTAGAATAGGGGTAACCTCAGGCAAGAGGGAGGCATGACCTCGGGCAGGCCAGGGGCCTCGGCGTCCCTTCCTTCCACACCGAGGTTTGAAGTTCCAGCACCAACATCGCCAAAACGTCAGCTTAAGGCAGAACGGCAAAGAGGCCAACAATCCGCGGTGGCTGCTGCCGGCGTGTCAGGAAGGGACATCTGGGCTCGGAAGGCACGCGTGCCACAATCAGCCAGCGCGTCCTCAGGGTGCGGGAACGGGAGCGGGAGGCCGGTGCTGTGTTTTGCAGCATTTAGCCTCAGGCTCCGCGTGCTGCTGAAGTCCCGTCCTTCTTCACAGTGCAGCCCTTCAGGAGTTTTCAGCCACTTGCCCCTCCATGCGGTCTGAGAGGTTAGGGTGGGAGCAGACCTCGAGGCCAAGGGACCCCAGGAGGGACAGAAGGGACAGGAGACAGCGTGGGGGCAGGAGACGATGTGGGGGCAGGAGACGATGTGGGGGCAGGAGATGGCGTGGGGACAGCTGTGGCATGGCTGCTGGCACAGCAGGGTGGGCGCCTGTTGCCCCTGAGATTAGGAACCGCCCGAGAGGCAGCCTCTGGCCTGCCCGTCTCTTTTCCGTGGGTTCTTGATGCGGCTCTAAGTGTTAGGTGCCATTCACCCACCGCTAGTTCATTCACCGCCTTCTTTATCCGGCACTCAGTGACAGGTGACTGTTGATGAGACATCCAGCCGTGGACGTGGAGGGCCCGGGTGAGCAGAAGCCTCTTGGAAGTGCTTTCCGAGTCTCCCTGGGGAGCCTGGGTTAGGCTGGGTCAGCCCCAGGAGAACCAGGTTTCTCGGGACGGGGCAGGTGCGCCGGTGAATCAGTGGGCGGGTCCTCCCTGAGTCACGGAACCCACGCCTGAGGACGGCGGTGGCCTCGGCTGCCAAATGTGTCTCCCTGGGTGTGAGCTGCTGAAACCCAGCCCCGCCAAACGCAGGCGTTTCCTTTACACTCGCCTTACCCAGGTTTAAGTTCAGGAGACAGAAGCCTAAATGGTCTTCAGCAGAGCTTTCCATGAATTTCCGTGGGACTCTCTCTCCCGGTTCCCACGGTGGCATTAAGGCTGTGAAAGCTCCTCCCTCCAAAAGCCTTGAGAAGCTGCTCCGAGGGGTGTGACCAGGATGGCTGCTCTTCTCAGCCCGCAGCAGGGGCTCCCGCGACGCCTGACGGCCAAGTCAAGTCCCCAAAGCCAGGCTCGTTCCCAGTGGCTGCAGCCGCATGCCGCCGCGTTGCCCAAGCTCACAGGGGAGGAGAGGGCTTCAGACGCCGGCAGTCCCAGCCTGTTCTTCCCCATTGAGTCACGGGCATGGCCTCCCGGAGCCTCAGGATCTGCAGGGCGGGCACCCCAGGGAGCCCCATGGGTAAAACGACTCCCATCCCAGAGCAGCAGGGCGGACGCGGCCCCGGGACCCACGGGCGTGGGGGATGCCGTGGGAAGATGTCATTATCAGATGTTTATTTATTGATCAGAGTTTCAGATGAAGTCGGGCTGAGGTCGTCCAAGGTCTCGGCTTGGGAAATCCTCAGCAAGGCAGAGGCTCCTTTCTCCTCCAGCCTCTTCCCCAGCTCAGAGTCCTCTGGGTGAGGGTGGGGCCTGCAGCCCACGGATCCACCTGGAGCAGGGAGGCCCGTGGTGGGGTGGGCGTCCGACCCCCGCCATCCCCACAGAGACCAAGTCCGGGACCTCTGCCGGGGGTTGACCTGTGTCTCCCAGAAACTCACAGGGTGAAGTCCTGAGCCCGGGACTCAGAGTGGGGCCTTGTTTGCAAACAGGGTTGTTGCTGAGGTGAGCAGCTGGGATGAGGTCCCGGGCAGGGGCCCTCACACTCCACAACCGAGGCCCTGAGGAAGAGCCCACAGAGACACAGACACACAGACACCACACGACGGAGGCAGAGACAGCGAAGCAGCGCCAGGCCCAGGGAGGCTGGAGGGAGGCTGAGACGGCTTCCCCGCAGAGCTCAGCACCGGCTGCGGCCTCAGGGGAGGGAGGATGCCTGCCTTCCCGCCGTCCGCACCGCCCTGTCTGTGGGTCTGTGAGGCTTTGTCGCCTGCCTTCCCGCCGTCCGCATCGCCCTGTCTGTGGGTCTGTGAGGCTTTGTCACCTGCCTTCCCGCCGTCCGCACCGCCCTGTCTGTGGGTCTGTGAGGCTTTGTCACCTGCCTTCCCGCCGTCCGCACGGCCCTGTCTGTGGGTCTGTGAGGCTTTGTCGCCTGCCTTCCCGCCGTCCGCACGGCCCTGTCTGTGGGTCTGTGAGGCTTTGTCGCCTGCCTTCCCGCCGTCCGCACCGCCCTGTCTGTGGGTCTGTGAGGCTTTGTCGCCTGCCTTCCCGCCGTCCGCATCGCCCTGTCTGTGGGTCTGTGAGGCTTTGTCGCCTGCCTTCCCGCCGTCCGCATCGCCCTGTCTGTGGGTCTGTGAGGCTTTGTCGCCTGCCTTCCCGCCGTCCGCACCGCCCTGTCTGTGGGTCTGTGAGGCTTTGTCGCCTGCCTTCCCGCCGTCCGCACCGCCCTGTCTGTGGGTCTGTGAGGCTTTGTCGCCTGCCTTCCCGCCGTCCGCATCGCCCTGTCTGTGGGTCTGTGAGGCTTTGTCGCCTGCCTTCCCGCCGTCCGCACCGCCCTGTCTGTGGGTCTGTGAGGCTTTGTCGCCTGCCTTCCCGCCGTCCGCACGGCCCTGTCTGTGGGTCTGTGAGGCTTTGTCGCCTGCCTTCCCGCCGTCCGCACCGCCCTGTCTGTGGGTCTGTGAGGCTTTGTCGCCTGCCTTCCCGCCGTCCGCACCGCCCTGTCTGTGGGTCTGTGAGGCTTTGTCACCTGCCTTCCCGCCGTCCGCACCGCCCTGTCTGTGGGTCTGTGAGGCTTTGTCACCTGCCTTCCTGCCGTCCGCACCGCCCTGTCGGTCTATGAGGCTTTGTCACCTGCCTTCCCGCCGTCCGCACCGCCCTGTCTGTGGGTCTGTGAGGCTTTGTCACCTGCCTTCCCGCCGTCCGCACCGCCCTGTCTGTGGGTCTGTGAGGCTTTGTCACCTGCCTTCCCGCCGTCCGCACCGCCCTGTCTGTGGGTCTGTGAGGCTTTGTCACCTGCCTTCCTGCCATCCGCACCGCCCTGTCGGTCTATGAGGCTTTGTCACCTGCCTTCCCGCCGTCCGCACCACCCTGTCTGTGGGTCTGTGAGGCTTTGTCACCTGCCTTCCCGCCATCCGCACCGCCCTGTCTGTGGGTCTGTGAGGCTTTGTCACCTGCCTTCCCGCCGTCCGCACCGCCCTGTCTGTGGGTCTGTGAGGCTTTGTCACCTGCCTTCCCGCCGTCCGCACCGCCCTGTCTGTGGGTCTGTGAGGCTTTGTCACCTGCCTTCCCGCCGTCCGCACCGCCCTGTCTGTGGGTCTGTGAGGCTTTGTCACCTGCCTTCCCGCCGTCCGCACCGCCCTGTCTGTGGGTCTGTGAGGCTTTGTCACCTGCCTTCCCGCCGTCCGCACCGCCCTGTCTGTGGGTCTGTGAGGCTTTGTCACCTGCCTTCCCGCCGTCCGCACCGCCCTGTCTGTGGGTCTGTGAGGCTTTGTCACCTGCCTTCCCGCCGTCCGCACCGCCCTGTCTGTGGGTCTGTGAGGCTTTGTCACCTGCCTTCCCGCCGTCCGCACCGCCCTGTCTGTGGGTCTGTGAGGCTTTGTCACCTGCCTTCCCGCCGTCCGCACCGCCCTGTCTGTGGGTCTGTGAGGCTTTGTCACCTGCCTTCCCGCCGTCCGCACCGCCCTGTCTGTGGGTCTGTGAGGCTTTGTCACCTGCCTTCCCGCCGTCCGCACCGCCCTGTCTGTGGGTCTGTGAGGCTTTGTCACCTGCCTTCCTGCCATCCGCACCGCCCTGTCGGTCTATGAGGCTTTGTCACCTGCCTTCCCGCCATCCGCACCGCCCTGTCTGTGGGTCTGTGAGGCTTTGTCACCTGCCTTCCTGCCATCCGCACCGCCCTGTCGGTCTATGAGGCTTTGTCACCTGCCTTCCCGCCATCCGCACCACCCTGTCTGTGGGTCTGTGAGGCTTTGTCACCTGCCTTCCCGCCATCCGCACCGCCCTGTCTGTGGGTCTGTGAGGCTTTGTCACCTGCCTTCCCGCCGTCCACACGGCCCTGTCGGTCTATGAGGCTTTGTCACCTGCCTTCCCGCCGTCCGCACGGCCCTGTCTGGGGGTCTGTGAGGCTTTGTCTCGGCCACCCCAGGACAACGACGGGGTCTCCTGGGAGCTCCCTCTCGGCCCCACACACGTCCTCCCTTCCCACTGCCCGTCACAGTCCAGTGGGGCCTGGGATGTGAAGGGCCCCCGGGGGATGAGGTGACACTCCTTCTGCTCCACACACACGGGTTCAGAGCCCCCAACTCCCCATCCCCGCGAGCCGTGGGAGTTGGCGCCGCTGGCGGAACCCATCTGCCCGAGCTCCTGGGCAGGTCCCAGCAGAGGTGCTGAGAAAAAGTCAGAGAATTCAGGAGACAAGCGGCTGGCAGAGCAAAACCAGAAGCAAAATAAAATAACCAGCGCCCCTGGCAACACGTAATAAACCCCGCATGCAGTGGGCACCTCGGATGCCTTGGGTCTGGAGGACACCACAGCCCGGGACCCAGAGCCTGGCCGGGCCCGAGAGACGCCACCGGTGTGAAGGGTCCAGTCCTGGGGGAGCCAGCGTGTGAGTGACCCCGTGAGGATACCGAGACCCCAGCCCAGGGCCCCACTCGGGCTTCCTCCCTCTGGAGTCAAGCATCCCCAGGTGTAAGCAGGAGGCCGTGGGGGAAGTGGCCAGGCCCCCAGACCCGAGCACGGCGAACTCCAAGAGCCTCTGGGGTGCCACATCCTGTTCTTTCCTGCCGTTCTCCTCGCTCAGGCCCTGGGCGTCTGCCTCACTGACCCTGACACCCAGCCTGACACAGCGCCCACACCACCTGCAGGAGCTGCCCTCCCGTCTCGGCCCGTGGGTGCCAGCGCCTCTCCAGCTGTGTCAGGACGAGCCTCATTTGCAGGGCGGGTGGCTCCTGGCACCGTCCCACCCACTGGCCTCTCCTTTCCCCCTGCCTGCCCTCGAGTGGACGCTGCACCCTCATCCCTCCCTGACACCCATGCCACTGACTCAACCCCCCATTCTCACAGACTGGAGGAGACCCTGTCCCGGCTCCTCAGTGCCTTCGTGCTCCCAAGGGATCCTGTGACGCTGGAAGGAGCCGCTCTTGCTTCCAACAGGAAGAGGGTGAATGTAGCAGCCGACCAGGGGTGAGACTAACAACAGCTCCCTCCTTCCTCACCTTTCCTGCCAAACAAAACCCCGCCGCCCTTGGCGGGACGCAGGGAGCCGGGCTCCCTGTGAGCCTGGGGTGGATGCGGGGCTGTGAGCTGTGCGCGGAGACGGGGGACCCCTGCGGATGCTGATGGCTGCCGGCAGCAAACACGGACGCGTGGCCCCCGCGTGGAGATGCTGAGTGGGGACGTGAACGAGGGGTGCTGCAGAGTCGTTCTTGGTAATGTTTTCTTTAGTAATTACAATTCTGAAATCACCTTTTTGTTGCGTTGAGGGTGCGGAAGGAGGCGGCCAGGGGAAGGAGGCTCCCCTGAGGCTGGAACGCAGCTTCCTCCTGTCCCAAGCCAGGCCTCTTCCCTCACTGAGTCAAACCGCAGCCGGCCTGGCTCATCCCAATGCCAGGCTCATCCGGAACCCTCACAGACACGTCCAGCCTAACCGGGGGGCGCTTGATGACTTACCTTGAATGCCAGGTAGACATCGTGCTCAGCGGACGTCTCGTGGTCCTGCCGGGCACGGCTGAGTCACACTCAGGGCCAGCAGGGCCAGCAGGTGGAAGGCGGCTCCCCCGGGACCAATGTCAGAACTGGCCAGTGAGGGACGCCTTGCCCCAGCGAGACAGAGCGGAGGGCTGGGAGCCCGGGCCCAGGCCAGTGCGGAGAAGGAGTCGCAGAGACACCGGGGGTCCGGCAGGTGCGCCTGTGCCTGAGTCGAAATAAAGCCCCCACCCGGGTGGGTGGCAGGCAAGGGGCGGCCTCAGGGCCGGGCGGATTCTGAATTTGGTTGCAATTCCTCCCCCCACTCACTCTCTCACTCCTCCAGCAGCCTCCGTGTGCCCGAGTCAGGTGCTCTAGAGAAGGCCCTGGGTCAGCAGCCAACAGAGGGCCCTGGAGGCCTTCGGGGGATGGGGTGACAAGAGCGAGCCCAGGGCGCCCGCAGCACGGCTGGCAGGACGGGCACCAAAGTGGTGGGGGCTCGTGGGCATCTGGAGGGGCTTCTCCTGCATGCTCCAAACACAGCTGCAGCCACACCAGACAGACAGACCCCGCTCCATGCCCAGCCCGAGGCGTCGGCTGTGTGGCTCCTAGCGGGCCGCCCGCGCTCTGGGGCCAGCCCTCCTGTGGAGTGGGGCACAGGGCTCACTGCTCAGGGCCGCCTCCGCTGGAGCCAGGCGCCTGTGCTGCCGTTCTGGATGGGCCTGGTTTGCTGGGTGCGGAGGCGCCCGCTGGGAAAGAGCCGTTTGCCAGTGCTGACCCAGCCCCGGGACCCAGCCCCGGGAAGGTGCTGAATGACACCGCAGCCCCCCGGGGGAGGCACTGACCCAGATCTGCTCCGGCCCTGCCAGCTCTGCCTCCCGAGAGTCCCGGCTGTGGCCTGCGTGGGGCTCCGGGGTAAAGTCTCAGGGAAGTGAAGACTGTTTCATTCCAGACGTTGTCAGGGAGGCGAGAGTCCTTTCCTTTTGATCCTTAAACTCCATTATCACCACATTTAGGTTCGTGAAACTCCTGGAAACTTCTAAAACTGTTTTTAATCTAAACAGTGGGCTCCCCAGTCTCCCATTTTCTAAGCCTGTATTTGAAGCTAAACTGAGACTCGGCCTCCGGAGGTCTGCACTGCGGTGTGGGACTCAGCACAGGCCTTGGCTGCAAGCGACGGTGGGATTTGCTTTGCAAACCACAAGTTTAGCACTTAAAAAAATTCTGCCCACCCACCAAGAAGAAAAGAGGGGAAACAATGCACCCTTGTTTCGTGAACAAAGCGGGCACTGAGCCGTCTCACTTGCCGCGAGGATTAAAGAGCATGCACCCTTGCGAAGCTCCGTGGCCTCGTCCACGCCCAGCAGCTGCGTCAGCAGGCCACACAGCCCCCGCCCCACGATGCCCAGAGCGAGCGTGGAGCTTCTGTCTCCGCAGACACGGGACGCTCAGCCAGCAGGGAAGGGGCCTGTCTGCAGGAGCTGGCAGGGGTGGGCAGCCCAGCCTGCTGGGGAGTGGACAGTGCCCAGGGGAGGGACCAAACAGAAGACATGTGGGCCCGGGGCTGCCTGGTGGAGCCAGGCCAGTGAGTTACACCAGCAAGTTAGGCATAATCTTCCATGGGTTCTGACAGCCGCCATCCAGCAGCAGGGAGAGGGTGAATGTGGAGAGGGTGAGCGTGGAGAGGCTGAGCGTGGAGAGGGTGAATGTGGAGAGGGTGAGCGTGGAGAGGGTTAGCGTGGAGAGGGTGAATGTGGAGAGGGTGAGCGTGGAGAGGGTGAGCGTGGAGAGGGTGAATGTGGAGAGGGTGATCGTGGAGAGGGTGAGCGTGGAGAGGGTGAGCCTGGAGAGGGTGAGTGTGGAGAGGGTGAATGTGGAGAGGGTGAGTGTGGAGAGGCTGAGTGTGGAGAGGGTGAATGTGGAGAGGGTGAGCCTGGAGAGGGTGAGTGTGGAGAGGGTGAATGTGGAGAGGGTGAGCGTGGAGAGGGTGAATGTGGAGAGGGTGAGCCTGGAGAGGGTGAGTGTGGAGAGGGTGAATGTGGAGAGGGTGAGTGTGGAGAGGCTGAGTGTGAAGAGGGTGAATGTGGAGAGGGTGAATGTGGAGAGGGTGAGTGTGGAGAGGGTGAGGGTGGTGTGTGGGTACCACCTTTCCATCCTGACGGGTGTCATGTGGTGCTGAGTGGAAGATGAGGCCCCATTGCCCCTGGGGGTGCCAGGCTGGCAGAGATTAAGGGCTGAAGAAAAGGGTTTCTACATCTACTAGAAATAAAAATCCCCAGGCCACAGCAGCCTGATGGAGCCACATTGCTCAGTATCTGCGAGTCCAGGAAGCATCTGGAAGGTTTGCCGGGCGGGGAGGCAGGTCCGTGAGGGTGCGGGCCTCCACCGTGGCTGTGTGTGCAGGTCTCGCCCACCCTCACAATGTGAGGCAGCGCTGAGCCCGCTCACTGTGCCGCACCCTGCCCTGGGCCTCAGGGTCCTGCCTCCCTTTGCTGTCACTAGTTCAGCACTCAGATCCCGCCGGGCCTCGGTAGCCATGGCCACAACAGCACCGTATGTGACATCACAGGCGCTCAGGGCCCCTCCTGCGTGCAGCCAGCCTCGGCCCAGAGCGTGTCTTCCAGCTTTGGGCAATGAGCTCTTTACTGAAAGAGCGAGGAGGAGAGATCCCGCAAGTTGAATAAAACCGGACTTTTCTCCTGGAGCCCAGAGGTTTAACATGCACCATCTCCCCAGCAAACACAAATGCCTCCTGTGGGGACAGAAACCACAATCAAAAGCCCTCGAGCAGCCGCCCTGGCCAACGGCACCTGCCCTGGGGGTCCACGCCCCCAGGTCCCTCCCCGCCGGTAGCTCCTGCCTGGCCCTGGGAAACATCTTCCCACTTCAGCCCCGAGCATCCACCCGTCTGCCGCGCTGGATCAGGCCTCAGCGCTGTGTTCCAGCCTCATTCCTCATCCTCTCGCTGGTAATGGGGTGGGGCGGGGCACCTCAACCTCCAGCTCGGGGCGGCAGGAACAGCAGGGGTGTCTTGTTTCCCCGGGTGCAGACCCCCCAGCACCGGCTCCTTCCTTCTCATTAACAGAAACGCTCCCGGGATTTCAGCGCAGCCCCTCAAAACACAACCCAGAATTTCTTGGTTAATGGAAGGATCAGGAAATGGATGGCCTGGTTAACGGAGCTTAGAAACTCTTCTTGGAAGTTTTCTGCAAACGTATTATTAGTCCAGCACCTTCAGTGGTGGCCAACATGAGACTCTATTTCAAATCCTTGAATACAGTGGATCCCTGAAGAAAGGGCAGAGGCCCTCACAGCTTTGGGACAAGATGATGACCATGTTTGATTTGACAGAAACAGCCCTGTACATTTTGGACTTGCAGGGACTGTGAAGCTCTTTCCACATCTGTAGATTACAGAGGAGCCACCGGGGGGCCCCCGTGAGGGGAGGGGTCTGCGCCACGTGGCCGGGGGTCCCGGGACCGAGCCCTGCCGGGGGCTTCCTACTTCCTACCAGCAGTTTGTGTTCCTGCCTCACCACATGGCAAGGGCCACCTCCCTCCTTCCCTCCGGAGGCTCCCCAGGCAGGGCTGTTTGTGGACATGGGGCGGCCTGAGGGGTGGATGCCACCCTGGGGGGCCAGCCTGCCCCCAGCCATTGCAGACAAGAGGGCGCTGTCTTTTCCCAAAGGCCGAGGTGGGGGCCCTCCACTGCCTGCTGTCTGGGTGCTGGCGGCGGTGGTGGGGGGCAGAGGAGGAGGGGGAACCCGGGCATCTGGGAGGCCCAGGAAAAGGAAAAGCGGGGCGGCTGCAGCCGGGCGGGTTGCTCGCTGGGGGTCCCGCCCACCCTCCACACACAGAGAGAGGGTGAGGAGCAGAGAGGGGAAGGGCTGCCAGGGGAAGGGCTGGCCCGCCCTGTCCTAGGGAGCCCCTGGGCTTGGCCTCAGGGCCGCCTCTCCCTCCAGCCCCCTGTCCTTGGTCCAGCTGGCTCAGCTCAGAGCCCTGAGGACATGGACACAGTCGTGGCAGTCACTCGGGAAAGAAGCCCTCATGGGGCCCAAAGGAGCCCAGGCCCCTCACGCCCCCCACAGCTCTGGCCGTGGCAGCTTTTCCACAGGACAACGTGGCCCGCGGTGAAGGCTGCCAACAGCCAGAGATTAGACGGGTCCAGCATCATTTGGAAGCCAGTGCTGTCTTGGGAAGGGCTCCTGGGGCAGCAGCGGGACCGGGCCCAAAGCTCCTCCAGCATCAGCCTGGGCTCCTCAGCACGGAGCAGTGGCCATCACCAGCGGCCTTCGCAAGCCTGGGCACCGGCTGGGCCGGGCAGTGGTGAGGCCGTGTCTCCCAGATAGGGTGGGGCGAGGGGGTGCCCGGGGAGCCAGGCATGAGCACCTCACCCTAACCTCAGCCCCGGCCATGACAAGCTGAGGGTGGATTTGCCTTGGGAGCCTCCCGTGGGGAGGTTGGGGGATGCACGGTCCTTCAGGCCCCTCAAGGGAGCCTGACTGGCTGCCCCTCAGGACTCAGAGCTATTCCGCCATCGTGCAGTCATGGTTTGGGGCCCAGGCACAAAAACATCTTCCTGGTCGTTGTAAATATCAGTATGATAACACAGAAAGCTCTGAAAGTTTCTGAAACTGCCATAGTTGGTAACTTGGGCTAAACCCAGGGCTGTGTCATGTTGGCTTTGACTTACTCAGCACGCTCCCCTCTCAGGGCCTCCTGTCCCTCCCCAGGCCTGGTCTCCCTGTCCCCAGGCGCACGGCGCACACACACTAAGCGCACAGCCCGGGGCAGCTGCCCAGAGTGACACGTGCATCTCCAGACACCCTCCTGCCAGGCACCACCAGCCTGTCTCATCTCAGAGAGGCTCCTGGCAGAGGCAGATGAGTCAGCGGGGAGGGATTTTGCTCTGGCCCCCAAGAATAACCAGTAAACCCATCCTGGAGTAAAACACCAGCCGTCCATCACCAGCAGCCAGGACAAGAAGGGACAGCCTGGCCAAAGGGCCTGATAACAGGGATATGGGGAGGACTTGGGGCAGAAATGAGCTGGGCCTGTGGCCCCTGTGAGAATGTTTCCAGAAAGCTGGGGACATGCCCCCCACCAGGATCCAGTTCTGCCAGGGAACCCACCCAACAGACCCAGGGAAACGTGAATCTGTGCACAAGAGGGCAGCAAAGTGGGGCCCAGAACCCTGCGGGTGCCTCCTGGGACCCTGGGCGCTGGCTTGGGAGGGTCTGACCCCCAGCAAAGGTTGGGAGGGCCGGGGTGAGGCAGGGAGAGCACTGGGGGCCCTTGGTCCTGGCCACCCCTGTCCCTTGCCCTCCCTTCCCCTCCATGGCTCTCACTGCTCCCTGCCAGACATCCCCTCCTGTCTCAGTTCACTGAGTGTGCCTGAGGGAGAGCCTGGAACAATTCAATTGGCAGAGGTGTCGGGACAGAGCCTTGCACAGAGTGGAACAACTCTCAGGTGCAGCCGGCTCTTGCTGGGCCTTAGCAAACTCTTCAGTAAAGTGGGGCTGGAATCTCAGCGTCAGCCATTGTCATGAGGTGTAAGTGAGAAAGCATAGTAAAGCATGTGAACTCAGCGGGAATGGATGAATGGATGGATGGATGAATGGGTGGATGGATGGATACATGGATAGATGGATGAATAGATAGTGGATGAATGCATGGATGATGAATGGGTGAATGGATAAATGAGTGGGTGGATGGATAATGGATCAATTGATGGCTGGGTGGGTAAATACATGGATGGATAATGGGTGGGTGGGTGGACAGATCGATGAATAAATGAATGAATGGATGGATGGTGGATGAATGAGTGGACAGATGGATGGATGGATGGTGGATAAATGGAAATGGATGGATGGTGATGGGTGGGTGGATGAGTGGTGGAATGATAGATGGATGATGGATGGGTGAATGGGTGGATGAATGAATGGATGGGTGGGTGGGTGCATAAATAATCGGTGGATGGATGAGTTAATAGATGAATGTGGCTAAATGGATAATGGATGAATGGGTGGGTGAGTGGGTACATGGATGGGTAGAAGAATGGATGGATGGATGAATAATGGATGAATGAGTGGGTGGATGGATGGATAAGGGATGGATAATGGATAAATGGGTAGGGGGATGGATGGATAGATGGGTGGGTGGGTGGATGGATTGATGAAGGGATGAATGAATGAGTGGATAGATGGGGGTGGATGGATGGATGTTGGATGGATAATGGATAGATGGGTTGGTGGGTGAATAAATGGATGAAGGGAAGGATAACTGGATGAATGGGTGGGTGGGTGGATGGATGGATGAAGGGATGAATGAATGGATGGATGGGTGGGTGGATGGACATGGATGGATAATGGATGAAGGGATGGATGGATGGATGGATGGATGGGTGGGTGGTGGGTGGGTGGATGGATAGATGGGTGGGTGGATGGGTGGGTGGATGGATGGGTAGATGGATGGGTGGATGGATGGATGGATGGAACAACCTATTAACACAGTGAGAAGGTCCTGCAGCCCGCACCTTAACCCTGTCAGTGCCTTCACCTGTAGACTGGGTATGTGACATGCCTCGTTTCCCTCTCAGAGCAGCTTTGAGGATCAAATGAGGTAGCACACATTTGAAAAATACTCTGACAACCATAGTTGAGCTACAGACATTAGCTGTTATAATCTAGATTAAGTGGTGTCTAAATTTGTGAAAAGTCTATATTAGAGGGTTTTTAAAAAATTTTTCCTTTATTTCTTTCAAGTCTATGTCATTACAAGAACTAATTGCTAATAGCACATTTTCAAGTCAGGTCCTGCTGGGACCTCCAATGAAAAGGAAAAAAAATCTCATAATTAGCAGCCTTATTTGCATGCAAACAATGAGTATTCTGAAAGTCTTTAAAATGCTCCCATGAGGAAACACTTGCATTCTTGTTTTAAGAGATTAAATTGCTTGGCAAACCCCCTTCTCACTAGAAAGTCAGAAGGTAAACTTGAATCCAGCCAAATCATCGTTAAGTTCCAATTATTCCAAATTCCAAATTAAGGTAGTCTCAGTTAATAAGGTTTCCAGGTACAGTCCATGAAGACACAAAAATTAGAACCATCCGTGAATTCAGCGACCCTCATTTTCTGGGTAGACACACACAGGCAGTTCCGTGGTCAGTCTCCAGGTTCCATGCTGCGGGAGGTGGCTGGTAGTGGCCCTCCCTGCAAAGCAGTGTAGCCTTGGAGAGGCAGTGGCCGAGCCAGGCAGCAGCGTGTGGGGACATCAGGATGAGAAAGTGCAGTGCGGCTGGGTGGAGGCGGCGGAAGGGAAGAGGGGAGCTCCCAGGACACTGACAGCCACCCCGACACCCCGAACTGTGTGGGAGGAGTGGGGGATTCCCACGCCAGCTGGACATGGATACATTTTTGTTTCCCTATTGCTGTTTTAAAAACTGTGAAAACCTCCTCTGTCTTCCCCAGGATTCTTTTGTTTTTCCTCCAGGTAAAGGCACATTTGGCAGCCAAAGCTGTTTTTCAACCTCTGGTGCTTTCCCTTCCGATTAAAGTTACAGGAGGCCCTGAGGCAGAGCTGGTGATCACAAGCCTCTCTCTTGGCTAGACACGCAGTTTTTATTTGAATAGCATTATTGTTGTATGGTGTAAAATGCAGGGACAATGGAAGATTGACTACTGCACTGACTCAAATTTGGCCAAGGAAGCTCTGAGACATCAGCATCAGAACTTACGCTTTCAGCCAAGAAGGACTAACAGGGACCAGATTTACTCTTCCATGAAAACAAGTTAAAAAATGGACAGAATATCTGAAACCTGTGTTAGGCATCAGACACCAGGCACCGAGAGACCGTGGTCCCTGAGGAGGGCGGGCAAACAAGGTGGGGCCCAGTGCACGGCGGGCGTGGGTTCCAGCCCCAGTGCAGGGAGAGGCCCCAGGCAGGGCTGAGGAGAAGGAGCCAAGTCCAAGGAGGAAACAGAGGCTGGAGGTCTCAGGCTGGATCTCCAGCGAGGAGAGCTGCCCGGAGGGAGGGCTCTGGGATCTGCAAGGGGAGCCCCGAGTCTTCAGTCAAGGGTTGACCAGCCCAAGAGGCTTCGGGGAGCAACATGGGGTCTCACTCAGAGCCGGGAGTAGCCCTCATCCCGCTGTCCACAGTGGAAACACTCGCAAGGCACCAGGCAGTGTCCTGAGAAGGGCTTTGTCTTCACAGTGTGAAAAATTAGTTGGAGACTAAACACTGCTCAGGTCCCACCTGATGAAGCCAAAAAGCAAGGATGACCCAAAAGGATCAACATCTTCCAAAGCTCAAGATCAACACCTTCCAAAGCTCCAGATCAACACCTTCCAAAGCTCAAGATCAACACCTTCCAAAGCTCAAGAGAATGAGGCAGAACTCACAATGTCTAGCATCTGATCAGAAATTAGCAGCATTCAAAGAAGCAGGAGAGTACAACCTAGAAGAAGAAAATTGAATCAGTTAAACCAACGGTGAACGGAGCAGATGAAGAGTTAGCCACAAGACAGTAGAACACTTACTACGACAATCTTCCCGCATTCAGGGAGTCAGAGGGGAGGCTGAGAATGGAAGGCATAAAAATTCCCAAACCAAACTTCAGGAGTGGAAAGCTGCAGCACTGGAGTTGAGAGGTGTAGTGGGCAGGCTCCATGGCAGATGAGACGGTGCAGAAGGAAAAAGCCAGTAAATTTGAAGACGTGGCACTAGCGACGATGTAAAATAAAAACAGAGGAAAGGTCTGAAATGCAGACTGTTCATGAACCGCGGGCCAGTGTCAAGCAGCTTAACACATGTGCAGCTGCAGCTGCTGGAGGAGGGGGCAGGATATTGGAACAGAATGGCTGACATTTTTCCATGTTTGTTGAAAACTACAAAAAGAAAGGAAGGGAAGGACGGGCATACAGATTAAGATGGAAGAAATGGCCTTATTTGTAGATGACGTGATTGTCTACACAGAAAACCAAGGAATCTACAGCAAAACTAGGACTTATAAGTGAATTCGCAAGCTCACAGGATAAATGTCAACCAACAAAAGTCAATCGCATGTCTATGTACTAACACTACACACGCGGAAATCTAAATTAACAACACACCGTTTACGCTTGGTCCAAAGAGAATGAAATCTAAGATACAAACCTAACAAAACACGTGGAGTATCTGTATGCTGAAAATTTTAAAAGCTGATGGAAAAACTTTTCTTGAGAGCTACATATATGAGATGTACCATGTTTGTGGACTGGAAGATGTGAGACAGTAAACGTGCCAGTGCTCCTCAGATTGGTCTACGGGTTAAATACAGTTCCCACCAACATCCCGGCAAGGTGCTTTTGTAGATATAGACATACCCATTCCAAAATTTATAGGGAAAGACACAGGGCCTAGAATAGCTAAGATAATTTTGGAAAAGAATAAAGTGAGAGAAATCGCGGCACTAGATTTCACGACCTCCATGGCAACGGTGACGCTGACCGGGTGGTACTGGGGACAGACAGGCACGGAGGCCAAGGAAATAGGGTAGAGAGCCTCGCTGAGAGCCGCACCACCTTGCCCAAAGCACACACGTGGCTGTTCTGCAAACAGAGCTGGAGCAACTGGACATGACACGCACAGGGAAAAGGGACCCTCGGGCTGAGTTTTACATCTTCTACAAAAAATAACTCAAAATGGATCACAAACTTAAAGCTCAGGACTACAGAACTTGTAGAATAAGGTCCAGGAGAAACTCTTCCGGACCTGAGGCTGGGTGAAAACTTCTTAGGCTTGACACCAAATGCACGACTCGAAAAAGGAAAAATAAAAAATTGGACCACATTGAAATTGAAGTTTTTCTTTCCTAAAGATCCTTTTAAGAGACTGAAAAGACAAACTGCAGATGGGGAGAAATGTATCTGACAAAGGGCTTGCACCTAGGATGTATAAGGACTCTCAAAACCTGGCAGTAAAAAACAAACAGACAGAAGGCCCCAGGAGAGGTTCACCAGCTCCAGATGTGTCCAGATCCAGAGACGGCAAATGGTGCGCGAAGGCGTCCGGCATCATCAGCCGTTAGGGAGGTGCAAGCTTAGGCCGTGATAAAGTCTTACCGCACACCCGTCAGAACGGCTAAAATAAAACCAGTCACTCCTGCATTGCTGGTGGGAACGTGAAATGATAAAGCAACTCTGGAAAATTGTTTGGTAGTTTTAAGAAAAGCTAAGCATGTACTTACATATGACTCAGCAACTGCACTCTTGGGCCTTTATCCCAGAGAAACAAAAATGTGCATTCACCAAAACCCTGTACACCACCAGTGTCCACAGCAGCTTCAGTCATAATAGCCAAAATGTGGGGAAGAAGAGAAGAACTCAAATGTCCTTCGGTGACTGGATGGTGAAACAGACTGTGGTACGTCCACGCCATGAAACAAACTGTGGTACGTCCATGCCACGAAATAAAGGAGCAAACGCCAGACGCAGGTGACAGGTGGGTGGCAGGAGAGCTATGCTGAGTGAGGAAAAGCCAGTCTCAAAGGCTGCAGACTGACTGCAGGTCTAAGATGTAAATTGTAAATATGGAGAGCACATGACTCGTTGTAGGGTGCTGGGGATGGAGGAAGGGTACAGGCTTGGCTCCAGAGGGGCAGGAAATCTCATAATGGAATATTCTGTATCCTGACTTTGGTGGTGGTTACATGAAATACATTTGAGGAAAAAGTTGCATAGAACTATACACACCCACAAATACATGCATGTAAAGCTAGTGAGATCCACATACGCCCTGTAAGTGGTACCAATGCCAGTTTCCACTTTGGGGAGACACATGAAGTTCCAACAGGACCTGTCTGTACTACTTTTTTTTTCTGGCAACTTCTTATGAATCTATAATTATTTTAAAATAAAAAAATTAAAAAGAAAACAGACAAAGTAAAGGCTGATTCACATATGCAAAAGTCAAAATGATTTACCACCCCCAGAGCTGTACTACACGAACGTTAAAGGAAGTCCTTCAGGAAAAGTAAACTGAGTGGAAATCTTGATCTTCAGAAAACAGTGAGCAGTGCTGGGAAGGGATAAGCGTGAAATGTTTGTAATTTTTTTTATTACTTAATCTCTTTAAAAGATAATTGACTATTTCAAGCAAAATATTAAGAATGCATTGTGGATTTATAACATACACAGATGCAAGACGTTTGATAACAATTGCATGAAAGCTGGGTACAGGGAGGTGGAGGTCTGCATTTGGGAGGTTCTTATCCTATTCACCCTGTAGTGACAGCACTCAAAGGTAGGCTGTGGATAAGCCAAAGAGGTTACCTGTGAACTCTAAAGCAACCACTAAAGTATCACAACAAAGAGATAGAGAGATACAGAGAGAGAGAGAGAGAGAGAGACAGAGAGATAGAGAGATAGAGAGAGATAGAAATATAGTGATATATAGAGATAGAGAAATGATACAGCGATATAGAGAGATAGAGACAGAGAGAGATGATATAGATATAGAGATATAGAGAGAGAGATAGAGAGATAGAGAGAGATGATATAGATATAGAGATAGAGAGATAGAGATAGAGAGAGATAGAGATATAGAGAGATAGAGAGATAGAGATAGAGAGATAGAGATAGAGACAGAGAGAGATAGAGATAGAGAGAGATAGGGAGAGATAGAGAGAGAGATAGTGATATAGAGAGATAGAGAGATAGAGATACAGATAGAGATAGAGAGATGATATAGAGAGATAGAGATATAGAGAGATAGAGAGACATAGAGATAGAGAGATATATATAGAGAGATATAGATAGAGAGATAGAGATATAAAGACATAGAGATATAGAGACATAGGGATATAGAGACATAGCTCAGACACCAACAAAGGAGAAAAAGGGGTATCATAAAAATACTTGACGTAATCCAAAAGAAGGCAGGAAAGGGGAAACAGGTATTGGATCAAATGAAAAACAAGAAGAGCATAGCTCTAAATCTAACATGATCAATAATTAGATTAAGTGCAATAGTCTAAAACACCCCTCTCGGAGGCAGAGATGATGAGATTATACAACAAGTAAGACCAGACTAGATGCCTGCAAGAAACCCACTTTGTATATAAAGATATCCAGGCTGAGTTTCCCTTACCCCAAATGCTTAGGACCAGAACTGTTCTGAATTTCAGATATTTTCTGGTTTTGGAATATTTGCATTACACTAGTTGAACATCCCAAAGCCAAAACATCTGAAATCTAAAATGATCCAACAAGCATTTCCTTGGAGCAGAAAGTTTCAGATTTGGGGGCATTTTGGATTTTAGAATTTCAAATTTGAAATGTTCAGTCTATAGTCGGGTTAAAGGTTTGAAAATGAATAAATGTCTCCGATGCACCCTAATCAAAAGCTTGATCAATATCAGACCAGGCAGATCTTATAGCAGAGTATTACCAGCGACAAGGGGAGAAAATTCATGATAAAGGAGTTGATGAACTTGGAGCTCTCAACGATTCCAAATCACCAACCTTCAAAATACACAGAAGAAAACCTGACGGGGCTACGAGGAGAAAGAAACCCATAAATTAAAGTCTGAGGCCAAAACGCCGCTCTCTTCTCTCTTAATAGTGATTGATATAATGAGGAGATGGAAAGTCAGTCAGGAGCTGAAAGGCCTGAACACCAGCACCGGGCAGCTTGACTTCACTGAAATTCTAAGAACACTCCACCCAGTAATACAGAAGACAGATTTTTATCATGCACTCGGGAACGTTAGCAAGACAGCCTCCATTCTGGACCATGAAACAAGTCTTAATGCATATAAAAACCAAAATCATATAAAGTGCATTCTCTGAACAATAATGGAATTAAGTTAGAAAACCTGGAAATTCCCAAATATTTGAAAACTCAACACTTCTCAGTAGGTCGAAGAAGCAGTCAAGTGGAAATTAGAAAGGATTTTGAATTTAATAAAGTGAAAACAAACCACATTTGTGGGATGGAGCTAAAGCAGTATGAAGGGCACCTTATAACACTACGTGCCTATATCAGAAGAGAAGAAAGTTTCAGATCGATGACCTCAGAGTTTACCTTAAAAATCTAGATAATGAAAATGAAATTCCAAGTAAGCAAATGTAAAAAAATAATAAATATCAGAGTTTATGATATTTGCAATCAGAAGCCGGTTCTTTGAAAGGATCAACAAAATTGATAAACTTCCCACCAGAATGGTCAGGAAAAAAGAGACGACGCACATGGCCCAGGTCACGAGCGAGAGAGGGGACGCCATCTGGTTCTGCGCATGCTGGAGGATAGCAAAGGACCCGCAGACACCTTTATGCTGATATGTTATCCAGCTGGATGAAATGGACACATTCTAAAGGACATCAACTACCAAAGACATAAACACATTCTAAAGGACATCGACTACCAAAGACATAAACACATTCTAAAGGACATCGACTACCAAAGACATAAACACATTCTAAAGGACATCGACTACCAAAGACATAAACACATTCTAAAGGACATCGACTACCAAAGACATAAACACATTCTAAAGGACATCGACTACCAAGGACATAAACACATTCTAAAGGACATCGACTACCGAAGACATAAACGTCAAAACACAATGAACACTGTATCTATTAGAGGAATTAGTAACTAGCAATCTTCCTGCAGAGAAAACTTCAGGCCCAAATGACTTCATGAACTCCACCACACCAGTTTTACACAGACTCTTCCAGAAGCCAAGAGGAGGCACTTCCCACCTCATTCTGAGGCTGGCGTTACTCTGGAGCCGGAACCAGACAGACACGTTAGAGGAAGGGGCCGTGCTGCTCACCGACCCCTCGGGTGTGGGGTGGCGACTGTCGGGCAACGCGGCGAAGGGAACGGGGGTCTCCATCCCTGACTTGATCGGTTTTTCCACTCTCATTGTTTTCCTGCACCTACTGTCAGTTTAGATTTTAAAGGCCAGGAGAGTGATAAGAGCAGGGAAGAAAGGGAGGAAGAGATTTAGGAGGCTGTGAAGGGAAGAGAAGGATTTGGGAAGAAGGTTCCAGCGTGACTTAGACCTGCTTAGACATTAGAGCGTGAGAGGCAATTCTCAAAAAGGATTCCTGAGTTCACTCTGTCTTGTAACTCTCCTATTCACAGGCTGAAACTAAATCCCCAAAGGAGCTCCAGAAAGCTATCATTTAAAGTTAGGCCACTAATTATACTGTTCCATTAATTAAGGAGTATTTCAACTCAACCCTCTTTTTTACTGGACATTAAAAAATTACTAATCGTTTATCGGTTGGAATAGAACCCGCTTATAGTGGCCTTCCATGGAAACAGCATCTCAGAGAATTTGCTAACAGTTTTAGGATTGCTGTGAATCTGAGCCCTGAGAATTGTGGGCAAATTGGAATGTGTGGAGAGACACATGGGTGGTTGGAACCTGGAGGTGCTGGGACCCGGAGGTGCTGGGACCCGGAGGTCCTGGGATCCGGGGGTGCTGGGGCCCAGGGGTGCTGGGATCCGGAGGTGCTGAGATCTGGAGGTGCTGGGACCTGGAGGTGCTGAGATCCGGAGGTGCCTGTGAGACGTCTGCAGAGACCAAGTGCCCACCCAGCTCCGGGGCTCTCAACAACCCCCCTTCTGGGGATGCCAAGGTGGGCTCCCTCCCTCAGCTGATGCCCAGTGCCACTCACACAGCTGTGAGGCAAGATCTGCCACCCCCGACCTTCAGGGAAACACTCCCCTTTCCAGCCTCAATTTCCTCATCTGGAGAATTGAAGGGGTGCCTCCTTCGCCACAGTCCCATCCTGGAGGCTGAGATCCGTGGGTAGGCAGGACCCCCTGCCAGGAAAACAGTGCTAACCCCAAACCCAGTGAGTGAGTGTATCATGCTGTCTGCGGGAAGGGCTCAGCGCGCAGCTGTCTCCCATGAGAACCACACCCAAGAAGGCACAGACACCCCCACCGCAGAGAGGGTGAGGTGTCTGCTGAGAGCCCACAGCCACGCCGCACGGACAGCGTTCCAATGGTGCCACTGGGGGCCTGCTTTGCCTCTGGGTAGGACCTGTCCCCACATCTGTGCTGGGCAGCGTGAGAGTGGCGTGGTGTTTGTGCTACCCAGGGACCCCGTAAGGCAACATACACACTACCAGGGGTCTGTGGAGCCAGCAGACCACTCAGAAACAAACATGCAGTTTGGAAAATGCACCTCTGCAGATTCTCGGCTGGGAAAAGCCGTAGGGGGTGCAGTGGGAGCCCAGACCGTGCACCTAATGCCCAGGTCGGAAAAGTGGGCATGGCAAGGAGGGGAAATGGCCCATGAGAGGCTGAGTGCTGTGGGCCTGAATCACCCATCTCCCCCTGTCTGGATGGGACCCAGATCACCCCCAGCTCCTCCCCATCCAGATGGGACCCAGATCACCCCCAGCTCCCCGTCGTCCGGATGGGACTCAGGCTGCCCCAGAATAGATGTTCGTGAACATTTCCCTCCTTTTTGGGAAAAGGGCAATGCCTGCTGGACACAAAAGTGCTCTTTGAATTAAACTATTCACAGCAGCGGCAGCGCATCCGCCCTCCGGCCGCACTCTGAGGAAGGAGCCACTCCGCTCTGTCCTGCTGGGAAGATGGGACCCAAGTCCCCCGTGCTGAAAAACTCGTCGATCCCAGAGAGAACAGCCACATGGAGATAGTAGTCGCTTTCTGACGACACAATCTGGAAAAGGCCAAGTGGCTCTGCAGCTGTGTTTATAGAAAGGTCGGGATGCTGAGTTCTAGGGTCAGCAGGAAAATCGCTGCATAGATGTCGGCAGAAGCTGCTTTCCTCATGAAACACGTTCACTGGCGCGATTTCGTCTCAGCACCGACGTCCTCACCAAGACTCTTTTCTCTAATTTATATGTGAAGTAAAATGAACGCGTGTCATCTGGGGCTCTGTGGGCACTGTCGCGGCAACTCAGACACTGCATTTAGGTCCTGGCGGAAACCCAAGGCGGGGGGGTCTGCTGGAGGGGGCTGCAGGCGGAGACAGGAGGGTCTGCCGGGGGGCGGGGGGCTGCAGGCGGAGACAGGAGGGTCTGCCGGGGGGCGGGGGGCTGCAGGCGGAGACAGGAGGGTCTGCCGAGGGGCGGGGGACTGCAGGCGGAGACAGGAGGGTCTGCCGGGGGGCGGGGGGCTGCAGGCGGAGACAGGAGGGTCTGCCGAGGGGTGCTGCACGCAGGCACAGGGGACAGCCACGGGGACTGCAGGCGGACACCGGAGGGGTCTGCTGGGGAAGCTAGGGGCAGGCATTGAGGGGCTGCAGGCGGGCACAGGGTAGGGGTTGGCCGGAGGGCTGCAGGCGGGGTCAGCTGGGGGGTCTGCTTTCTGCTTTGGTATAAATGAACGTTTAGTCATCTTCTACCTAACTTAATTTTTTTGGCATAAATAATTATAAATATGATGTGCTTCACATATGTGATTCCAAATTAGGTTAGTGAGCCAGGATCTGTCTTAGGGATGGGTAATTTAAAAACTGAGGAGGAGAAAACAGTTCCTCAAAAAGTTAAACGTACAATGACCGTAATACCCAGGAGTTCTACTCCCAGGGAATATGCCCCAAAGAATTGAAAACAGGGACCTGAACAAAATTCAGAACACCAACGTTCACAGCAGCGCGGCTGACAATGGCCAGGAGGTGGGAGCCACCGTGTCCGCCAGCTGACAAAGGACCAGCACGACGTGGGGTCCCCATCAGCTGGGGAACGTGACTTGGTCATAAAAAGGGAGGAAATACTGACCCACGTGACCACATGGATGACCTTGGGAAACACATGACCTTCAGAAACACTACGGGGAAGACGCCAGCCGCAGAGGGCCCCACGTTCATGATTCCGTTGGCATGAAATGCCCGGACAGGCACACCCAGAGATGTGTGAACCCGAGGTCCCAGGGAGGAGACGGGGAGCAGCTCCCAAGGCCACGGGGGTTTCTCCGGGTGTGGCAAAAATATCGTGGACATAAAGATGGCGGCCACACAACCTTGTGAACGTACACCACAGAACCACACGTTTTAAAGCGGTTGCTTTAATCTTAGGTGAATTTACAATGTTAAAAAACCCACAAAGCTGGTCCGGGGCTTCTCTTAAAGAGGTTATTTTATCTCGGCGTCAGCGCACCCTGAGCGCGCTCCAAACACTCACTCAGGTGTAGCTTGTTAATTTCAACACGGGACGTATTTTTAAAAATATTCACGTTGAGACGAGACAGCCTCCGGTGATGTCACTGGTCAGGACGCCATGTGGGGAACGTGGCGGAACTGGCGGAAACAGCTGATTTTTTGGGTCCTTCTCTAGAAGCGGGGCCAGGGTGCGTCCCGGGTGGGGAGGGGAATGCTGGGGCAAGGGGCCCCAGGCTGTCCATATAACGAGATGCCCTTGCCAGGGCCGGAAGCTCAAGCACTTGGGTCTTTCCTGGGCTCCACTTGGCTCTGAGGGGAAACTTGATACTCATATTACTTTTGTGCCACCCAGTCTCTGCTCAGGAGCAAAGCAAACGTGATCTTACGCGCAGATGCGGCTGCTTTGCCTCTGGCTGAGTCTCAGAAAACGCCCCATCCCTAAGGTTCCCCCAGGATTTCGGTCACCGAGGACCGCGTGCTAGAGGCCAGCAAAGACCAGGAAGGTAGTTCCACTGCCTCCCGAAGCTGACCTCTCTCTTAGCTTTCCAGGAAAACGCAGTCTTGGTTCTGGTGTACACGAGGGTGGCACACGTAACTGCCCAACAGCTTTTCCCCCCGACAGGCAGAACCTCTGGCTGGAAATCAGCCTGTGGGTGCATTTTTCTAATTACTCAAAATCAACCTAAAAGGCACAAACACTAAGAGGGTTATTCGCAGAAGCTCAACCTCTTCTGCAGAAACCATCACTGTATACATTCATAATTTTGGAATATTCTGTTACTGGGGTTGAGGACAACCAAGGAGGTTTCACAAAGTCACTTTGAAACCAAGAAAGAGCTTCCAGTGCATTCTGGGTGGACAGCTCCGCCCGCTTCGGCAGAGGGAAGCGAAGGGCGCGTGCTGGCCGCCTCCGGGTTGAACAGTCCAAGGCTCTGTTAGGCCCCGACTGGGGCCAGTTGGAGAAAAGCAAGGGCTTAACCAGCTCTCCCCTACTTGCTGAGAGCTGAGGGCTCCCCCCAGAACAGTGGCCTCTGTGCTCTCCTCACGCCACCCCACGCGGGACCTCCCCTACTCGGAGAGCCGAGGGCTCCTGATGCCTGTGAGGTCTCCTCCCAGCTCCCCCAAACGCCGGCCTCTGTGCTCTCCTCACGCCACCCCACGCGGGACCTTCGACGACGTTCTCAGGCTCACTTCAGATATTGTCAAACGCAGAAAACTGGGGGATAGATGCTTACTAATCGCTTTAGGTGGTGATGACTTCCCTAGTCCTTTAACTCAATCTGTACACCTCTGAGCAAAAGAAATCAGAATTCTTGCATTTTATAAAGTCCTAAATGAAAAATGTTCCTGAAAGATGAGAACAATAATTACTGTAGAAGTTCCAAGTTTCATATTTTAACTCATGGCCAGGTAATATTTTCCCACCCAAACGTGAAGTAGGGAGCTTTGGTGGGGAAAAGGGGAAGAGCAGCTTTAAGAAGCGGGGAGAGACGGTGAGAACCTGTGGGTTTCCACACGTTTCCTCGCCAGATGATTGTCAAATGGCGTGTGACTGTGTGTGTGGCCAGAGCCTCACCCAGGATATTCCTCTGAGCAAAAACATTTGGCACTAGCAGGAGTTCCTTCTCCACCTCGCCCGGATGAACATTTCTGAGCTGCTTCAGTTACAGGGCCTGGGAACTATCCGGCGTCTCGCAAATTTCTACGGCAGGTTTTTACCTAAACATAGAAGAAAGGGAACAGCTCTACTGGCAAGATGCCCTTCCAACGGCGAATGGCCGCGTCTACACAGCCTTCCCAACACGAGGTTCATTTCACAGACGATCCAAGTACACGCCACTGAAAACACACTCTGAGAACAAAGCGGCATCTTCCACGCGTATCATGAACCACTCGCAGACTACGCCTGTCCAGCAAAAAAATACGGCTTTATTGGATCTATTTCCTAACTACAAAGACAGCTGACACAGACATCAAACGTTTCCTTTTCAATGACAGTCCCCTGAGAAAGGCTGCACGTGACTCCTACAGTGCCGGGTGCAGGGTACCCAGCCGCAGGTGGGACGCGGCCACACGTCTTCACGGTTACGTGCAGACCGACGGGATGGCCTTCAGGTTGTTTCTTTCCGTGAGTGAGACACAAGAGACGCGATTGTGCCGGAGCGCACGGTACAGGCCGTTCCTTCTGCGGGAGCCCTTTCTCCATCAGCGACGTTCTGTTCAGTGACTTCACAGCCGGAGCCTCCACCCGCAGGTGCAATTCAGGCAGGTTCCATAAGGGGGCATTAATTCCTAAGGCACGAGTTCAGGTCAACCGTGTTTCAATGAATAAACCATGCTTTTTGGTTATATGGAACAATAGATCGCTGTGAGTAATCATACGTAATAAGCAACTAATTGTACAGAGTGCCCAGCAAGGCCTACACAAACCTACCTGTTAACAGTAACTCATCTGAAAACACACAACGCAGGGCTGAGCATTAAAGTGGCGTTTTTGGTATTGGTTTTCTTAGATGAAGCAGAGAGTGGTAAGGCTTCTGTGAAACAATCATCTTATAACTGAACAAATATATTACACTTAGGTTGCATGTTATTTACAATCACTTTCTAATGTTGCCGTCTGGTAACCTACAGCTACTGTCAATCACAGCTCCTGGCTTTCTAGGGTCCTCCTCGAACTGCGTGAGACGAGAAAATGCACGGCCGTCCGAGGCGGCGATGGACGCCAGCAAGAGCAGCGACTGGAGCCCCAGACGCAGGTTCCAAAACGGATGCCGGTTATTGCTGACAGGGAAGCCCTCCTGGGCGAGGACACGTCGGCTCTGTTATTATTTATACATAAATAGATGCCTAGATATGTACACACATGCAAATGCAGGCTATCCTGTAACAGGTTTTTCTGCTTTTGTCCAGTAACCTATTGATGTGCTATTCAAGTTACTTGTGCTATGTTCGAAGCCAGATTAAAAACAAAGATGCGAGCATGCGACTATGAACAAGCCTACGGTTTCAACCGCGCAGACAAGGGAAGCATGTTACAAAAGAGCTGAGATGACAGACTGGAAGATTCTAAAATGCACTGTGTAAGGCAGCAGGAGTGTACGTGACAGCCCAGGAAACGTTCCAAATGTTGGAGACTCATACTAGAGTCCTCTCGCAGCCTTCCAGCGTTCTCTTCATTCATACAGAGGGTAAAACCTCACAATGAAATGTGTTTGCAGTTTCTGCTCCTAAAAATACTCCTACAGTAGCAAATTCAATGCTCAATTCTATGATGCCCTGATGGTCTGGTTAAATAAGGCACTTCCAGTATTGAACCCCAGGGGTGCCAGAAGGGCTGGGCGTGGGGTCAAACTGCGTGTGGGCCGTTCCCATGAAAGGCCCCTGCACGGTGGGTCTCCCGTGCTCAGCCCGGCCACCTCCCTTCTGTTGTCATGAGATGACTTCTCCTCCAGGTGACACAGTGGTCTCCCTTCCTCCCTGCTTTCCTTCTTGTTGGAGAGCCAATCTTTGCACATATTAATGTTCAGCTCCTGGCATTCAGTCAGTTGGAGGTTCTGAGTGGTACCAGGTGTGAGTTCAGTTTATTTATTCAAAAGTCTTTGTCTGCTGAAGTCAGCATACCCCTGCTGAACTGAGTGCTCCAATGTGGCAACTAGGAGTGGGTGCTCGTGCTGGAGAGGTCATTTCGTATTATTTCATTTACTGTAAGAAAAGAAAAATTGAGAAAGTATTAGAGAAATACCATAAACATCAAAGCAACGCCCCCAGCCCTGCTTCTCCATCAGTGACGCTCACGCCTGTGACAAGGCATCTCCCCAGGAACCCACATTTCCTCCTCGGTCCCACCCTGGTCCATGAGTGTCGTGAGCCAGTGCCTGGCTGCCTCGGCAGAGAGCTGGGGTCGCCAGAGTGACCGCCCTCGTCCGTAGCACGGTACCAGCACGTCTCTGACGGCCAAAGTGCAGGTGCCAGGTGCCGGCCGCGATGCTGGGAAGATGCTGTGGCTGTCTCTCCACGAACCAAGCGACCCACAGGTCCACACCAGCACTTCTGTGGTGTCAGCACCAGTGTCGCCTGAGCCTCCCTCTCAGGCTCTTCCTGATTTTTATTTCCCTTTGGATGGCAGAGTCCCTGAGTCCCCCACAGGCCAGTGACGTTCCCCGTCACCTGTGACTTCTGGCAGACGCAGAGGAAACGAGCGGCACTGTTAGGGCCTTTGTGAGCTGCATGCATCCCCGCCCCACCCACCTCCTGCTGTGGCCGCCCTGATGGGCGCTGAGATAGGGGATGTGCCACCAGCACTGTCGCCACGTCCCATCTCCCTCCCAGGTTCTGGTGGGGCGTGCGCTGACGTCACGGAACTGCCCGGGCTTCCCTCTGCCATGGGCTGGAGCGCCCAGAGCCCAGATAAGCCCCACGTGTTTCTGCAAAGGCCCCGGCCTGTCTCAGGGCGGCTTCCTGGAGCAATTAGTAGTGTGCATTTCATCACCCCACTCCCTTCCCCAAATTCCCTTTCAACAACCCCCGACTATTTTTAAGAATAACAATAATAAAACACAGATGGAGAACCAGGAATTGTGTCATGGGAACTGATAACAGGACACACTGGCACTGAGCTCCAGGAGGAACCCTGGCTGCAAACACACACCCGAGGCTGGCTCGCCCAAGGCTCTGCGGGGCCAGAGACCCAGGCAAGCAAAGGTGCCCCACATGCCCGGCCCCGCCAGCAGCACCTCCTGACATGGCGCCCACAGAAGGTCCCGACTCTGTCCCGTGTGGGAGCTCAGCCTCTGTAAAGACACAGGCACGCGTGGGCTCCCCGCAGGCCCTGCTCAGAGCCACGCTGATCCTGGGCCCTGCCCAAGACGGGACCTGGCACTCAGCCACAGGACGCAGAGCCAGGCTCTCTGCAGAGGGCTCCGCCCCCAGTGTGGAAGGCACCAGAAGGAGCCCGGGCTCCCGCCCCTCCGTGTGACTCTTCACAAACACTAAGGAGGATAACGACAGGGCCCAGGTGCTCGCAGGCTGCTCCCGGACTGGCACGCAGGACCTGACTTGTCCCAGAGTGCGCACGGCAGCTCCTCACCAGAGGCACTTTCCGTGACACTCGGGCGGCGCTGCGGGGCCTCGGCACAACGCAGAGAGAAAGACGGCTCTGTTCTGTGTGGGGGTCGCACGTCCCCACCCAAATGCCCTAGGCTGCTGGTTGCTCAGCGGCCTCCCGCCCACTGTGCTGCTGAGTGCAGCGGCCCCCAGGAGCTCCGTGCCCTGCTGTGCTTGGCATCTGTGGCACGAGACAGGGATGCCCCAGAATTCGAGACCAGTTAACTCCTTTCCCACTGCGCTGGTTCAGCCTTGCTACAAAAGACGTCTGCAAAGAGGCAGGAGGAGCCACCTGCCCAGGAGGAAGACACGGTGGGGGTTCAGGTAGCTCAGAACAGGCCCCACCTGTGGGGGAAGGGAGGCTGCCCAATGCATGAAGAGACTGGGCTCAGGTCCTCATCCAACCCTGGCCAGCGGAGCTCCAAAAGAAAGGACTCCAGTCAGAATAGTGATTGTGGGGACGAAAGAGGCCTAAATGATCAACACAGGGGAAAGGTGGGGACACTACAAAGAAATAATGAAGCCATGAGTGGACCCTGAAGGGTAACAGCGACAGGGACAGGAGGGAGGCCTGAGAGGTAACGACGGTGGGACGTGGGGAGGACTGAGGGGTAACGACGGTGGGACGTGGGGAGGCCTGAGGGGTAACAACGGTGGGACGTGGGGAGGACTGAGGGGTAACGACGGTGGGACGTGGGGAGGACTGAGAGGTAACGACGGTGGGACGTGGGGAGGACTGAGGGGTAACGACGGTGGGACGTGGGGAGGCCTGAGGGGTAACGACGGTGGGACGTGGGGAGGACTGAGGGGTAACGACGGTGGGACGTGGGGAGGACTGAGAGGTAACGACGGTGGGACGTGGGGAGGACTGAGGGGTAACGACGGTGGGACGTGGGGAGGACTGAGGGGTAACGACGGTGGGACGTGGGGAGGACTGAGGGGTAACGACGGTGGGACGTGGGGAGGACTGAGGGGTAACGACGGTGGGACGTGGGGAGGACTGAGGGGTAACGACGGTGGGACGTGGGGAGGCCTGAGGGGTAACGACGGTGGGACGTGGGGAGGACTGAGGGGTAACGACGGTGGGACGTGGGGAGGCCTGAGGGGTAGTAATGATGGGATGTGGGGAGGCGTGAGGGGACAGGATGGGTGATGGTGACAGTGACAGGGTGGGGACGGCGTCTGAGGTCTCCATCGTGTTCGTGGGACAGGCCGCCTGCATGGCCGCCGAGAGCCGTCTTGTTCCCCGCGGGCACAGGAGGGCGCGTCGCTGAGGGTGAAAGGGAAGCGGCATGGCCATGGGGCTTCCCCTTGCTGCCCACGAGCACCTGAGCCTCGGTGGGAGAGCCCGTCGGGGGGCGGAAAGTTCCTCGGTGTGTCCCCCGGCCACCCAGGTTCCCGTCGGGGGCCACCACAGCCTCCTTTGCTCTCTCTGCCTGGGTCTGCGGCTGCTGAGCTCTCGGGAGGGGAGGAGGGCCGACCTCAAGAGAGCTGTCGAGGCCTAAGGAGCCAGCGGCAGCCTGCACCTCACTCCTGCGGGCTGGCGGTGCGTGTGGGCCGACCCCGTCCCAGCGCCGGGTCAAGTGTGTTCCACAAGGTCTCAGACGCTGCAGGGACGCGTGGCCGGGACCAGACACAGCCCAGGCACCCTCCAGGGCCTTCCCGCTGCCCCATGGCAGCAGCTGACAGAGAGCGGGATGGACAACCCTGACACCACTCAGCAGAGGACAGCACAGCAACCGAACCGCAGAGGAGGCTGTACCGCCCACCCATCCACACCGCGGACGAGAGCCGTACGTGGAGCCGTGCTCGCCCCGCAGACACGGCCTGTGCCGTAGCCCTGAGAGGAAAGCCACGGCTTCCCCTTTCACAGGTGGACAACGGGCCCATCCTGGGGTTGGTCTGAGGCCATGTGGCTCGCTGGCGCTGGGCTGAAAGACAGGACCGCCCCCCCACCCCCCAACTCCTTCCCGCCACGAGCACTTCTGACCCATGAGGTCAGCCACAGCTGCCCGGCCCTGCCCTTGCTATTCCGGGGGCGGCTTCCTTGGGTAGGGTATGGTTGCCGATGACACCTACGGTTTCCCATACCAGCTCTCTCTGCTGATAATTTCCATCTTCTTATTCAGCTTTTCCACAGACACAAAGGGTTTTTTCCCTTCCTAGCATATTTTGAATTGCAGGTAGCATGTGACCCTCACGGCGTGTGGGAGACCTGAAAGAGGAAACTTACTTTGCCTAACGTCAGATGTCCCCGCAACAGGATGTGGTGAGCTGTTATACCACAATTTAATTTAATAAGGAGGGCTTTTTTTTCCCTTATATTAGATTTTTCTCTAAAATACTCCTCAGGTGGAAACTATTGTTTTTTCCTAAAACTCGACTGTGGCGTTTTGAATCCTGGCTGCAGGCTGAGAGCCTCCCTCGAGGCCACATCCACACACCCACACTCATACCCACCTCTCTATACACATCTGGAATTGAGTGAAGGAGGAAATCAGTACATTTTTAAATATAAAAACTACCAAGTACAAGGGCAGGCATGGCTTTCACTGCCTCACCTGTGAATCTTATCTGTGCCCTTGCTGGGGCCACGCAAGCTCTCACTAGCTGTGCGTAAACAAGCCGTAGGCGAGACGCCTTTCTCAGTCAAGTATTCGTACCTTCACATAACCAGTTTCTTCTTTTTGATCATCATTTTGAAAGAAAGTTGACATTTAAACTTCACCCTGTAGTGAGCTACCCAAAGTTCACCTCTTAAGTTTCACGCAGGAGTTTTGTTTCTCTATGCTGGGAATGATGAGGGCCAGAACGGAGCTGCCAGGGCCTGAACGCTGTTTGATATATTTTGCCCCCTTGCTGCCTGGCTTGGAAGCAACATTTTTCTGCATTTCTGAATGCCCGGTTTCTGAAAGCAATTAAGGATCTTACATTTTAAGGAATGAACAAACTACCATTTCCCCAGCAGTTATGCAGCCCTGCCTGGCCCTTTGTGCACCTGCTTGCTCCTTGCAACAGCCCCGGGAGCGGCAAAGGCAGGTACTGTAGTCACCCAGTCTGTTCACAGGGACCACGGAGGGCTCGGAGAGTGGGAATGGCTGCCAGGGACCCCAGAGCTGACAGGGCAGGACTGACCCTTACTGGGGTCTGAGCTCAGCCGGCTCTGCTGGGCCCTGAACAGCCACCTGCCCCCAGATCCTCCCAGATGGCGGCCTGGGGCCCCGCTGGGCAAGCCACAGTGTTAGATGTGTGTTTTTTCTTTCAGTACTTACTAGGAAAGTCATGGAAAGCTGGATGGGCCTACTGGCTGGTGCCTGGGGGACGACTCAGACCCTGGGACAGGAGGGTTCCCACCCTGCCCAGCCAGCTCCTGGCCCCAGGAGTCCGTCCTCTCTCCTCCAAATCTGGCCCCCGTCCCTTCCCTCTCTGGTCCTCCCTGTTTCACCTGCAGGGTGCTCAGTGCCCGGAACTTGGCGTATCTGAGGTGAGGGAAGGCTGGGGGCGGGGGTGTTTACTGCCACTTTCCTTTCCTGCGGTGTGCGCCTTTTAACACAAGCAAAACACACACATCAGCAGACACCCCCCACAGACACACACATCAGTGGACGCACCCCCCCCACACAAAACACATCAGCAGATACCCTCCACACACAGACATCAGTAGACGCACCCCCCCAACACACACACAAAACACACACACCAGCAGACGTCCCCCCACCCAGACACAATCCGTGGACGCACCCCCCCCCACACACACAGAGACACAAACATCAGTGGACACCCCCCACCACACACAAAACACACACATCAGCAGGCGCCAGCCCCTACACCCAGACATCAGTAGACGCACCCCTCTACACACAAAACACACACATCAGCAGATGCCACCCCCCCTACACCCAGACACACACATCAGTGGACACCCCCCCCCACACACACAAAACGCATCAGCAGATACCCCCCCACACACACACAGACACAAACATCAGTGGACACCCCCTCCCCATACACAAAACAAAACACACATCAGCAGACGGCCCCCCCCAACAGACACACACATCAGTGGACGCCCCCTCCCCACACACAAAACACACACATCAGCAGACGCCCCCCCACACATGCACAGACACACATATCAGCAGATGCCCCCTCCCCACACACAGCAGACAACCTCCCACACACAAAACACACACATCAGCAGACGCCCCCACACACACAGACATACACATCAGTGGATGCCCCCCCCACACACACAGACACACACATCAGCAGACGCCCCCCCCCCCACACACACAGACACACACATCAGGGGATGCCCCCCCCCACACACATACACATCAGTGGATGCTCCCCACACACACACAGACACACACATCTGTGGATGCACCCCACACACACACAGACACACACATCAGTGGATGCTCCCCACACACACACACACACATCAGCAGACGCCCCCCCCCCCACACACACAGACACACACATCAGCGGATGCCCCCCCCCCCACACACACAGACATACACATCAGCGGATGCTCCCCCCACACACACAGACACACACATCAGTGGATGCCCCCCCACACACACATACACATCAGTGGATGCTCCCCACACACACACAGACACACACATCAGTGGATGCCCCCCACACACACACATACACATCAGTGGATGCTCCCCACACACACACAGACACACACATCAGTGGATGCCCCCCACACACACACAGACACACACATCAGTGGATGCTCCCCACACACACACACATCAGTGGATGCTCCCCCCCTACACACACACACACAGACACACACATCAGGAGACGCCCCCCCCCACACACACAGACACACACATCAGCGGATGCCCCCACACACACATGGACACACATCAGTGGATGCTCCACCCCCCACACACAGACACACATATCAGCTGATGCCCCCACACACACATGGACACACATCAGTGGATGCTCCCCCCCTACACACACACACAGACACACACATCAGCAGACGCCCCCCACACACACACAGACACACACATCAGCGGATGCCCCCACACACACATGGACACACATCAGTGGATGCTCCCACCCCCATACACAGACACACATATCAGTGGATGCCCCCCCCCACACACACAGACACACACATCAGCGGATGCCCCCCCACACACAGACACACACATCAGTGGATGCTCCCTCCCACACACACACCAGTGGATGCTCCCCTCCTACACACACACAGACACACACACCAGTGGATGCCCCCCCCACACATACACAGACACACACATCAGTGGATGCCCCCCCCCACACACAGACACACACATCAGTGGATGCCCCCCCACACACACACACATCAGTGGATGCTCCCCTCCTACACACACAGACACACACATCAGTGGATGCCCCCCCCCCACACACACATATCAGTGGATGCCCCCCAACCACACACAGACACACACATCAGTGGATGCCCCCCCCGACACACAGACACACACATCAGTGGATGCCCCCCCCACACACACACAGACACACACATCAGCGGATGCCCCCACACACACGGACACACATTAGTGGTGGATGCACCCTCCCCCCCCCACACACAGAGTCTTCTGCTGCTTGGCTATACTTATTTTTCAGTCATTTCTCCGGTACTAGCTTAAATGTGCCTTAAACTTTTTTTATGTGGGGGTGGGGGAGGCAGGTGGCCAGAGGCGCCAGCGGAGCAGGATGTCGGAGCTGCCACTCGCCTTCCACTGTGCTGTGAGAGCCACCGGGACACGTCAGCATCTCCCCTGTTCTGAAATCAACACCGAGACACACCGAGTCCCTCCGGAGGCATCTGCAGAGGCAGCAACGCCACGCGAGGGCTGCCGACTCTCCAGCTCCAACATTTCGTCCGGACCTCCCGGCAGCGCAGCGGGGGATCCCCTCCCGTGAGGGGCCCGGAGGGGCTTCGAGAAGGCTGTCGCCTGATGGGCTCCGTCAAGTTTCCCCCTGCAGACCCTCATTCTACCAGTTTTGATTCCATTTTAAATCTGACTTCCAAGTGGCACCCCTGCCGACGGTCAAAACGCCCCCTCTCCTGGTGTGTGCCCTCCATCCCCGCTTCCTGGGGGCAGCCGGTTTCTTGCTGTCTGGACAACAGAGCTCTGCCAATGCCACTTATCTCGCCCGTCCAGGACTTTATCACCAACTGTCCTACTTCCGACTCCAGCAAAGGAGCGACAGCGAGCACGTCTGTGCTTGGCTGTGACTAACAGGGCCTCTGAATAAAGTGAAAATAATCCCACTTTAAGCTGCAAGAGGAAAGACCCACAGAAGGAAAGTCCTTCACGGACGGAGACCCAGGATCCTGAAATGCAGTGCGTCCCTTCAACGTTCTGAGAATAAAAATTTAAACATGCAAGCCCCGGGAGGAAAAGCAATTCCTAAAACATGGCAGAAACAACATAAAAAAAATCTTGCTGTTGTTTTAAAAACTGACCTAAGACCAGGCATGGTGGCTCACACCTGTAATCCCAGCACTTTGGGAAGCCAAGGCGGGAGGATCACTTGAGGCCAAAAGTTCAAGACCAGCCTGGGCAATGTAGTGAGACCACCCCCCATCTCTACAAACAAATGTAAAAATTAGCCAGACATGGTGGTGTGCACCTGTGGTCCCAGCTACTTGGGAGGCTGAGGTGGGAGGATGGCTTGAGCCCAGGAGGTTGAGGCTGCAGTGAGCTGAGATTGTACCACTGCATTCCAGCCTGGGTGACAGAGCAAGACCCTGTCTCAGGAAAAAAAATAAAAAAATAAAAAATAAATAGCCTGATCTCCTGTTTTCCAGGAAAGCCCGAGCCTTGTAAGGGTTTTTCAGATGGTAGTGAAACAACTTGGAAGTCAGCAATTCCTAAGGATTTTCCAAATCTTCTCAGACTAAAATTCTCCCACTTTCCTGCTGCCTTGTTCAAACCATGGTTCGGAGATCTGTGAGCAGCCTGCCAGCCGCCGGAGGCTCTGAAGCCTTTCTGAGGCGAGGTCTTTGCACCTGAACGCTCTGGTAGAACAAGGTTTAGCAAAAGGGAGCCTGGAAGGGCCCATCCTCACCTTCTGCCCAGTCCTGCAGGGCTCAGGACACATCCTGGGGGCTAATCTGTGGGAAGAGGTTTGACTGAGACCCCGTTCTGCTCTGTGAATGGGCGGACTCTTCAGCATCTCACACGGAGAAACAACTTCCTCCTGGATCGGAGCCCAAGTCAGGGATAAGGTGCCTCCTGCCTGCACCGTGGGCACTGGCCGCCTTGTTACAGAATCAACGGCCGTCCACTGAGGGACACCGGGTGCCAGGGGTCCTAACACCCCTCCAGAGCACCCGGCACAGCTCTCCTTGGAGCTGGGTGCTACCCTTAGTCTCGTTTTGAAGACAGGACTGGGCGGTCAGGTCAGCCCATCCTCACACTGCGGTGAGTAGCGGGGGCAGGAGCAGCCTTGCTGTGGGCCACGCCCTGGGCAATGAGCGGTGGCTCCTTGGGGGATCTCAGATTTTTCCAAGTCTGTTTTCTATATGGCTGAACGATGTGACAAAACACTTGTCAAGGACACCCTCTCAGGTGCTCTGATCTGCATCTTTCACGAGCGAGAGGGGGGGTGCCAGGCACTTCCTGGTGGACCTTCAGTTACCGCCCATCAGAACACAAGCAGGCAGCGCGAAACATGCTGGGCCCGGGGGCTCCATCGCCCTTTACACTGCCACACTCAGCTTCCACATGTTCTACTGTGGGCGTGTGCCCCTCCTTCATGTTTCTGGGGTTCATGGGGACATTAGTGTTGTCCTTCCCTTTCTGTCTCAAAGAATTGACTGTGCCTGTCATTGGACGCAGCGGCTGCCATGAATGTCGACCGGGAAAGCGATGGGAAAAGCTGTTCAGACACAGCTGAGCTGCCTCTACCTGGTCACCTGCACGCCAGGCCCATGCAGTCTGCTCCATCCCTGTCCCTGGCAGAGCCCATCTGGGAGTGGTGGTGACTGTGCCAGCTGGAGACCCACTGAGCACCAGGGTGCAGCACAGACAACGACGCCCTCAGGCTGCGTGCAGTGAAGAGCCGGGAGAGGCAGCGCTAGAATTGTTTTTAGGAACTGGATTTGGGCTTAAAGAATAAACAATGTGGTTCAGCCACGCTAACCCAAATACACTGTTTAATCCTTGCAGTTAAAAAGTTTAAGTAGCACAGATGAAGACTATAACTTGCATAAACGATTTTTGTGTCAATTTTTAAAAAGCATATTTGTTCATATAGGTACCACTAACTTAATTGCACAAAACACATTTAAAAGCATCTTCCCTCTTTTTCAATGGTTATGTTAGTTCCAATCAACAACCAATTGTGCTATGATTATTCAAGTCTAAGAGTATTTATCTATGACCGCTAAACAAACCAGACAGTTTGGCAAGGACACAGGCCTCAGAATTATCAGACATCAGAACGTCCTGCAGGACTGCTCCTTCTTTAGAGTTGTCATTTTCCTTTACACTAAAGCAATACAGGAAACAAAAAAGGCCGTCGTGATGCCACCCACGGCCTACGGGGGCATGTTCCTATTGCCTCTTCCTGTCGCAGCGTCCCCATCCGCCTCACTTTCCGTCCAGCAGGCTCCCTTCTAAGGCCCACCGTCCCACTGGACACAGCGTAATTAAACCTGCAGCAGGAACGCAATTGTCCCCAGCTTACTCCACCATCCTCTGAGGGACAGAAAAGTGCATATTCTTCAGAGGACAAGTCATCAAAAATAACTTTTTAAAAAGAGCAAAACAAAACAGGAAAGACATTCTCCTCCATTCCTATAACTAAGAGATAATTATAAAAAGTATTTGCTAACCTTCCCAGAAAATACACCTTTAGCTAAAGTTAGTCTTGTAACCTAAGAGGGTAATAATTTGGGTAGGACACAGATAGAACCAGAAATATCTCAGGCCAAATCCTATTCTTAAATAACTAACTTCTAAGATGTCTCCCAATGACATTTGCTGTACTCAGCTTTGACAATATCTAATAATTCTTGGAGTAAGAACGCCATTTGATGGTGGTTGAAAACCTTAATGAACATATGGATTTTCATGGCTGTGGCGTTCATTACAAAGGGGCATGATAGATGTGTTTACTGACTGTTTTATGGTTTCATTGAATTGCTGAATACACAGCTTTCAATTTTTCCATCTGACATACACATTTAGACTTGTATGGCTCTCATTTAAGGTATTACAGTAGATATGAGCTAAGTACATAAAAATATGGTTAAAGCCACAAATTAGAGATCAGAAAATAGGAAGCGAAGAGGAAAACGCTTTTGTTCCACTGTACGTATATCGTGTCTGATGCAGAGGTGGCTTCGGTGTGTGCGCCAAGGTAACTGAAGAGGCCGCCTCTCATGTGGGTTTTTTAATTTTTTGAGAAGAAGCAACCTCTTAGAAAGTCTACCATAAATGTTTCCTCCTTCACAAGCAAATATCTGGATTTTCCATAACCTCCTACATGAAGCCTCCACCACGGCCTCCTCGGTCCACCCTAAACTGTCCGACACTGCTGGGCGCCCGGCGCTCGGCTGAGAAACGGGGTAAGAACAAGGGCGGTTCTGCCACTCCACAGTCGAGGAGCCACCACATTCTGAAAACGCAGGGTCGCAGCGTCTCTAGAACCCTTCTTTACGATTCTGCATTTTTCAAAGATGCTTTGTAAAGCAGTGGAAAATAACAGCTTCTCAAGTTTCATTAAAAAGTAAGTTCTCAAGTCCAGGACCTATTTCAGCCTTCACTTATTTTTATCTTTTTCATCGCAATAAGCCACCGCCACAGGGCCTGCTATTTTTGGAAGGAGAGGACGGGACAACGGAGGGACGGCCTGACAAGTCACAGTTTTCATAAAACAAGCCCCTCATCTGGACGCAGCTGGTGGTGGGGAGCGGGACCGCCACTCGGGACGTCAGCCATTAAGACAGAATAATTTTCCTACCTTAACTGCCTGCTTCCTTATTTAGCCTGAATGTTGCACAGAATGCAAACGCCGTGTGGAAACTGCCAGGGTTCAGGGTACAGGACCACGTGCCTGGGAGATTCCGACAGGCTGTCCTTCCGCCCCCCACCGAGACGGCATGCGGGCGCGTGTTTCCACGGATCTAGTCCGTCTTATCTGCACCAAACTGCCATTCCAGTCACTCACTGGGATCATTAAACCACCACTTGCAGTTTTCCAGGGCTTTCTTTGTTCTACTAGGAAGTATATGCCCCCAAATTATGAAATTCCATTTCAAACAGAATTAACAGAATTTAAAAAATAAAAATGTTAAAGCTCCTTTTAATAAAGATAAAGTGAATGGACCCCGAGGAGAGTGACCGGGTTGGGTCTCGGTAGGTCCCGCTTCCTCCTGTCCCTCTGCTACAGAAACACGATTCTTCCTCTGCCTGTTCCAGGGGGAGACGGGCACTTGGTGTGAACTGGCACTGATCAGGCGGCCTCCTTCTTTGTAGGGTGGCAGAGAGGGTCAGGATAGAATGTCACCATGTGAAGTGTGTAGCAGCAGGAGGTCAAAAGCTCCATTGGCAACTCAGAAGCCAATACGCCCCTGGTCCCCGGCCAGGCTGCAGGGGTGTGAGCCGAGCCCCCTCCGAGCCCCCATCCACCACCACCACCCGCCCACCACCACCACTGCAGGTATCCTGTGGGCCAGGGACTCCCAAAGGAGGTGGCTGGAGACCACCACTCCTGTGGGATGGGAAACTTGCCTTCCTTCTTTTTTTTTTTTTTTTTTTTGAGATGGAGTCTTGCTCTGTCACCCAGGCAGGAGTGCAGTGGCGCGATCTCTGCTCACTGCAACCTTCCAGGTTCAAGCGATTCTCCTGCCTCAGCCTCCTGAGTAGCTGGGATTACAGGAACCTGCCACCACACCCAGCTAATTTTTGTATTTTTAGTAGAGATGGGGTTTCGCCATGTTGGCCACGCTGGTCTCAAACTCCCGAGCTACAGTGATCTGCCCGCCGTTGCCTCCCAAAGTGCTGGGATTACAGGTGTGAGCCACTGTGCCTGGCCTGCATTTTATTTTTAGAATCAGCGTCTTGCTCTGTCTGTTGCCCAGGCTGGTGTGCAGTGGAATGATCTCAGCTCACTGCAGCCTCGACCTCCCAGGTTCAAGCAATACTCCCTCCTCAGACTCTCAAGTAGGTGGGACCACAGGTGCATGCTACCATGCCTGGCTAATTTTTAAATTGTATAGAGACAGGGTCTTGCTATGTTGCCCAGGCTGGTCTCCAACTCCTGGGCTCAAGTGATCCTCTTGCCTCAGCCTCCCAACATGCTAGGATTATAGGTGTGAGCCACTGTACCCAGCCCCAAACCTGCCTTACTAAAATGTGACTTTCAACTAAATCTTCCTCTTACCAGAGAATCTGCCATTTTGTTAGGTGTGAAAGTTGCACTGTGGCTATGTAAGAAAACGGCCATTTAAAAAAGACACCTGCTTCGGAGGCATGCCAGGGTGGTGGGGGTGGGGAGTGAGATTGGTTTTTTTTTTTTTTTTTTTTTTTTTTTGAGGCAGGGTCTCATTCTGTCACTGGCTGGAGATGCAGTGGTTCGATCACAGCTCACTGCAGCCTTGATCTCCCAGGCTTATGCGATCCTTTCTCCTCTGCCTCCTGAGCAGCTCCTGAGCGCCAACACACCTGGCTAATTTTTGTATTTTTGGTAGAGGTGGGATTTCACCATGTTGCCCAAGCTGGTCTGGAACTCCTGGGCTCGTGTGATCTTCCCACGTCAGCCTCTCAAGTAGCTGGGACCACAGGTGTGCACCACCACACCTGGCTAATTTCTAAAATTTTTGTAGAGATGGGGTCTTGCTATGTTGCCCCAGGGTGGTCTCCAACTCCTGGCTCACCAATCCTCCTGCCTTGGCCTCCCAAAGTGCTTGGATCACAGGTGTGAGCCACTGTGCTGGCTGAGGGTGTGATTTTTAAACATCTCAGCAATGACAACTAGATGGGAACGCCAATCCCTGCGGCCACACCTGGACCGGCTCACAGCTGAACCTGGGCAGCGCCTGGAGGAACCTGCCACTCCGCTCACTCTGCCCCACGCACGTCCACGCTCACCGTGGAGATCAGCACGGCCTTCACAGGAGCCTGAAGCACAGTGAGCGGCCAGCTCAGGTGGGGACACGTCCCCGAGAAGGGACAGAGGCTAGCACACAGGGAGACAAAGGATCCATGGGCTCCACAGTGGCCCGTCCTGGACGTGGGCATGCACATGGCACAGCCAGTGTACCCTCAGGCTTCACCACGCCACGCACCTCCCCTCATGGTGAGTGTCCACGAACCACCGTGGGTGTCACCTGGAGCTCGGCAGCACACAGGCCACACACCCCCGGCAGATGCAGCCCCAGTAATGTCTGGGGAGCCCTGGGTCAGAGGGAGGAGACCGGGAGCTAGCTGCAAGGGAAACCGCCCCCATGCCCCAGGGACACTCGCCTTGAAGAGTACTTCTCTAGGGCTGCCCACGAAAGACGACGTCCACGCCCCCGCCGGCGGGAAAGCACGTGTCCCTCACCACCACGATGTTTTCGAATTATCGTTTGAATCTTTAAGAGGTGCTTTTGTACCAGTTTTTAAAGTGACATTTTGTTTGAGGTTTGGGGACAGCCCAGAGTCCTCAGAAGCCTCGGGGGATGACGCGGGTATCTGGGAAGGTGGGTGGGAGGCGGGTGGAAGAGCAGAAAAGGGAAAGATCCTCAAGCCTGGTCCTTGAGAAAGCCGTGTGCTGACCCGGGAGCCTCACGCCCTGGCCGCGGAGGCCAAGGTGCCCTCTGCCACGGGAAGCAGGTCATCTCCCTGCAGACCCTACAGGTGGGGGCCGGGGACGGCGTCTCTGCAGCGGTCCCAGTGCCCTGAACCCGGAGTCCACCCGCGGGCATCAGCTGCTCTACGCCGACGGGAGTTGACACAGCCTGGTGGTGGTTCTGGGTATCGAGAGAGGAATTAAAATACTGGCAGTGCTCCTTTTTATTGAGAGCCGAGCGTTCGAAAGTGATACCGTTTTTAAAGCGCTCTTTAAAAACATGGCAGATACAACTCCCTGCGTCTCTAGCGAAATTCTCTGCCAGGCCCTCTCCCATCTTATAGGCACATGAGCCAGGTGGGTACGGAAGGCGATTTGGTGTGGGTGGGGTGCGGACCTACGGTCAGGACGTCCCTGCAGGCAGCACCCCACATTCACACGGGAAGGCTATTTCTTCCAGTGGACTTGGTGGCCGTCAGCGCGCCTCCCCGCAGCACGTGGAGAAGGCGCCCTCAGGACCTCCCTGACACATACAGGGGCTGAGAGCTCGAGTGGGATGAGACGTGGCTCACGTGTGCAGGCTCCACTGTTCAAACGGCAGCCACAGCCCAGAGCGCAGCAGAGGGCACAGGTGCCGCATCCAGGTGGACAGACCACGGCTCAGCAAACGGGGGAGGCACACGGGGCCCACCGACTGGAGAGACCGCAGCTCAGCAAACGGGAAGCACAAGGGGCCCGCCGACTGCAGGCATCTCCTCCTGCCACATGTGTGAGTCCACAGCCGCACAACTGCCAAGGCTCTGACCTCGTGGAGCCACAGATGCTGCTCCGGCTCCGGTTCCTAGCCAGGGTTGCTTCTCCTCCTTGGGAGGCTGTCTAGAAAAATTCAAGGCAAAGCAAAAGTTCGGGGTGTGTGGGTGTGGCGGAGTGGCTGCCGTTCTCATAAAATCCCTAAGCCTTAGTCTAAACTCCACGTGGTGGGAGAGGTCCTAGTGCCAGGTGGTGCCAGGATTTTGCTGCAGTCAGACGCTTTTCCGTTTATTTACCTCCCAGGGCAGTGCCTGTGGCGCAGTTTCAACAAAGTCCAAACACTCGCCAGTGTCCTGGGGCGAGGCCGTGTCCTGGGGTGAGGCCGTGTCCTGGGGCGAGGCCGTGTCCTGGGGTCAGGCTGCGTCCTGGGGCTTGTCTCCTCAAGCCATCCTCCCTGAGGCCGGCTCCTCCTGGGCCTCTCTGTCCGCCATGCCAGGGGTCGCTTGGGCCGGAGACAAGGAGCCATTGCCGGGACAGGCTCCTGTGCCCCGCGTGCTCCCGCCACCTGCGCATCCTGGGATGGCTGCGGACGTCTCAGCTGCGTCCCATCCACTGGGCTCCTGAGAGCCAGCACACAGCTTCCTGCTCTCCCCAGGCCCGTGCCGCCCTCTGTTCCTGGCCTCCCCCAGAAGCCCCGAATCCTGCCAACTCCCTAGGCAGGTCCCGGACCCGCAGCAAGTCCATCCACATCTCCCAGCTCCACTGCACGTCCTGAGCTTCAGCAGCTCTCCTCGGGCCAGCTCAGTGCCTCACCGGCTGGCCCCCCACTGAGAGCCTCGAAACCACGCAGGCAGCTCCCCATGCTGCAGCCAGGGGAGCACCTCTGGGAGGGAAATCCAGGCCCTGACTGCCTCAGGAGCTCAGGGGCGCAGACGTGTCCTGGCGGGAGGCACAGCCCCTCTTGAACCTGCCCTCCACCCCTCCACAGCTCAGGCTACGTACATCCTGGGCACGGCGAGGCTTCCCTCCACGGCCGCCACTGTGCCATGGCCCTGGTGCCCTCACAGCCATTACCTGTGCCGCCCTCCCCTGGCTTAACGGAAGCCACCGTGGAGTCACTGCTGTCTGTGTTAGCAGCACTGACCCCCGGCAGAACCTGCTGTTTGCAAAGAATAGAAAAGTCACGGAGGTACGGAGACAACGCACCATGACCCATCGTGTGGCGAGGTGCTGGCCAAACTCCCAACGCGGAAGCAGCGGGGAGGGGGGAGGCAGAGTCGGGCCTTGTAATCTTCAGGACATATTGACCCCGGAGTGAAAAAAACACCCCAAGATTGAATTTCTGTATTGATTATCCAATTATTAATCTTGTGGAGGCTATTCCAACACTGCACATAATGAGCAATTCATCACAGCGAGCCGGGTGCCACGGAGCGGTGCGGCAGGAAGGCCATTAGGTTCCTGTAATTGCCGTTGGTGGACTCTCGTTAGCTCTAAATCGAATCAGCGGGGCTGGCCCAGGGCACCCTGACAGACACCGCGGGCCCACGCCAGGCCTCGCCAGCGACCACTCCCAGCCTGGCTGGGAACACGACACTTCCACCGCAGCGACAAGACCGGCGAACGATGCCCCGGAGCAGGATGCCCCGGCGGAGGAGCCCCCGGTGGAGGATGTCCCGGCGGAGGATGCCCCGGCGGAAGATGCCCCGGCAGAGGATGCCCCGGCAGAGGATGCCCCGGCAGAGGATGCCCCGGCAGAGGAGCCCCGTGGAGGGGATGCCGGGGTCTGTGCCCAGGGCCACACAGGGCAGGGACGCCTCCGCAGGAAGGACCTGGGTGCCCCCACACCCTGTCTTCTAGAAGAAATTCTATCAACCGACCGCTCCCAAACCCAGCAGACTTGGAAACCGAGCCTGGCAACTGGGAATGCATCTCATCCTCAGGGTTTCAAACCTCATGACACTGCGTTTCCCACATAAACAGAAAAGACCGCTGAAATAAAAGAGAGACAGGCCCATCCCTGTTCCTCCGAAAAGTTTTTTGACCTCTAAGCCCCTCAAATCCAAACGCAAGAGCCCTCCACCACGCCTGTGGCAACCACGCAGGTGCCATCAGGTAGGGCCGCATTCATCTCACCTGGAATTGTGATTTAAACGTGAATTATTTAACTTCTCGCTTCAACTGTTCTCCCTCTCCCTACTCCGATTTTCTGAGGGCTCAGGGATCTGATCCCCATATGTGGTTTTTTTTTAGCCCTAAAGTAATTCCTAAATACTCACTCATTCTATGTCATCTTTTGAAAGTGGAATCCGTCCCATCCCTGAGTTTCCGCACGGGGGCATGACCCAGCGAACCTCACCACGGCTGCGGCTCCCATCAGGTGACCCTGAAGTGACGGCCCGGGAACCTGCTCGCTGTCCTGTCTGAATTTCCTCCTTGGGGGGGGCTATGAGTTATCTGGAAAACTAAGCACTAATTTCTTCTGTTTTCCTAAATTTGGTTTCTGAAGAAGCCTTAAAATATGTCTTCAGAAGAAAGATTGACCGTGGAGACACAGGCTCTTTCGAGATGTCTGTTCACAATAAAGGACCAAAGATCAACGAGGCTTTATGGCTGCACCAAGAGTGGTTAACTTTAAATGGAAGCAGCCTGTGAGCTCAGTGTGGTACCTGGCGCCGAGGACACTTTCCGATAAGTCTTGGTCCATTTCCAAACACCGAGGTGAGGTCAGCCCAGAGAAAGTGGGAGGGCTTTCTGAGCAGGAGCAGAAGCTGGGATTGGAGCTCAGAGCTCCCCAGCTTCGCGTTCCCTCCCTGGTCCGTGAGCTGACAGTTGTCACAGCCTCCTGCTCAGGTGTCATGGGTGTTCAGCTCAGACTGTGCCGGCACCTTCCAGAACCTTCTGTAACTTTAGCAGGTCCAGATCTAATGGAGATCACTGACCTAATCAAAGTGGTCAAAACTGCTTAAAAGAAACCCAGGTCTCTTTGAGACCCTCCTGGGAGCAGGGGTGCCCCTCTAGGCAGGGGAGCATTGCATGTGAGGCCCACGGCATGGCACTGCGCGGGCGTCTGAGGAAACATCACCGGGCCGGCATCTGCGTGCTCTCCTCTCCTCCCACGCCCTCTGCATGGCCAACCCCCTCGCCGCCCACTGTCCACATCCCAGGCCCAGCTCCTCCTACAGTGAAGGGGGACCTGGGGGAGTGGCTGGGCCCCAGCTGAGCTGGCAGCCCAGGGTGGGTGGCGGTGAGTTCCGGCTGGTGGAGAGCTGGCGTCCGGCAGGCGCGGTGGACATCTGCATATGTGGGTGCCAAAGCTCCGCCTTGAAGGCAGCTAGAGACAGGTGCAGAAAAGGGGAACAGGAAGTGGACGGCGGGGAAAGGACACGGGCCACGCCACTGCACAGGGGCCAGCACGTCCCTCTCCCCGGAGCCCACACACCTCTGCGGAGGCTGCAACACTGCCCAGCAATGGCGTTTCCTTCCATGCGGGTCTCTCCAATGCTCTAGTTCTCCGCTTTCTCCGTACAGGACACTGCAAGAAGCACAGACACCTGGCACGGCAGTGGAGACCGACAACCCTGTCCACTCCAGCAGAGAAAAGGAGCTGAAAAGAACCAGACATCACAGTGAACACAGCAACAAAAGAAAAGGCCGCCATGAGAGAGAAAGGGAGGGAGGGAGGGACGGAGAGAGAGACAGAGAGGCAGAGACAGAGGGAGAGAGATAAGAGAGACAGAGACACACGGAGGGAGATGGAGAGAGAGAGAGATGGACGGAGAGATGGAGAGAGGGACAGAGAAACAGAGCGAGGAAGGGAGGGAGACGGAGAGAGATGGATGGAGAGAGGGACAGAGATTCAGAGACGGAGGGAGACAAAGAGGCAGAGACAGGGAGGAAGGGAGACAGAGAGACAGACTGAGAAAGAGACAGACCGAGAGACAGAGACAGAGAGAGGGATAGAGATACAGAGAAAGACCGAGAGAGAGGGGAGGGAGTTCAGACCCTCCGTGCGTTTATGAGCCTTCGAGCACATTTTTGAGGGGCAGTCAGACTAGTGCTTTCAATTTTTCTTTTAATCCAGCATAAACACCTAATTAACAGATAGGCTCTGACAAACATTTCTGAGCTCTTTTCTTAAATTAAAACACATAAAAAACACCTGCCCATGCGCCCCCTCACCCAACCCTCACACGCACGCCGCTGCCCTGTGGCTGCTGGTCAGGCCGAGCGAACTGCCAGGTGACGACGCTTCCTCCTGCCCGGCACCCTCTGTCCGTCCATCCCTCCCTCCAGCCAGGTGACCAGGCTTCCTCCCACCAGGCGCCCTCCGTCCGTCCGTCCCTCCCTCCCTCCACCTTTTTTCTCCAGCCTTCTGCCAAGAGGAAATAACTCAGCTGCACTGGGAGTCTGGGAATCCCAGAAAACAATCTGAAATCCACAAAAATAATTGAAGTTCACTTTTACTGAGCTGTTCAGTTCCATTCTGATTTTTATTACAATGTCAACAAGAGTTTAATTTGTTTTAAAGTTTGGGTTCTTAAATCTGAGTGATATACGGTAGTTTACAGCCCGCTGGCAGCAGCTACTGTGGAAAAGGGAAAGTACATAACAGGGATCCTCCGCCTGACGCGGCGACTGCGGCTGCGGGGAGCCCGGCCAGAGCGACGGCCCCCAGCTTCCCGCGGGACGGTGGCCACGTGACGGACGTGTTTCCCTCCACAGCCAGCTCCTCCGAAAGCTCCCAAAACCTAACTTCTCACGTAAAAGCACTGCGGATGCGAATGCGCTCACTAACGTTTACTATTTCAGAGGGCGAGGGAGAAGGTTTTTCTTTACTGACTCGTGAGGCTTCTTGCAACACATCACGGGTGGGGGTGCAGAAGCCTGGTGTCCTTTCTAGGGCTCCGGGGGACGTGCGTCAGGAACCCACACATTTGTCCCCTGGCCCAGGGCTCGTCTGTGCGCCTGCTGAGACACTGCCAGGGAGGACATCTGGGCCCATCGGTGCCAGCTGAACAGACACTGGGCTGAACTGCAAACCCATCCACTTGAGGGGTGAGGTCTTCATGGTGCTGCCCCGGAGGGCAGGGGCTCCCTTGGCAGAGGCTGCGCCAGCCAGCGCTGCACACCGTCAGCCCCATGTCTGTGGGGAGCCACAGCCTGCCGGCCACGCCTGCCTGATTTACGCGGCCGCTCGCATGGCTCCACCGGCCCCGGCACAGCCCTCTAACCCGCAGTCCAGGCTGCTGTGCCTTCTCCCTCCCTGCCACCAGCTCTGAGTGCAGCCTCGGGAACTGAGCTGCTGCCAAGGGCTGGGAGCCGTGCGGTTTCCAGGCCCTACTTCCTGCCATATCTAAAATAACAGCAGCTGGGAGGGCCTGATAGGGCCTGTCTGGGGCGAAGACTTCACCTCTGGGGTGGGACGCGGGCCAGGGGCTGATAACCCCCTCCCCGCAGTGCCTGGCGACAGCGTCCTGCTCCATCAGCTCCGTTTCGGAACAAAGAGAGCCCAGCCACAGCTCTGGGGTGATAACTAGGGGAGGGCTGGCCCGGCCGCTGGGTCCATTGTCCCAGTATCAGGCTTTGATTATGGGTCCGGGGCCTGGTGGGCGGATCTTTGGAAGGGGATACACTTTCTTTGTCCCTTACTGTGTGTGAGTGTCCACACTGTAATCTGGAAGGAAGGAAGAACCCTGTTTCAGAATTAAACTGAAAAGGATCAAGAGATTCTCAAAATTCCACACCCAGACCTCCAGTAATGCAACACAGAACCACCCAGAAGCCAGGCAGGAAGTGGCTGAGAAGTTCATGCTCCCGTCTGTGTTTCTAAAGAGATTTCTTAATTAAGCAACACAATAAGTAACTGGGAAGCACACACATTTTTATTCCCTACGAGAAATTCTGTCATGAACACTGTCATTTAAAAATAGAGCTAGACTCCTCCTAACACTCCCTACAGGACATGGTCCAGGGACCGTGTGTTGGACGTGATGGCTTCAAGCCCAATTCCCCCAGCACTGAGCATCTTCAGAGGCCAATGAACCACGTTATGAAACCACACTCAGCTCTCAGGCCCTGTGAAGAGAGGCTCCAAGGGCTGTGTGGAGGGCAGACGGACCCACACCCCTGGGGAGGGCATATCAGAGCAGGTGCCGGGCCAGCACAGAGGGTCCCTGGGAGAGGCCTGGTCACCGGAGGTGGGAAGATGGGGGGACAAGGCGCACAGTCCCAGTGTCTTTGCTGGGGAAGCTCAGGAGCATCTGTCCACGGAGGGAGGGGCTGACACGCAGGTGCCCACAGCCGCTGCTCGGCCGAGACCACTGTTCCTCTCCACACTGCGGCTGAGGAGGCAACTGAAACCACGCCACAGGCTCAGACCCCACGGCGAACCGCTCTTTATAAGGAGTCCTTTTTCTTGCATTAACAAAATGCTCAAAACTCAGTTGAAGAAAAGTAAAAAGCACGTGGCATTGCTAGGGTCTCCCAGCCCCTCCCTAAACACACAGCATTCTACGGAGGCACGTTTCACACAGGTAATGCACCCTTGAGAAGGGCACAAAATTCAGTGATTTTTGGTAAAGGTGCCCAGTTGTGCCACCATCACTGCAGGTGTCAGAACACTTCCATCACCCAAGGGGCTCGTCCACCACCTCTTCCCACAAAGCGGTCTCCTGCCTCTTCCCTCATCCAAGGGCCTCCAGCACCACCTCCTCCCACGCAGCAGTCTCCTGCCTCTTCCCTCACCCAAGGGCCTCCAGCACCACCTCCTCCCACACAGCAGTCTCCTGCCTCTTCCCTCACCCAAGGGTCTCATCCACCACCTCCTCCCACACAGCAGTCTCCTGCCTCTTCCCTCACCCAAGGGCCTCCAGCACCACCTCCTCCCACACAGCAGTCTCCTGCCTCTTCCATCACCCAAGGGTCTCGTCCACCACCTCCTCCCACGCAGCAGTCTCCTGCCTCTTCCATCACCCAAGGGTCTCATCCACCACCTCCTCCCACACAGCAGTCTCCTGCCTCTTCCCTCACCCAAGGGCCTCCAGCACCACCTCCTCCCACACAGCAGTCTCCTGCCTCTTCCATCACCCAAGGGCCTCCAGCATCACCTCCTCCCACGCAGCAGTCTCCTGCCTCTTCTCTCACCCAAGGGCCTCCAGCACCACCTCCTCCCACGCAGCAGTCTCCTGCCTCTTCCATCACCCAAGGGCCTCCAGCATCACCTCCTCCCACGCAGCAGTCTCCTGCCTCTTCCCTCACCCAAGGGCCTCCAGCACCACCTCCTCCCACGCAGCAGTCTCCTGCCTCTTCCATCACCCAAGGGTCTCATCCACCACCTCCTCCCACACAGCAGTCTCCTGCCTCTTCCCTCACCCAAGGGCCTCCAGCACCACCTCCTCCCACGCAGCAGTCTCCTGCCTCTTCCCTCACCCAAGGGCCTCCAGCACCACCTCCTCCCACGCAGCAGTCTCCTGCCTCTTCCATCACCCAAGGGCCTCCAGCATCACCTCCTCCCACGCAGCAGTCTCCTGCCTCTTCCCTCACCCAAGGGCCTCCAGCACCACCTCCTCCCACGCAGCAGTCTCCTGCCTCTTCCATCACCCAAGGGTCTCATCCACCACCTCCTCCCACACAGCAGTCTCCTGCCTCTTCCCTCACCCAAGGGCCTCCAGCACCACCTCCTCCCACGCAGCAGTCTCCTGCCTCTTCCCTCACCCAAGGGCCTCCAGCACCACCTCCTCCCACACAGCAGTCTCCTGCCTCTTCCCTCACCCAAGGGCCTCCAGCACCACCTCCTCCCACGCAGCAGTCTCCTGTCTCCAGAGCTGCGCCTTTTGTGGATGTCTTGCAGGCAAGCCTCACTTCACTGTGCTTCAGACACTGCTTTTCACAAAGGGGAGGTCTTTGGCAACCCTGCACCAGGCATGTCTGTGGGCACCACGTTTCCAACAGCAGGTGCCCACTTCATATCTCTGTGTCACGTTTCAATAATGCTCATGATGTTCCAAGCTTTCTCATTGCTATCATATCTGCTGCGGAGATCTGTGATCTTTGGGGTTACTGTTGTCATTGTTTTGGGGTGCCACGAACTGTGCCCATCTAAGATGAAGTGAATGGATAAGAGCTGGGTGCGTCCTGACTGCTCCACTGACCAGCCATTCTCTATCTCTCTCCCTGGGCTCAGGCCTCCCTATTCCCTGAGACACAACCATACTGACATTAGGCCAATTAAGAACCCTACGACAGCCTCCAAGTTTTCAAGTAAAAGTTCAAGGGCAAGGAAAGGTCACACGTCTCTCACTTCAAAACTAGGAATGATTAAATTTGGTGAGGAACACCCGTCGAAAGCCGAGACAGGCTGACAGCTCAGCCTCCCGCGCCAGTCCAACTGTGAATGCAGCGGAAAACTCTAGACAGACAGAAGTGAAAACCGCTGCCCTAGTGAACAACACCGATGATAAGAGGGCGGAACAGCCTTATTGCTGATACAGAGAAAGTCCGAGTGATCTGGACAGAAGATTGAACCAGCCACAACACTCCCTTAAGCCAAAGCCTAATCCAGACCAAGACCCTCGCTCTCTCTGTCCTACGAAGGCTGAGAGATGAGGAAGCTGCAGAAAAAAAAGTTTGAAGCCAGCAGAGGCTAGTTCATGAGGTTGAAGGAAAGAAGCCATCTCCATACCATAAAAGCAAAGATGAAGCAGCAAGTGCTGATGGGGAAGCTGCAGCAAGTTCTCCAGGAGATCTGGCTGAGACCATTGGTGAAGGTGGCCACACTAAACAACAGATTTTCTGTGCAGACAAAACAGCCTTCTATTGGAGATGCCGTCTGGGACTCCCATAGCTGGAGAGGACTCAGTGTCTGGCTGCAAAGCTTCCAAGGACAGGCTGACCCCCTTGGTAGGGGCTAATGCAGCTGGTGACTTTAAGTTGAATCCAGTGTCCATCTGCCACCCCGAAAATCCCAAGGCCCCTAAGAATGACGCGGAATCTCCTCTGCCTGTGCGCCACCCATGGAGCGACAAAGCCCGGATGACGGCACCTCTGTTCACAGCATGGTTTACCGAAGGTTTTAAGCCCACCATTGAGACTTAACTGCTCATAAAAAGAGCCCTTTAATAATATTACTGCTCACGGACAATGCACCTGGTCACCCCACGCAGGTACAAACACTGTTTTTTTAGACACATTGCTGGTGCACACTTAACAGACTCAGTACAGTGTGAGCGTCACTTTTATATGCCCTGGAAGCCACACACTCCAGCGGCTTTCTTTTGCCATACTGGCTGTATCCCAGTGGTCTGAGGCTGAACCTGCGACGTCTCTGAGGTGTGCATGCAAGGGAGCCACTGAGTCTGTGGTCTCGTGTGTGGATTTTTCCCAGAGCATGAGGGTTTCCAGGTTCACCTGAGTCCTGGGGTGCTCAGTACTCATTCCTTTTGGGGATGGATAACACTCGGGTGAGGATAAACCCCACCTTTCCTCTCTCTTCCCCACATGCTGGGCATTGTGGTTGTTTCAGATGTTTGGCTAAAGAACGCTGTGAAGGACAGTCATGTACAAGCCTTTGTGTGGATGTGTGCATCTGTTTCCTTGAATACATACCTAGGAGTGGAACTGCTGAGTCACATGGCAAGTTTCTTCTAAGAAATTTCTTTAAGAAACTGCCTAAGTGGCCGGAATGTAATGCCATGTTACACTCCTGCCAGCAAGGCTTCAGGGGCCCAATTTCTCCTCGTCTCTAAAATTGGCTGTTGTCTATCTTATCTCCTAAAGCCACTTGAATGGATATAAAATGGTATCTTATTGAAATTTACAATGTGCATTCCCTAATAACTAGTGATGTGGAGTATTTTTTCATGTGTTTATTATCCATTCCTATGTCTTGTCTGGAGAAATGTCTATTCAAATCCTTTGCCCAGTTTTTGATTAGGCTTTCTGTCTTATTATTGAGCTGTAAGTGTTCTTTGTATATTCTGGATATAAGCCCTTTATCAGATAGTTGTTTTGCAAACACATTCCTCTAGTCTATTGCTTATCTTTTCATTTTCTTAATAGTACTTTTGAAGCATAAAAATTTTAAATTTTGGTGAGGTTCCATTTATCAAGTTTTTATTTTATGAGCTGTGCTTTTGATGTCATATCTAAGAAACCTCTGCCTAATCCAAAGTCTTGAAAGAGTTCCTCATGTGCTATCTCCAAAAACGTTTGACTATTTTGGCTCCTACTAGTCCAAGATCAAGTTCATTTTCGGTGCGTGGTGTGTGTTTTTTTGCATGTGGCAAATGTCCCAGCACCACTTGTTAAAAAGGCTGTCATTTACTCCAATTAAATGGGCTTTGTGCCTTTGTCAAAAAATCAATTTACCGCAGACATAAGAATTATTTTGGGGCTTTTAATTCTGCGCCACTGATCTATGTGTCCTATGCCAATACCACACTGTCTTGATTATTATAGCTTCACAGAAAGTTCTGAAATTGCGAAGTGTAACTCCTCCAACTTTGTTCTCTGATTTCAAAATTGTTTTGGCTATTCTGGGTCTTTGAAACTCCATGTAGATTTTAGGATCATTTTGTGAATTTTAGAAGAAAAAATTGCTGGAGTTTTGATGGAGATTGCACTGATTCTCCAGATCAATCTGGAGAAAGCTGCCATCTTCACAATATTGATTCTTCTGTTCCATTAACATGCAATGTTCTCCCATTTATTTAGATCTTAACTTTCCCTCAGCAACGTTCTGTCATTTTCAGAGTATAAGTCCTTAACTTCTTTAAAGTTATTCATATTTTATTCTTTTTAATGCTATATCGTAGATAGGAATTTTTCCTTGATTTCATTTTTGGATTATTCCTTGCATATAGACATAATTTATTTGTACCCTGGTCTCACATCTGATGACCTTGCTGCACTTGTTTGGTAGTTTTAACAGTGGGTTTTCCTTTACCTTTTTGGCGGGGGGAGGGGGGGTGGGGTGTAGGCAGATTTCTCAGGATTTTCTACATATAGAATCACGTTTTCTTCCAATAAAGACAATTTTACTTTTTCCTGTCCATTCCGGTTGCCTTTTATTTCTGTTTCTTACCTGGCTACACTGGCTAGAACCTCCAGTACAAGGCTGAGTAGCAGCAGTGAAAGTGGCCACCTCTGCATCCTTCCTCATCCTAGGGGAAAAGAAGGTCCTCCGTCTTGGACGATTCAGTGTGATGATCACTGTTTTTTTTTCTGTGTATGACTTTGATCAGGTTAAGAAGTTCCCTTGTGTTCTAAGTTTGTCAAGAGATTTTATCATAAGTTGGTGTTGGATTTTGTTAAATGCTTTTTTTCTTGCATTTATTGAAATGATCACGTGGTTTCTGTCCTTTTTCTATTAATATGGTACATCACATGACTTCATTTTCTGATGCTAAACCAACCTTGCATTACTGGGATAAATCCCACTTGGTCATGGTGTAAAATCTTTTTTTTATGTTGTTGGATTCAGTTTGATAATATTTTGTTGTGGATTTTTGCTCCTGTGTTCATAAAGAATATTTTTCTATAGTTTTTCTTACGATACTTTTGATTTTGGTATTAGGGCTATACTGGCTTCAGTATTAGAAGTGTTCCTTCTTCATTTTCTGAAGAGTTTGTGGAGTATTGGCACTGGTATTATTCTTGTAATGTTTAATAAAATTAACCAGTAAAGCTCTCTGGGTCTGGGCTTTTCTTTGTGAGAATATGTTAAATTATTAATTTCTTTTATTTCCCTGCTATAGGTCTATTATACTTTTCTGTTTCTTCCTGAGTCAGTTTAGGTAATTCGTGTCTAAGAATGTTTCCATTTCATCCAGGTTGTTTAATCTGTTGGCATAAGGTTATAGTATTCCCTTATAACCTTTTGATTTTTGCAGGGTCAGTAGCAATGTCCCCTCTTTCATTCCTAATTTTTCTTGTTAGAAAAACTCATTAAAGTTTTGTCAATTTTGTTGTTTTTTCAAATAACTAACTTTGGTTTTATTGATTTTTCTCATGTTTCTATTTCATTGCTTTTTCTTCTCATCCTCAGCATTTCCTTTTTTCCACTTGCCTTGGGTTTTTTCTCTCCTTTTTCAACATTTTTAAGGAAAAAGCTTAGATTATTGATTTGAAATCCATCTTATTCCTCATATAGGCATTTAAAGCTATAAATTTCCCTCTAAGCACTGCCTTACCTGCATCCCACAAATTTTGATATGTTGTGTTTTCATTTGCATTTAGTTCAAAATATTTTCCAATTTCCCTTATACTTTCTAACTTCACTCATTAATTATTTAGAAATGTGTTGTTTAGTTTCCAAATATTTGTGGAAATATCTGTTGTTGATTTTCAATTGATATCCATTGCAATCAGAATATTTTGAAATTTATTAAGGCTTGTTTTATGGCATAGTAGGAAGTCTATCCTATGTGCACTCTGTAGAGTGTCCTACAGATGTCTTGTAAAGTTGGTTGATAGTCTTAAGTGTTTTATATCCTTTTGATTTTCTGTCTAGTTGTTCTATCCATTAAGAGTGATATACTGGTCTCCAGCTATTATTTTTCAACTATGTATTTCTCCCTTTAATTCTGTCAGTTCTTGTTTCATGTATTATGGGGCTCTGTTATGTGCAAATGTGTTTATATCTTCCTGTTCAATGTATCAGGTTTAAGATCAAAGAGAACATGACTACTGACAGTTCATTGTTTCTAGTAATATTTTTATCTTAGAGTTTAATTTGTCTGATATTAGTGTAGCTACTCCAAATTTCTACATTAACTCTGCCTATCTTTTTCATCCTTTCACTTTCAACCTATTTGTGTCTTTAAATCTGAAGTATGTATTTTTTCCATTATCTCCATATCTCTTTTGATTACTATTGCACAGTATCTCTTTATCATTTTACTTTCAACCTATTTGTGTCTTTAAATCTAAAATATGTATTTTTTAGACAGCATATGGTTGTACCCTGTTTCATTCTGTCTTTAACATCCAGTCTGACAACATCTACCTTTTTATTGGGGTGTTTATTCCACTGACATTTAATGTGATTATTGATACGGTAGGATTATGTTTTCCATTTTGCTATTTGTTCTCTACATGTCTTGTGTAACTTTTGCTGTTGTCATTGTTTCTATGTTCCTTCATTACTGGCTTATTTTGTGTTACACACATATTTTCTAGTGTATCATTTAAGTGCATTTTTTGACATTTTATGTGTGTGTGTGACACACTCACACACATATATATTTTCTTAGTGGTTCCTCTGGAGATTACAACAAGCATCTTAGTCAAAACAGTCTATTTCAGATGAATACTGAGTTCTAATAATATGTAAAGACTTTGCTTTGCTGTAACTTCCTTCCCCACCCCTTCCTTTGTGCTACTGTCACACAAATTGTTATAAGCACATTGTTATCAGCACAGGTTTGCAATCGTGTCTTATGCAGTTTCCTTTTACATCAGTTCAGAGAAGAAAAGTTTAAAACATGTTTGTGCTGTCTTTTTAATTCACCTATGTAATTACTCTCACCAGTGCTTCTTACCTCAGCCTGAAGGACTCCCTTTAATATGTCCTGTAGGTCAGGTCTGTTGGCAACAAATTCTGTGTGTCTTGTTTATCTGAGCACAGCTTTGTTTCTTCATCTCTAAAGATGAGTTTTACTAGATATAGAATTCTTGGTTGACAGTGGTTTTCTTTCAGCATTTTGAATGCGCCGTCCCACTGTCCTCCGACATCCACGATTCACAATAAGCAGCTGGCTGTTAATCCTGCTGAGCATCCCACGTACTGAGAAGCTGTTTTCCTCTCACTGCTTTCGGGATTGTCTCTCCCTTTGACTTTCAACAGTTTGGTTTATGTCTGTGTGTGAGCTGCTTTTAATTTATCCCATTTGAATTTTGTGAACCATTTGGATGCACTGAATAATGTTTTCCATCAAATTTAGGAAGTTTGGGGCCATTATTTCTTCACGTATTTCTTCTAATCATCTCTTTCTATAACTCATTATGCATGTGTATATGTGTTTACAGCATCTCACATGCTCTGAGGCTTTGTTCATTTTTATTGATTCTTTCTTCTTTCTGTTCCTCAGTCTAAATAATCTGTTGATTTTTACGTTTGATTCTTTTTCTCTGCCAGCTCAAATCTGTTGTTCAGCCTCTCTAATGCATTTTTCATTTACTTTTCAACTGTGTAATTTCTATTTGGCTTCTTTTTTTTTTTTTTTAAAAATCTCATTATGGATATTCTCTATCTGGTAAGATATATTTGCCACACTCCCCTGTAATTTTTTAAATACAATTTCTTTCAGTTCTTTGAGCATATTTATTGCAGCTGATTTAAAGCCTTTGCTGGTCTAATACCTGAGCCCTCTCAGGGGCTACAGATTTTTCTTCCTGTGGATGGGACATATTTTCATGTTTTCTTGCATGTACTATAATTTTTTGGTTTACAACTGGAGATGACAACTAATGCATTGTAGCGACTCTGAAATGAGATTCCCCCCCCCCCATCCCCCTCCAAATAGGACTTGTTGTTTCTCGGCTTCCCCTCTCCTTGGTTGTTGCTTATGTGACTCATGACTTTCCTGGACTAATTATCTAGATGCTGTATTCCTTGCAGAATGTGGACACTGAGTTTTCTGTTCTCTCTGTTTTTAAATCTTGTTTCTGTCTTTAAGCCAGGCTGCCTAGGGATCACCCTCTGGTTAGCAGAGTTTAATGGTCTGCTGTTACCAGACAGGAAGTTTCCTTAAATCCTTGAGCCACGAAGCCAGTCTCCTCCCTCTAATCACAAAACCTGTGTGTCAGGACCTGCCTCCCAGCCACAGGCAGCTTTACCTCTCACTTCTGCTTGGTGGGGTTTTGAGGTCAGCCAGAGAAGAGTGGCTGGGGCCCTCTCTGTACCGAAGCCTTCACACATCCATTTTCGTATGTGCCCGGGAATCTCCAAGGTTTTTCAAAGTCCCCGGGGTCACCTGGTCTGGCCAGGCTCTTGTTTGCTCCAATGTCGATCGCAGCCTTGGGGCAGCTCCCATGATCACGACTGCAGCCAACGGTGATTGTGCCTCGGAACGGGCCTTTTCCAGGAGCTCCATGACCAGTCCAAATGCGGACTGCATCCTGGGATGGGGTTTTCAACAGAGCCCAGCTCCTCCACGGTCTGTGCTGTCACCGGCTTTCCACGGCTGTGCGCCTCGGGGCTGGAGCGGCCCCAAGTGAAGACGCTGCCATCCTGTTCTTCCCCCTGGGGCCGCTCTTCCTTGAGTGAATGCATCTGTGTTTGTTCTGTCCTCTTGGCTGACTGCCAGATTTGGTGGTTGATTTGACAGTGATGCTGTATTTTTGTTGCTTTGGGGGAGAGCTGATTCAAGATGCTCTCCAGCAGTTTAGAAGGCCTGCTTCTCTCCAGTCCTTCTTATGGAAACGTGCCTTAGCAAACAGTCAGAAATTCTCTGAAGAAAAACAGACACCATGCTCCCCTTCGGCTTGCAAAGCCAACTCATACTTGGATGTTAGGAGTTCTGAGCGGAAATCTTTGCTCATCACATCTCTCTAGTGGGAAGAAAATACTCAACGGTAGAGCTGGGACCCGCGAGAGCATGCGGGCCTTGGCGCTGGGGTTGGGGCGCTCCTGGTTCTGCCTCATTGACTGACTTGGAGCAAGTCCAGCGGCATCTCTCTGAGCCTCAGTTTCCCCCCGGGAAAGGGGGGTGGTGAGCACCGGCAGTTCTGCCTGCCCACAGTGCCATTCTAAGGCTGAACACGCACAGGAGAAAATGTACAAAAGGTCACTATGGAACGTACAAAGGCTACACGTCCAGGACGAGCCTAGGACTGTGATCTGGGTCTTCCGTTTGCTGGCAAGGATGTGCGACCTCAGGAGTGAGTCTCTCAGCATTGACAGGAAGAAAACACTACGGTTCCGACTGTCCCCTCTTTCTAGCCTGGGCTTGGCAGAATGTGTGAGTCAGCTCCTCGCTGCTCCTCAGGAGTCCATGCGCAGAAACGCACTTTGCTATCAGGAAGATCACCTGAACGTGCCCGTGCTCGAGCTCAGGGAGAGCCAAGCACCCAGCTTGAGTGGCCCGGCCCTGGCTGCCCTGGCAAGAACATGGCTGTCTGACAGACATGGGCAGAGCCCTCCACTGCCCCGGCCACCTCTCTCCCTCTGACGGGCGATCGGCCTCTGGGCGCTGAATGTGGCTGTTATGCTTTTTAAATACCTCGCTCATGGCTTCACGCTCCGGTACCCCAGCACATCAGTGCGACATGCTGGCTCACAGATCTAAGCGTGTCTGTAAAGAACACTCGTTCTCAAATAAGGAAGCTCTTTGAAATGTCTACACATTAGGAAGAGAAAACGTATGGCGGTAGGAGGAAGCTAGGCAACTTGATTTGAAATGGAGACAATGCCACTTAAAATGTTTCTGTAAAGTTTGAAATCATCTGTAGGAGGAAAACAGAGTGCATCTACACCAGAAAAACACAGCGTTACAATGACACACTTGCGAATGCCTTACTACTGTTCACGGCTTACCCGCGTCACAGCGACACACCCGCGGACGCCTTACTACTGTTCACGGCTTGCCTGCGTTACAGTGACACTTGCGGACGCCTTACTACTGTTCACGGCTTGCCCGCGTCACAGCGACACACCCGCGGGCGCCTTACTACTGTTCACGGCTTGCCTGTGTTACAGTGACACTTGCGGACACCTTACTACGGTTCACAGCTTGCCTGTGTTACAGTGACACACCCATGAACGCCTTAGTACTGTTCACGGCCTGCCTACGTTACAATGACTCGCGAACGCCTTACCACTGTTCACGGCTTGCCTACACAAGATGACAAAGGCATCGCACACACGCCCCACACTGCCCAGACGCGCAGTCGCGGCTGAACATCAGGGCTTGGTCTCTCTTTGCTGCCACTGGCCGTGAATTTTCTTCGGCACAAAATAGATCTAAACAGTGCTCATTGCCCAAGCTCTGTGAAATCTCTCCAGCTCTTCCCTCTTGCTTCCTTCCACCTCGTCCCTATGTCTCTCTCTCCAGTTACTAATTTTAGACAGCTCTCCACTTAACGCCGAAACAAGCTAAGACCCACTTTTAAGGAGTCAAAGGCAGAAGATGAATAGCTGAAAATGATACCCCCAAATTTCCCTTCCAAGTACACAAAATTGGACTGTAGACTGATATTTCAACTAGAAACAGCATAGAATTCAAAATATTCTGTGTCCACAGTGAATATCTTCAGGCAATTTAAAAAAGTGCCCAGAACCTCACAGGCCCCAAGGAGCAGCCCGTGGGCAGCTCACAGGAGCGGGCACCTCTCCTTTCTCCCGTGCCCACCTCAGGGAAGGACGGAGGCACTGTGGCCTCACAGCCTGCACGCCACGGCGGGAGACCTGCAACAGCACCCACACGGGATGTGCACAGCCCATGCAGCCCCTATTTTTAGAGAGCCTTGTTCAGCACCCGTCTCAGTGCCATCCTTGCCCCCATTTCCTCAAGGGGCAGACTTGCCACTGCAGCTGCCCCAGGGTTCTCCAGCCATGGGCTCCATGCTCACCCGGCCGCACCAGGTTGATGGGGGGCGTGTGCCCGCTCTCGCCTTCCCCCGGCCGTACCAGGTTGATGGGGGGCGTGTGCCCGCTCTCGCTTTCCCCCGGCGGTACCAGGTTCATGGGGGGCGTGTGCCCGCTCTCGCCTTCCCCCGGCCGCACCAGGTTCATGGGGGGCGTGTGCCCGCTCTCGCCTTCCCCCGGCGGTACCAGGTCGATGGGGGGCATGTGCCCGCTCTCGCCTTCCCCCGGCGGTACCAGGTCGATGGGGGGCGTGTGCCCGCTCTCGCCTTCCCCCGGCGGTACCAGGTTCATGGGGGGCGTGTGCCCGCTCTCGCCTTCCCCCGGCGGTACCAGGTCGATGGGGGGCGTGTGCCCGCTCTCGCCTTCCCCCGGCGGTACCAGGTCGATGGGGGGCGTGTGCCCGCTCTCGCCTTCCCCCGGCGGTACCAGGTTCATGGGGGGCGTGTGCCCGCTCTCGCCTTCCCCCGGCCGCACCAGGTTCATGGGGGGCGTGTGCCCGCTCTCGCCTTCCCCCGGCGGTACCAGGTCGATGGGGGGCGTGTGCCCGCTCTCGCCTTCCCCCGGCGGTACCAGGTCGATGGGGGGCGTGTGCCCGCTCTCGCCTTCCCCCGGCGGTACCAGGTCGATGGGGGGCGTGTGCCCGCTCTCGCCTTCCCCCGGCCGTACCAGGTTCATGGGGGGCGTGTGCCCGCTCTCGCCTTCCCCCGGCGGTACCAGGTTCATGGGGGGCGTGTGCCCGCTCTCGCCTTCCCCCGGCCACACCAGGTTGATGGGGGGCGTGTGCCCGCTCTCGCCTTTCTCACTGTCCCTCGCGGTCGCTGGCTGAGACCAGGTGGCAGCGAGTTTTCTCGAGAGGAACTGAAACGCGTGAGTCGACGTCTGAGCCTCAGCCACACGCTGCCTGGCGCACAGGTTTGGACGCGGCCTCTGGTGGCCGCCTCACCTCGGGCACGTCACAGGGTGGGCTCCCTGAGGAAGCAGCTCCGGGCCTGGGGCTGGACGGGCTCTTGGCGTTGGGGAGCTGCCTCTTCAGCGGCCTCCGGAGCACCCGGCCCCGCAGCCCGGCCCGCCCTGCCGACAGCAGGCTCCGTCTCCGGGTGGCGTGCGGTGCGATTTTTACGCCTTGAAACCCCCACGCCGCGGTCCCACGGCACCAGGCACTGACCCCGATGAATGATTTGCACGGCTGAGTCCGCTGCTCCATCCATCACGCGGTAGCCGCCGTCTGCGACGGTAACGACGTTGGATGGCGGCACACAGGCTCTTTCAATCATCCTCAGCCGGGGGGAAGGCCTCAGACCTGGGCGCCGGGCCAGGTTAGTAAGACTTTCCACGAAGGGAGCTTCTCGTCCTCCGGAGCAGCTCCGGCTCAGGAGGGGCGGGCGAGGGGCCCGTTCACAGCCCAGACTGCGGCGGACACGCTCCGGCCGCCTCGTCTACCTGCTCGTTGTTTTAATGACATGGAGACTTTAAACCCAAGTGCTTCTGAGGGACTGAAAGGGCCGACCGTGGCAGAGGCCGTGCGGCGGCCCAGGGGACACGGGGAGGCGCCCGTGGCAGACCAGCCCCGCGCCGAGGGACGGCCGCTGTCCTCACGAGGCTGGAGGAGGGGTGCCCACTTCAGCGGCACAGACCCGCGGGCACCGCAGCGGGCCCCGAGCGCCTCCGTTTCGGAAGACACAGGCCCCACAAACGCTCTCAGCGCGCGAGCGCGTGGCACGGGGCGGCCCTCGCTGACGCGTAATCCACCGCGAGTCCGCCCCCAGCGGAGCCTCCTCACGGCCCTTCTCCACGATGCGGAATGCGTGGAGATCACATTAGAAAAGGAGCCACACGGAGCTCTGTGGCATTTTTTCAAATCTACATTTAAAATAATGCAAGATACAGAAAACCACTGTTTAAAAACTGAACCTCTGTGGCTCGGCCATGCTCGAGAAGTCTGAGGGGAAAGCCCAATATTCAGGAGAAACAAAGACGACCTCATTGTTGGAATTTATTTATGGGTCAAGCACTTCTGAAACAAAACTTGGGAGTAGAAAGGACTGGAAAGCAAAGAAATCCTAAAAAAAAAAAAAAAAAAAAAAAAAGCTGGATTCATTTTTCTTTTTTTTTTTTGAGATGGAGTCTCGCTTTGTCACCCAGGCTGGAGTGCAGTGGCGAGGTCTCAGCTCACTGCAACCTCCATCTCCCAGGTTCGAGTGATTCTCCTGCCTCAGCCTTCCAAGTAGCTGGGATTATAGGCATGCACCACCACGCCCAGCTAATCTTTTTTTTTTTTTTGAGATGGAGTCTCGCTCTGTCACCCAGGCTGGAGTGCAGTGGCGCGATCTCAGCTCTCTGCAAGCTCCGCCTCCCAGGTTCACGCCATTCTCCTGTCTCAGCCTCCCGAGTGGCTGGGACTACAGGCGCCCGCCACCACTCCCGGCTAATTTTTTGTATTTTTAGTAGAGATGGGGTTTCACCATGTTAGTCAGGATGGTTTCGATCTTCTGGCCTCGTGATCCACCCGCCTCAGCCTTCCAAAGTACAGGGATTACAGGCCTGAGCCACTGCACCCAGCCCCACGCCCAGCTAATTTTTGTATTTTTAGTAGAGATGGGGTTCTACCATGTTGACCAGGCTGGTCTTGAACTCCTGACCTCAGGTGATCCACCCACCTAGGCCTCCCAAAGTGAGCCACCGTGCCCAGCCTCATTTTTCATTTTGAGGCTTGACTTCTTTGAGACGCACAGGATGTGGGCTGTGCGTGACCTTTAGGTTCCTGCGGCTGAGCAGAGGCTGCCACAGAGGAGGCTCCAGCGTGAACTGCCCTCCTCAGACCCCTCAGGGATGCAAACACGGACACTGTGGACCCCCTACCTAGACTCTGCAACTGGACACTATTCTCTTATTGCCTTTTAACTCCACATTCCTGGAAAACAAAATCAAAACAAATGAAAAACCACTACGCACAGAAAAAGTTCTATGTCCTCACGGGCAGGCCGTCGTCAGCATCACTGGGCGTGAGGAGCCCCGGGCTGTCTCTGGCTGCCTCTGCACAGCTGTTCATGTGAAGCAGCAAGACCTTGAAGTGACTCAATTCATGGACCCACAGCTCTGATTCTGGTCAGGCGGAGGGAAGCCTCTCAAACATGGCTGGGTGCCCAGGGGCCGGGGCTGAGTCCCCGGCCCCACGAGGACATCCCAGACGCTGGCCTGTCTCCCCCTCTCCCCGCACGCAGCTCTGCGATCCACCACTGCTTGGTTCGCAGAGGGCTGGAGACTAAATCTGCACCCCATGCCAGGCTTGTTGTCCCTGGAGGTGGCGGCCAGGCCAGCGGAACGCAGAAGGGAAGCCGGGGAGGCTGGAAAGTGGACCCGGCAGGGCTTCTGTCACCTGCCATACCCACGTCCTGCCACAGGCACCTCACGGGGCTCGGGGCTGGCCAGGAGGTCCCTGGCCTTGTGTCCGATCGGCCCATTTACAGATAGTCAGGGGTGTGTCTGAGTCTTGTCCCCGCCACACAGCCTTACTTCTCTCCTGTTTCCTCCAACCCCAGCTTTTCGCTCTCTCCCTGTTGTGTAAACTATCAAAGACACAGCGACACTTTCCACCCGCTGAGGACACTTGGCACGCACGGCACCGACTTGACCTGGGGTTCGTGTTGTTTCTGTCTCTCGTCTCTGCTCCTTCTCCAGGTGCTGGGATCGTCCCTTGTTGGGGCGCCCTGTGCTTCCTATTCTTCTCCGCCCCCGAACTCCAGGTCACGCTTGCCTGCTTTCTAAGCCAGCGACTGAGCCCCAGGGTGGCTGCTGAGGTGCCCGATTCTCTTAGGGGTTGTGAAATTAGACAAAATATATATTAATACTAAACAAGGACTACCCACATTCACCCTAGCCTGCCTTCCCTCTCCCGCTGTCCCCATCAAGATGGCTCCTCGCATTTCCATGGAGCTTGTTGGGGTCTGGGCTCCCTCTCCCGCTGTCCCCATCGAGACGGTCCCCAGGTACACCCCCGCATTTCCATGGAGCTGGAGTCTCGGGGACTCAGAGTTCCACCTTACAATTCAGGTCTTCAGCCTGCGTGAGGCTTTCCCGACATAACCCAGGCCCTGACCTCGTTTATGTCACGGCGTTTGTGAGCCTGGGGTGTGGGTTCCAGGTTCCAGGGACCCAGGGCAAGCCAGAGGTCATCTGCAGGGGAGGGGCCGACCCAGACTCAACCCTGACCCGGGACCCTTCCCGGCCATGTTGGTGGATGCTCCAGCCATCTTCTCACAAGGACAGGCAGCGACCCATCTACGGCTCCATCCACCCAGGACGCGGGAAACGGCTCGGCCCGTGTCATTCTCAGTGAAGGCTCCATCCACTCGGCTCCGACAGAGCAATAAACATTTGAATCTGCTTTTCTCACAGGGAGGAACAGGTGTCTAGAGTGGGTGGACCTGCCCCCAGGTGCTCAGGAGGAACCTGGAGTCCATGGCCTGGTGCCTGTCTCCCAGGGTGGCGGCAATGTCAGGCCTGTATCAGGGACTACCCCACCATGACTGAGAGCCTGAGCCTGCACCAGGGACCACCCTGCCCTAACCCAGAGCCGGGCCTGCACCAGGGAACACCCCCATCCTGACCCAGAGCCTGGGCCTGCACCAGAGACCACCCCACCATGACCGAGAGCCTGAGCCTGCACCAGGGACCACCCTGTCCTAACCCAGAGCGGGGCCTGCACCAGGGACCACCCCACCCTAACCCAGAGCCGGGCCTGCACCAGACACTACCCCACCTGCACCACCTCAGCCCCCAGGACTCTCCCCTCCCCTTCACACACACCACGAGCAGAACTTCCTCTGCCATGCGCCCCGCCTGCCTGCCTGTGAAGGACCGAGAGGGGCTGTCTGCCCACGGGGGGGCGGGGGCGGGGGGGAGATCAGGCCACAGCTGACACTGCTTCCAGCTGCCTGAAGCCCTAACTGCTGTGGTCCTGGCTGAGCATCGAGGGACCTCACAGGTGGAGATGAAACGGACATCACCACATTACCTGCACACACTTGCCATGTCATAGGGAGGTGTCTGCACAGGTATCTCAACCTCCATCCCAACCCCGACCCCCGAAGCGGCACCGCCTAGCGCCGTACGCTAACCCCGAAAGCTTGTGTGTGGCTGCTCCCAGGTTATGGAGGCAGAAGCACACAGGACCCATAAACTGTGACCAGAACAGTGTGCAGGGCTGGCGCTCGGGGTCTGTGCTCAAGGTCCCAGGACCGGCCCTGGGCCTGACGAAGCGTACGTGGACGAGATGACTGTGGTTGGTGGGCTGGGGTGTGGTCTGCTCTGACAACACAGAAACCCCTGGGTCTTTTGAACAGGACGTGACCCATTCGATCCGAGTTTGGGGAGGATCACCACGGCAACTGAGTGAGGAAAATGGGGAGAGAGGCCCGCTGGGAACTGAGCTCACTCTGCGGGGAGAGGTTGTCCTCAAGTGTCCCGACGGCAGCACGCCGGGAAACAAACTTTCTTAAAAGGGGTGTGAGCGACTGCTTTACAGCTGGCGAATCCTGGGCTCCAGGGTCCCACTGGCTGTCAGGAGAGGCCCCAATGGGAACGTGGCATTGGGCATCCTCAGAGGAGCTGCAGGCCAGGCCCAGCCCCATGGCAGATGCACTCTGGCCTCAGCCCTTCCATGTGTCAGGGAGTCGTCTGTGCACTCCCCTCCCCAAGACCCATCCCCTCCATGTCCACGCACAGTCAGGCAGGCCAGGGCGGGGTCACACCCACACCCATGCAGCTCCAACATCCCTAGCCTGTGCACTCAGCGACACAACAGCCCACCCTCTGTGGCCCACCAGGCCCCAAGGCAAGGCCTGGCTCACTTAGCTTTGACCTCTAGGACCAAGGCCAGAGGGGCCCGGGCCACCTGGTGAGGCTTTGGCAGTAACGGGCTGGGTAAAGGGATGATCTCACCTGAGCACCGTGCGGGTCAACAGTCCCCTGCCTGCTGTGTTGACGCAGAACACGTCCCAGCCCCCAGCACTGCCGCTGCTCACCCACCCCAAGTCCCACCCCGAACTCTACCCTCGCCATAAAGCCACACGTGGGCCACAGGGCAGCAGAAACATGACCGGGACCTGCTTCCCACCTGGGCCTGCAGGGCACTACCCAATTGTGGGAGCCCAGAGCTGGTGGGTCACAACTGGGACAAGGCATGGCAGGTGGAAAGAGAATTTCTCAGCATCTCCCAGCCGCCTTGGGACCACCTGGTACCGCGTGAGACAAAGCAGGGGTGAGGGACTGGAGGCATGGATGTCAGCGTCCACCTCGCGCAGGGGCTGGGGAGGAAGGCAGAGTCCATCTGTGCTCAGGAGGCTGCAGAGCAGGGACATGGGCCCCATGCGGAGCTCCGGCTGGCCTCGCGGGTGGACAAGGAGGACAGCAGGCAGGTCAGACAGTAAGAACTTCAGGACGACATCTGCACAGGACACGGAACACTGTCCTGGCCCCGCCCCACAGTCATCATGAACCTCCAGAGAGTGGCCAGGGGGCAGCCACGGGCCTCCAGTGTGTGGCTCTGAGGGACAGCCCTGGGGAGGCAGCAGCCTCCTGGGCTGACGGGACACACTCCTGCAAAAACAGACGATGAGGGCTGCGGGCTTCATGGGACACACTACCTCAAGTTCACACACACACACACACACACACACACACACACACACAACCAGGGCTGCGGGCTCCATGGGACACACTACCGCAAACACACACACACCAGGGCTGTGGGCTCAAGAGCTTAATATTTTGGGGGCTAAAATATTTGCATGCATCCTCCTTAAAAAGCTTGTAGCCTTCAGTCAGGAAACAGCAGGAAGGCGTTTGGCCTCACTCCCTTCCCAGCAGATGGGAAACTGAGCTCCTGACGCCCGGGAGTCCCTGCCCCCCCTGGGTCAGGAGGGGCTAATGCCGCCCCCTCCCCAGAAGGCCGAGGCTCGCCTGGACCCCAGGCCACTGAGCAGGGAGTGGGCAGTGGCTCCAGGTGTGTCTGCTGGAACCCGGGCCTGGGAAACGTCATACACTTGGGAGGACTCACTGTGCCTCCGAGGAAATGAAGCCAATTCCCACACAAACCATTCGAGCAGAAAACACGAGCGGAATCGCCCTCTAACGCGTGGTCACCAGGGCCGCGGGCACGCCCCGATCACAACGCGCACACAAACCGCAGGGCCAGAAAACACGAGCGGAATCACCCTCTAACGCGTGGTCACCAGGGCCACGGGCACGCCCCGATCACAGCGCGACTGCAAGCAAGTCGGGCTGCGCCTTAAAGTGTAAACAGTCGAGAAGAACGCCACGGCGCCTTCGGTCACCACTCGTCACAGAAAGGCCTGAGTGCTCAGACGCCCCACACCACCCGCCTGGCTACAGACGTGAGGCCACTTCCTTCCCTAACAACCCCAGGTGTGCGGTGTTGGGTGCATCTCCGCGCTGTGCGAGCCCAGGGGCTAGATGGGGAAGACCCTGCACCTGGGGCCTGAAGGCACAGTCTAGGGCCCCCGGTGTCACGGCCACCCTGCGAGCTCCTGGCAAGGCCGCCACTGCATTTAGATGTGTTTACAGAGCCGCACGGGGTAACGTGCTCGTCACCTCGGCTAAGCTGTTGTCTACAAACCATTCACGGGACTCAGGCGGCACCCACGATGCCCCGACTGCAGAGGCCGGTCCCTCTCCAAGTCAGGGCTTTGAGCCTGAGCCGTGCGGCTCCATATTCAGCTGCAGAAGCAAACCTGGACACCAATGTGAGCCTTAGACCCCGGGACAGGTCTCGCAGGAGGATCTGCAGCCCAGGACCCGCCAAGGGCCCCACACTGCGACCACCGGAGCAGATCTCACGGCGAGCGCCCCAGGTGGCGCTGACGCCGTGGCACCGCACGGGCACTTTATATCAGGAGGACGCACCCCACACCCTGCCCGGTGCCTCGGTGCACTTCCACACGTGCCACACACGCAGCACGCACACGGCCCCTCCATGAGCTCACGCCATGGCGCCAGGCGGGGCACACACCTGCATGGCTGCGGGCACTCACCGTCATCCAGGTACAACTGGTCCAACTCTTCAGGCTCTCGCTTGACCGTTACAGGAATAGGGGCCAAATTAGGACTACCGTCCTCATGCACCTCTGGCAGCAGCCGTGGCCCGGCAGTCGGAGACTCGTCCCTGCGGACCGTGGACGGCAGGTGCTGCGGGCGGCCCGTGGCGGGCGGGCACGCTGGGCTGCAGGGCTGCAGGCAGGTCGGCTCTTGGGTGGCAGGCGGGAGTGGAGGAGAGGGGCTGCTGGGGCAGAGCGAGTGTTCGAGACCAGGGGGGCAGCTACTGCTTGGAGGCGCACTCACCTGCTGTGGCAGCAGGGCCGGGGGTGGCTGCCCGGGCGAGCCGGGGTGCGTGGCCACTGGCCTGGGCACGTCCTGGACGGCGGGGGCCTCTCCGGCCGGCTGCGGGAGTCCGAGGTGACAGTGGCCCGGGCTGGCAACGCCCTTGGTGTAGGCAGCGGGAGAAAGGTCGTGGAGCTTGGGGCTCACGCCAGGGGCCGCTGGCATCAGGGTGCTTCTCTGCGGACAGGGCGGGAAGCCGGCCACGAGGCAGGAGCTGGGGTCGGGTGGCATCGCGAGCTGCTGGCTGTAGTATGGTCTTGGGAGAGGACTTAACCCCTGGCTCACCGGTCCACAGGTTGGAGCAGGCTCATAATCATCAGTGGGTTCTGTTTTTATAATTGGAACTGTGAGAAGGAAAAAAAAAATTAAATAAACACAAGTTGCGAATGAGTGTGATCAGGCAGGCTTGTGGCTGGGGCACCCTCCGCAAAACCAACAGGGCCCTGACTGGGTCCCTCTGTCTCCTGCCTGGTTCTCCCACCCCATTAAAAAAAAAAGGCGTGAGTCATCGGCCGAGAGAGTAGCAGCTGGTTCTAATACTGGCGAGGACTGTTTTCCTTGGAACCTCCTGCAGCACTAACGTGCTATAAAAGTCCACTTGCAAACTGCAGTGGGAGTCCTGGACCCAGGGGCCTGTGGGTTTGCAGGAATCAAAGCGAAAGTTTCAACGTGGATGCACGACTGCATTTCTGCTCCCGACACTCGGTTTGATAAATGTCTGCACATTTGGTAAACTCGAACACAGAACAAGACGGCTTTCAGGAGTCAGTAAAAATCCAACTGCAAAGGTGAACGACTGCTCCAGGAGAGAAGCCGTCCGTCACTGCGAAAGAAAAACACTGTCATGGAGGCTGGACTGCCTCCACGGTGCTCCTGAGTCCCCTTCTAAAGGGACAGGCTGTGTGGAGGCTGTGACCGGGCAGCCTTGGATGGAACAGGGGGCTCCCGAGTTTCTAGAGCTTTCTCCCACCCAGCCCTCCCTAAAAGTCCGGGGCTTTGGGGAAGAGCCCACAGGGCGGGTGCTGGGTCCCCAAGGCTGCTCCGCCAGGCCCGGGCCAGAGCCGACACCGGCTCCCAGCCCACGCCCACCCCAGCCTTTGTGCCGGCTTCTGTGGGGGTGTTGGGAAGCAAACAGGCAGGGTGTGCAGTCAGCAGGAGCGGCGAGGCGGATCCCAGCCGGCATTCCTGCGGTTGCTGTTTTCCTGTTGGTCTCAGGCCTCTCGTGCTACTTAGAGGAGACATCAGACGGCTCAGTGGCTCTAAAGCTCTCACAATGGCGCACATACATTCCTAACAGACGCGTGGTGCCACTCTGAGCGAATGCTACGCAGACAGCAAGCTGTGAGTGAGTCTCCTCAGCCTGTTTTCTCCTCCCCGTGGGCTGCACACTGGTGGGTTTTTGGCAGCAGGGTCGGCCACAGGGAGGGAAACTCCCCTCCTGTCACCACCTGGGGGCCTATGTGTGGCCCCCAAAGCCAGTACACAGGCTCCCGGTGCAAACAGTCGCCACCACAGAGAGCCTGGCAGCCTCCTGCAGTAAACAAAAGCATTTCCACAATTCGAGAGAAAATATTTAGCCCCGGGCTTGAGCCCGTGAGTCCATGCAGCTGTTCCCCGCCACGGCTGGGTGCCGAGGAGTCCACCAGCAGCTGCGAACGATGGAGACGGCGTTTTCCTGCAGCTCGAGACGCCGGAGCACCTGTGCCACGTGCGGCCTCCCCTGCAGCCGCCCTCTTCCCCCCCCGCACAGGTCCCGGCGGTCGTGAAGGCAGGCGCGAGTCATCCATGGTGGCCAAGCCACCTTCCCGCCACACTGGAGGCATCACAGGGACTGACCCATATGGGCCGTTCCCAGCTGTAGGATCTCACCAGCCTGAGTCCGCAGGAAGTCAACCAGAGCTTTCCACCCAGGGATTCCGAGTGGAGTTGCTGCATTTTGTTGCTTTTGTGCTGACTTTTCAAGTCTCTACTTTCATTCACTCATTCAAATCTTTCTATCATCCACCCTCTGAGTAGAAAGATCGAGGTTTAAAGCGTCCGCCCTGCACACTGAGTGGGGAGATCGAGGTTTAAAGCGTCCGCCCTGCACACTGAGTAGAAACATCGAGGTTTAAAGCGTCCGCCCTACACAGAGTAGGGAGGCTAAGGTTTTAGAGGGGGTGGGTGACCAGGAGGTGGGGACGTCCAGGAGGCAGGAAGAAAATCACGGGGCCATTGTGATTCCAAGGCCTTCCCAGGACGCAGCCTGCAGCTCACTGACCAGGGCCCATAAAGCCACACTCTGCTGAGGGTCGTGCCAGGCCTTCCTGGGGCTCTGCAGCCCAGGCATTCCCAGCCTTTGGCCTGGGGCAAGTCCAGCCACAGTGAACTCGGGGAGTGCAGCCCAAGCTGTGAAGCTTGGAGGATGAGGCCAGGGGCTGCCTCTGCAGTGGTGCCCAGGGCAGGGGAGGGAGAACGGGTGTGCTCCCCCCGCCTCGTCAGCCACCCCACCCTGCAAGTGCCGCCGAGGTCACACTGGAATGACACCCCAGGACCAGGTCACCCTGGAATGACACCCCAGGAACCAGGTCACGTTGGAGTGACACCCCAGGACCAGGTCACGCTGGAGTGACACCTCAGGACCAGGTCACCCTGGAGTGACACCCCAGGAACCAGGTCACGCTGGAGTGACACCCCAGGAACCAGGTCACGCTGGAGTGACACCCCAGGAACCACGTCACGCTGGAGTGACACCCCAGGAACCACGTCACGCTGGAATGACACCCCAGGACCAGGTCACGCTGGAGTGACACCTCAGGAACGAGGTCACACTGGAGTGACACCTCAGGAACGAGGTCACGCTGGAGTGACACCCCAGGACCAGGTCACGCTGGAATTACACCCCAGGAACAAGGTCACGCTGGAGTGACACCCCAGGACAAGGTCACGCTGGAATTACACCCCAGGACCAGGTCACGCCAGAGTGACGCCCCAGGAACGAGGTCACGCCGGAGTGACGCCCCAGGAACCAGGTCACGCCGGAGTGACACCCCAGGACCAGGTCACGCCGGAGTGACACCCCAGGACCAGGTCACGCCGGAGTGACACCCCAGGAACCAGGTCACGCCGGAGTGACACCCCAGGAACCAGGTCACGCTGGACTTACACCCCAGGACCAGGTCACGCCGGAATGACACCCCACGAACCAGGTCATGCCGGAATGACACCCCAGGAACCAGGTCACGCCGGAATGACACCCCAGGAACCAGGTCATGCCGGAATGACACCCCAGGAACCAGGTCACGCCGGAATGACACCCCAGGACCAGGTCACGCTGGAGTGACGCCCCAGGACCAGGTCACGCTGGAGTGACACCCCAGGACCAGGTCACGCTGGAATTACACCCCAGGAACCAGGTCACGCTGGAATTACACCCCAGGAACCAGGTCACGCTGGAATTACACCCCAGGAACCAGGTCACGCTGGAATTACACCCCAGGAACCAGGTCACGCTGGAATTACACCCCAGTACCAGGTCACGCTGGAGTGACACCCCAGGACCAGGTCACGCTGGAATTACCCAGGAACCAGGTCACACTGGAGTGACACCCCAGGACCAGGTCACGCTAGAATTACACCCCAGGAACCAGGTCACGCTGGAATTACACCCCAGGAACGAGGTCACGCTGGAGTGACACCCCAGGACCAGGTCACGCTGGAATGAGACCCCAGGAACCAGGTCACGCTGGAATTACACCCCAGGACCAGGTCACGCTGGAATTACACCCCCGGACCAGGTCACGCTGAAGTGACACCCCAGGACCAGGTCACGCTGGAATTACACCCCAGGAACGAGGTCACGCTGGAGTGACACCTCAGGAGCAGGTCACGCTGGAATTACACCCCAGGAACCAGGTCATGCTGGAATTACACCCCAGGACCAGGTCACGCTGGAATTACACCCCAGGAACGAGGTCACGCTGGAATTACACCCCAGGAACCAGGTCATGCTGGAATGACACCCCAGGACCAGGTCACGCTGGAATTACACCTCAGGAACCAGGTCACGCTGGAGTGACACCCCAGGACCAGGTCACGCTGGAATGACACCCCAGGAAACAGCTCATGCTGGAATGACACCCCAGGAACCAGGTCACGCTGGAATGACACCCCAGGACCAGGTCACGCTGGAATGACACCCCAGGAACCAGGTCATGCTGGAGTGACACCCCAGGACCACGTCACACTGGAATGACACCCCAGGACCAGGTCACGCTGGAATGACACCCCAGGAACCAGGTCACGCTGGAATTACACCCCAGGAACCAGGTCACACTGGAATTACACCCCAGGAACGAGGTCACGCTGGAGTGACACCTCAGGAGCAGGTCACGCTGGAATTACACCCCAGGAACCAGGTCATGCTGGAATTACACCCCAGGACCAGGTCACGCTGGAATTACACCCCAGGAACGAGGTCATGCTGGAGTGACACCCCAGGACCAGGTCACGCTGGAATTACACCTCAGGAACCAGGTCATGCTGGAATGACACCCCAGGAAACAGCTCACGCTGGAATGACACCCCAGGAACCAGGTCACACTGGAATGACACCCCAGGACCAGGTCACGCTGGAATGACACCCCAGGAACCAGGTCATGCTGGAGTGACACCCCAGGACCACGTCACACTGGAATGACACCCCAGGACCAGGTCACGCTGGAATGACACCCCAGGAACAAGGTCGCGCTGGAATTATACCCCAGGAACCAGGTCACGCTGGAATTACACCTCAGGAACCAGGTCACGCTGGAGTGACACCCCAGGACCAGGTCACGCTGGAATTACACCCCAGACGTCACATTCAGTCGTCACAACAGTGAGGCCCACTGGGCCCCATCTGAAGACAACGCTCAAGCCTGGCTCACGAGGGTCTATGGCTCTCAGTCCCGCACATTCTCCTTAGTTCGGGCTGAAGAAGGTGCACAGGCCTTGGCAGCGCCGAGGCGGTTCCTGGGAGGAGGACTCTGCCTTCAGCCACCTGAATGTGGCTGCCTCTGGGGCTGCCCTCTTCAGCTGAGGGTTCACAGATGGGGCAGAGCCCCAGGACTGCCTGTGCAAGTCAGGGGGCTGCAGAGGACACGGCGCCCTCATGTTGATTGGGAAACCCTACCCGCCTCGTTTTACATTAGAAAATTGAATATCTGGGCCCTGGGCTGCAACACTTTTTTGAAGGGGTGGCAGGAGGCGGTGTCCGTGGAGGGTGGGGCTCTAACCGCTGTCTGGAGACTACAGAGCTGGAGTCATTTTCATCCAGGGCACGCGTCTTGCCTTAGGCCATGGCGCCCCCAGCTCTGCGGACGCAGCTGGGCCTCAGGAACTGCCCCTTCCTGCTGTTCCAGCTTGAAGCATGTGGTAAATCCAGAAATGATGAGTCCACGACAAAGCCAGACGATGGGGAGCCCCAGAGGCAGGGCTTGGCCAAGTGCTCTCTGTGAACTCAGGCCTGCGCCTTTGAGAGGTGCAGGGGTCACTGGAAACAGGCCCAGATGTGGGAGTGAGACGCCGGTGGGCACCCACATCTCTCCCGCTCAGAAGATGCTGGTGTCCCGAATGGCCAAGCCTCCATTCTAAATTAGGCTGGTAATTTTCAGAGTTTAGATCTTAAGCAAAAGCACATGGCTGGAAGGTTAAATTAATACCCTGTTGGGATCCTCTCTCCGCTGCTCGGGATTTTCAGCCAGGGCCCAGAAACATGGCCAGGCATGGGGGCCAGTGCGCCTCTTCTGTGAAGTGTCCCGAGCGCTTTAAAAACTCTCACCCACCAGCTCTGGCGGACACTAGAGGCCCCGTGCACAGCTGTCCTGTAAATCAGCCGCCCCACGGGCCAAGGCCGGCTATGCCCGAGAGCCGCTGGGGCTGGGGCAACCGGGTGGCGTCTGCTGCTGCTGGCTGGAGAACGTCAAGAACACGGCTCAGACACGGCCCCGTTTAAAACCGCGGTGGTACCGGCATTAACCCCCGCATCTCTCCAGCCACTTGGATTCTTCCTGGGGAAGTCCTGACCTAGGATGGTGGTGGCGAGGGGCACAGGGCTCTGGGACACGCGACCCACCTCCCCAGGATGCTGGCGGCCGGCAGTGGCATCGGGACGCACGGGCTGCTTGCCCTGCGGGTTCGGAGCAGGCCCAGCACTGATGCATCCACCACCCCCAGGGGCAAGCAGAAGGCCCAGTGGACGCTTCGCTGGGACCCCGCCAGGTTGGCAGCTCCTGTCCCCCCACCCACAGGCAGGCGCTCCCTCTCTTTCTGAAGCCTGGGGCTCCAGTCCACAGAGGCTGTGGCAACACGCTCCTCTCAGGAATAAACTCGTGTGCCTGCCCACTGCTTCTCTTCCGCCCAGAGCTATTTGCAGGGAGCTGGGGGCAGCTACTTGAAACCTGGGATCACCGCACGTGCCCCACCCACGACGGCATCTTGTGAGTCTGGAGAGCCAGTCCAGGTCCCTTGGCCCGGAGCTGGCAGCATGAGCTGCGACGTGGTCACCGTGCTTGGAAGGTGGCCTGGGCTGACCCTGCAGGTGCGGGCCCTGTTCCTGCCACAGTGCCCCTCCCTGGGCTGGGGTCTCCACGCGGCTTCTCCCAGCCTTGCCCATGAAGTCTGGCTCAAGTCTGGGGTTGGCCGGATGGTTTCTCAGCCCTGGCAGCGGCGTCTTGTGCCATCCCAGCTGCTCTGAGGCTGCCTCCCACCGGGACCGGGCCTTCCCCAGGCGACTGCCCCATCTCCCTGTCCTTGCCCTAAGGGGCACTGCCGCGAAGCACAGCCAGGGACAAAGGGCGGTGGACGGCAGGGATGCGCGAGGCACCCGGCACCCACAGGGGACGTTTCAGAATGGCCCCGCCTGACCCGCTGGCCTATGAGGATGCAGCGGGATGTTCTCTGCTAAGTCATGTCCTGGAGAGCTGCAGCCTTCCCAATACAGAGAGAAGCTGGAAAGTGCAAACTCACCTTCACAAGCAAAGGAAAGCCACACGGCTGCTTCCACACCCCAGCATCTAAGAAGCTTAAACACACGAACATACTGCACCTGGGCTTGGCCTAAACTGTGCTTTTTGTGTGGGTTTCAGAGAAGATGGATGCCTGCTCTGTAAATCAGAGCCTCGTAAGACGCATCCTATCAGTGAGAAAGTGAGTGAGCGTCTGCAAGAGCGCCTGGGAGTCTCACCCGTGGAGGGGGGCCGCACAGGCCCAGTTCACGCTGTCGCCCGTGGAGGGGGCCGCACAGGCCCAGTTCAAGCTGTTGCCCGTGTTCCGGGCTCACCCTGCACCAGGCGGCCTCTGGCTACCTCCTGATATCAGCCATGAGGGGCTGGGGTAGAGGTGGCGAAAGGATGGGCTCAGAAAAAGGGCAGCTCATTTTCAGGCTAAGCAACGGTGCAACAGAAACACCAATCACCTGAGGGTGAGTTTATGAAACTCGTTACAAAGAGCAGAGTGTGGAAGGCGAGTGCTGGCCTCAGGGCCGGCTGGCTTTACAAAGCATATTCCCACAGAGCAGGCTGGCTGCGGTGTCCATGGCAGTCCCGTTGTCCATGATGGCTGCCCCATCGTCCACGGCAGCCCCAGCGTCCATGGGGACTGTCTGTGGAGGCGGCGCGCAGTGGTCAGCGGCGTGCAGAGCTGACAGGTAAACCGTCCCCGCAGACCCAGGCCTCACGCTTGCATCCTCCGTGGAAGGCACGGAGGGCCCGTCCCATGCCTGGTGCTGTTCTGGGGCCCAGCTTCTCTCTGATGCCGCTGCAGAGTCTCTGCCTCGGTAGCAGTGACGTTGGGAGCTGAGTCCTGGAGGGGGGCTTCCGCCCCAGGTGAGCACGACGTTTCCAGGCCCCATGCAGGTGCCAATTCTGGCCACAGACGCAGGCAGTGAGCTGGGCAAGCCTCTCCTCCAGGACCTCCCCTCCCAAAGCCCCCGCCACGGCCATCGTCAGCCAAAGAGCATTCGGCACAATCCTGGCCTCTTAAAGAACCCCCAAGCCTGGAAAATGGGCTGCCATCCCTACCCGGTAACAGGAGCCAGGACATGAGTGGGCTTCACCCACCGCAGCCCCTCGAACGGTTCCTGTTCTAAAGCCCCAGCCGGGTCTATGCAGCCCCAGGGCAGGCAGAGCCCCTCACCCAGGGCAGACCTGGGGGCTCATCACAGCTCTTAATGGCCCGGACCACATCCTCCTCCCAACGTAGTCCCCTTGGCTGCCTTGGTGTGGCCTGGCTCCCGGGGGACAGCTGGGGTCTTCACGGCTCCCAGATCAGGGCCCCCTTCTGCTACAAGACAGAGGTGACAAGATCTGAGAATAAAAATCGGCATGAGCAACACGGTGGCAGGCACAAGCCTGCCCCACCTGTTGGCTTCCTGTGTGGTTGGTGCCCGGCAGCTCCTGGCTCCTCGGGGGCTCTGTCTGCAGCACAGGGAGCACCTGGGGGTGGGCGGGGGGGGGCCTGGGGGCAAGAACGGGGGCCTGGGGATGGGCAGGCAGGGGGGCAGGGGGCAGGCTCAGCCCTGTGGCTTTAGACAAGTGGGGTCACTGCTATGGACGGACTCGTGTCCCCTCAACCTCATGTTGAAGCCCTAACCCCCGTCCGCGTGACTCTACTTGAGAGTGGTGTTTGCAGGAGGTAACTGGGGGTTAAACAATGTCATCAGGGTGGGGCCCTGATCCAACGGGACTGCCGTCCCACAGGGAGGGAGAGACAAATCGCCTGTCCTGCCATGTGAGGATATGGCAGGATTTTGGCTGTCTGCAACTTGGAATGGTCCTCACCAGAACCCGACCGTACCAGTCCCAACCTCGGACTTCCAGCCCCCAGAGCTGTGAGAAATCAATGTCTGTTGTTTACAAGGTGCCCAGCCGGTGGTGCTCCACTATGGAAGCCCCAAAGACTGAGACAGTGCCCCGGACCCCCTTCTTCTGCCAACAGTACGGCCGGTGGTGCTCCACTATGGAAGCCCCGAAGACTGAGACAGTGCCCCGGACTCCCTTCTTCCACCAACAGTACGGCCGGTAGTGCTCCACCATGGAAGCCCCAAAGACTGAGACAGTGCCCCGGACCCCCTTCTTCCGCCAACAGTAACATCTGGTCCCCAGGTGGCATTGGGGGTGGGGAGATCTAACGCTGAGCTGCCTGCAGGCTGCAGCTGCTGTGCACAGCAAAGAATGATCCCAAGACAGTTCCCTGCTCCCCCATGCCCACATTTTTATGCAACCTTGTGTTCAGCTTGAATTACTCTACCAGGGATGCACTACAGTACTGGACAAAAGAGGTTTTGTTCAAAGTCTAAACCCCTGGAAAACAAAGATCAGATTGTCTTCTGTTTGCTGTATGACAAGAAAGTCCAAGTTTTGCCATCAACATAAACAACCAGGAATGACACCTCCGGGGCATGACTTTTCTCAAACAATGAAAGAAAACAGCGGATGAAGCTGCCTTATCACCCATCCCTCGAGGCTGAGAGGCATCATTTCTCCTTGTTCAGAGCCAAGATCAGTTTCCAGAGCAGGTGAGGGATCCACGGCCCACCATGGGGTAAATCTGCACCAACCAGGCACCGCCTGATGTGGGAGACAGAGAAGGGTCCTTCCGAACTCCATCCGCCTTTGGGAATTTGTGCTCTCTCACCGACTCTTCACTGGAGTTTCTGCTGAAGCGCGTTCCAAGGTTTCCAGGAAGGCATGATCTTCCGGAGTCACGACCACGTGAGTCTGGTGAGTATTCCAACCATGCACGCCACAGACCTCCAGGCTGAAACTGCAGCTCCGTGGAGGCTGACAACCGTGGCTAACCCTGGCCATGTGTCCAGGACGGGCCCAGATGCTTTTGTTCATGATCTCACTTTGCCCCCACACCCATCCTGTGTGTCGGTCGGGGTGAGAGAATTCCCTTTCCCTCAGGTTTATCACGTCGACCCCGAGCAACATCGGTGGGGGGCTTCCTACACATACAGAAGCGTGAAAACAGACGCAGAGCTCAGGTACTTGATGGGGGTCTCAGGTGGCAGCGACGGGGCCAGGACAGCACGGCAGCGAGGGGAAGCGCAAGTGGGGCCTCAGGCTGTGTGGTGGCCCCGTGCTGCTCCAGGGCACAGTGAGGTGGGATCTGTTGCCCAATTAGGCTGATGACAAAGGACGCTCCCACAGACCACACAAGCCAAAACACATCGGTCGGCTTTCGCCAATCCTCGCCCGCGCTGCCCGCCGTGTTCTGTGGGGCGCGTGACTCACGCTCCCAGGCAGCTGTGGAGCCAGGCTTTGCCATTCCGGCTGGAGCCACAGAGCCACGGTGGGGCAGCAGCATGGCCGACGCCGCCCGGAGGCGGCTGCACGTGGACAGGCGGATCCCTCCCAGGCGCGCGGCTGGCGTCGCCAAGCTCAGGGCGCCCCTCTTGCCCCACGCATGTCCCAGAGCGCAGGCTTCCTGGCACCCAGCCTCCCCACTGACTCACACCTCCTGGTTTGTTTTTGGTGGCCCGTGGCCCTTAGATTTCTCAACAAGCCCCTTCCCGCCCTCTCATCCCATCTCAGGCTCCCGGCCCCACCCCCCTTCTGGAGCCAGACTCGCCCAGCCCCAGGTGCGCCCGTCGGATGCTGAGCCCTGTGGCTCTTTCACAGAAGTCTGGATCCTGACGCTGGTTCCCTAATTTACTCCCCTCATCTCTGATTTCTGCAGGAGCAATCTTCCACCCCAAATCCCTCCTGCTTTAAAACACGCTCTGAGGACACGCACGGCCTGAGCGTCGGGTGGCTAGGATGCCTGGCGTCTTGCTGGGGGTGGTTTTGGCGAGCACATCTCGGACCTCCCTTTCAATTGGAGCCCTTCTTCTGACTTTTGGGGAGGTCTCCTGGGAGGCCTGGTGGGGCCAGCACCCCACAGCATGTGAGAGAGAATTCCTTTCCCTCAGGTTTACAACGTTGACAGTGAGCGTGAGAACACGCTTCCCTCACAACGTCGACAGTGAGCATGAGAACACGCTTCCCTCGCAACGTCGACAGTGAGCGTGAGAACACACTTCACTCAGGTTTACAGTGTCGACGGTGAGCATGAGAACACGCTTCCATCGCAACGTCGACAGTGAGCGTGAAAACACCCTTCCCTCACAACGTTGACAGTGAGCGTGAGAACACGCTTCCCTCGGGTTTACAACGTCGACGGTGAGCGTGAGAACACGCTTCCCTCGCAACGTCGACAGTGAGCGTGAAAACACCCTTCCCTCACAACGTTGACAGTGAACGTGAGAACACGCTTCCCTCAGGTTTACAACGTTGACAGTGAGCGTGAGAACACGCTTCCCTCAGGTTTACAACGTCGACGGTGAGCGTGAGAACACACTTCCCTCAGGTTTACAACGTCGACGGTGAGCGTGAGAACACGCTTCCCTCAGGTTTACAACGTCGACAGTGAGTGTGAGAACATGCTTCCCTCAGGTTTACAATGTCGACAGTGAGCGTGAGAACACGCTTCCCTCACGTCGAGTGAGTGTGAGAACACACTTCCCTCAGGTTTACAACGTCGACAGTGAGCGTGAGAACACGCTTCCCTCAGGTTTACGTCGACAGCGAGCGTGAGAACACGCTTCCCTCAGGTTTACGTCGACAGTGAGCGTGAGAACACGCTTCCCTCAGGTTTACGTTGACAGCGAGCGTGAGAACACGCTTCCCTCAGGTTTACAACGTCGACAGTGAGCGTGAGAACACGCTTCCCTCAGGTTTACGTTGACAGCGAGCGTGAGAACACGCTTCCCTCAGGTTTACGTCGACAGTGTGAAAACGCTTCCCTCGCAACGTCGACAGTGAGCGTGAGAACACGCTTCCCTCAGGTTTACAATGTCGACAGTGAGCGTGAGAACACGCTTCCCTCACAACGTCGACAGTGAGTGTGAGAACACGCTTCCCTCAGGTTTACAACGTTGACAGTGAGTGTGAGAACACACTTCCCTCAGGTTTACGTCAACAGTGAGCGTGAGAACACGCTTCCCTCAGGTTTATGTCGACAGCGTGAGAATACACTTCCCTCACAATGTCGACAGTGAGTGTGAGAACACGCTTCCCTTGCAACGTCGACAGTGAGTGTGAGAACACGCTTCCCTCAGGTTTACAACGTCGACAGTGAGCGCGAGAACACGCTTCCCTTGCAAAGTTGACAGTGAGAGAACACGCTTCCCTCAGGTTTACGTCGACGGTGAGCGTGAGAACACGCTTCCCTCAGGTTTACAACGTCGACAGTGAGCGCGAGAACACGCTTCCCTCAGGTTTACAATGTCGACAGTGAGCGTGAGAACACGCTTCCCTCAGGTTTACGTCGACAGTGAGCGCGAGAACACGCTTCCCTCAGGTTTACGTCGACAGTGAGCATGAGAACACGCTTCCCTCAGGTTTACGTCGACAGCGAGCGTGAGAACACGCTTCCCTCAGGTTTACAACGTCGACAGCGAGCGTGAGAACACGCTTCCCTCAGGTTTACAACGTCGACAGTGAGCGTGAGAACACGCTTCCCTCAGGTTTACGTTGACAGCGAGCGTGAGAACACGCTTCCCTCAGGTTTACGTCGACAGTGAGTGTGAAAACGCTTCCCTCGCAACGTCGACAGTGAGCGCGAGAACACGCTTCCCTCAGGTTTACAATGTCGACAGTGAGCGTGAGAACACGCTTCCCTCACAACGTCGACAGTGAGTGTGAGAACACGCTTCCCTCAGGTTTACAACGTTGACAGTGAGTGTGAGAACACACTTCCCTCAGGTTTACGTCAACAGTGAGCGTGAGAACACGCTTCCCTCAGGTTTATGTCGACAGCGTGAGAATACACTTCCCTCACAACGTCGACAGTGAGTGTGAGAACACGCTTCCCTTGCAACGTCGACAGTGAGTGTGAGAACACGCTTCCCTCAGGTTTACAACGTCGACAGTGAGCGCGAGAACACGCTTCCCTTGCAACGTCAACAGTGAGTGTGAGAACACGCTTCCCTCAGGTTTACAACGTCGACAGTGAGCGCGAGAACACGCTTCCCTCAGGTTTACGTCGACAGTGAGCGCGAGAACACGCTTCCCTCAGGTTTACGTCGATAGTGAGCGTGAGAACACGCTTCCCTGGGGTTTACGTCGACAATGAGCTGAGAACACGCTTCCCTCAGGTTTACAATGTTGACAGTGAGCATGAGAACACGCTTCCCTCGCAACGTTGACAGTAAGCGTGAGAACACGCTTCTCTCACTTGCCGTCTGAAGAGCGAGGCAACCGACAAAAACTGAAATTTAATAAAAGCTGTCTCCCTCAGGTGGTTGTGGGGCCTTCAGTAGAACAGGGATGAGGGGCCCACAGGCCGCTGTTCACAGGTGGGGCCAGCCCAGCTCCAACCCCAGAAGCACTCGGCAGCTGGGCTCCCAGAATTCTCACCCCTGTGGCGACCTGGAGCGTGGCGCAGGCCACGCTGTGGGCTGGAAATGTCAGCATCATCCGCTCTGTCTGAAATCAGGTAGGACTTCTAAGCTGCGGCAGAGCTGGGCTGAAACATCAGTGTAGGGGTCCCGGCTTGACCCCCACAAGCTGCAGAAAGGGGAGGCCACCCTGGTTCCTGTGCAGGACATGGCATGGAGTGTGGGTCGTCTGCGTTTTAGGCCCTTGGAGGGCGCACGAGGGGTGCCAGGAGAATCTCTGCTTTGAGAACCTGTGACCAGGCCCTGGTGCGTCAAGGTGCCCACAGCCGACACATGGAAAGTCTCTTAAGGCTGAAACCCAGAGCGCCGCGAGGCCAGGGCTGACCTGACGTTGTCAGGAGCTTGGAGGCAGCCGCCACGGTGGCAGGATCAGATGAGGGAAGGCGGGAGCCATGCCTGGGTGTCTGAGGTGGGCAGGTTTACTCTGCAGTGAGAGCCGAGCTCAGGCCCAGCCCCAGGGTGTCTCCAAGTGTGTGGGGTGAGGGGAGGGGGAGGGGAAGAGGCCACAGGTGTTCAAGGCCCACCCAGGCTGTGCTTTTGGCCAATGGCAGCGAAAGGGTGATTTGGGGCCGCTGAGCATCTGCAGAGACCTCAAGAACTTCACTGTTTCAGGATCAAGCTTTACATGCAGTGGACTTGGACAAAGTGAGTTGGAAAGTCCAGGGAAAAGGCAGAATGGGAAACCCCTGGGAAGGAGAGGCTGCCGGGCTGAGCAGAAGGGCATGGAGGTCGGGCGGCGGCCCAGAACTGCTTGTCTGCAATCAGGCGGATCCCTTGTGGGGTGCTCTGAGCCCCTCAGCTCACACAGCCCCAGCTGAGCTTACTGAGGGCCTGGGCCACGCCACCTGGAGGGGGCTTCCTAGAGGGGCCGGTTCTGCTGCCTGGGAAGTGCCAGCAGAGAAAGCCCCCAGCTGTCGACCCTGGGTGGTGGGATCTGTGCACGGGGACCTCAGTTTCACAGCCGCCCCCCGCCCCCCCACGGCTCACACCCTAAGCAGCTCTCTCCCGTGATGATCGCTGGGGTGGACCCAAGGCCACAGGACCCCGGCTCCCTCTGTACCAACACCTCTCCGATGCCACAGTTATTGCTGGATTTAATAATCCATTGCAAACAGGGAAGTAATGGAATCTATTCCCCTTTCTACCCCTTGAGGCAGAAACAGATTCTCAAGCCTAGGTCATCGTTGCAGGGCCAGCAGAAGGGCTGGTTAGTACCGGGGGAGGGAAGCGCGTCTTCCCTTCTTCGTGACGTTTGAGTCTCCAGCTGGCTCCTGTCTGGGCTCGGGGCCCACGCCCACCCCTGGTGAAGGACCCCCAGATCCCGAGGCAGATCTGTTCCGACACCTTCACACCCTGGATGTCACGTTCTGTGGTCAAAGCTGTTTCTGTGCCTGGGTCATCACAGCAGCCACTCCTTGTCACGGGATGACCCTCAGCTGGACCGCGTGTCCCCTGAGGAAGGGGGCTCTGGCCACGAAAGGGACCCCCACAGAGGCAGGGCTGGCTGTGTGTTCCCACAGGGACCTAGGGCCGGGAGCAGCTTCTCCTGGGCACTGATGGGGGAAGAGCTCCGTGTCCCCAGCTCAGGGGCCCTGGGAGCGTTTCCAGGTAACCGACTAAAACGACTTCAGACAAAAAGACCTGGCATTTGTCATGTTTTATTTTCTCGTTTAAAAAAATACTGACTTTGGTAGGTAATTTTGAGTTTGTAACTTGGTTTTCTTTCTCCAAAGTGCCCGCAGCCCCCCACGAGACAGATTCCCGGCCCTGCCTGCTTGTATCTGGGGGCACAAGTGCACCCCTCACACAAGCCCCAGGCCACGCGGACGCCGCCTTTCTAACCAGACCTGGGCAGGGTTCCCACGTTCCAGGTTCGCCTCTCTCCTTTAATGCTGACGTGCTGGAATAACCTCTCGGAACTGCCAACCTTCCTGGCACCAGATCATCCCTCAGCCCTCCTAACGCGCCTTCCGGGAGATTAAATTCAGGCGCAGTTACACAAAAACAGTGACAGACAAGCCGCTCAGGAAGCCTCTCTGTGGGCATGTGTGTTCCAGCCTCTAACTGCAGACAACATTTTCACTTTCCTCACCGGGCAGCACCCCGGGATGTCAGGAGGGGCGGCCGGCAGGACTCCCCGAGGGCTATGCCCACTCCGTTCATGGGGCTCATACATTCTGCTGGGAACTTCTCCCCATTTAATGCCTGCCCCCCGCCCCAGGGAGGGTGAAGGGAACTCTCCCTCTGGGCCCCATCACAGACCATCAGCCAGAGGTGTCAGCCCCACCTGAGCCCGGGGGCCCCCTGCACTCAGATGCCTGATTCCCGGAGGCCGACCACTGCGACCTTCTGACTCAAAAGGAGACGTGAGGCCCCCTGAAGACGGGAGGCGGGGCCGGGACAGGGGCTGCGGACTGAGCTCATCTTCGGCCGAGTCATCGGAGGATGCCTTTGGCACTGAGACGAGGAGTGCGGGCGGCTGGTGGCCAAGGCGTGTCCCCAGCCCGCCCCCCACAAGCACCGGACACCTCGGGCACCTGGATTCCAAATGCTTGGAGCTCTCGGAGGGGCCTCCCTGTGCTGCCTGTGGGGATGGCAATTTTGAAGGAAAACCTACAATGAGACTTGACTTTACAAACATGTACGTGAAATGAATTCCACAGCTGGAGTGTAAGTGGGTTCACTGTTGTCACCTTGTGCATTTCAACGGCACATTTCACAACCCTAGGAGTCCGCCCCTCACTGCCGTGACCCCCGGGCATGCAGACCCGAAGCTCATCGGCACAGCGGAAACCTAGACTGCTAACGACCCCATGATGACGGTGTAGAAAAGGGAAAAAGCCAAGAGCAGCTTTGAGTCAGGGCGGTGCTTGCTAAGCAGCTGTCTTCCACCCACACCCACCCGTCCTGCCTCCACCTCCAGGGTCGGCAGAAGCAGAGCTGGCAACTATCTCTCGGACCACATGGCAGAAGCCATCTGAGCTGGACCCCAAGACACAGATGCACAGCACGGAGGACGCAGGTCCTGGAGCGGCCTCGGCGTCCTCAGACCCAGCCGGGGTTGCAGAGGCAGGAAGTGCAGCGGGCACGCGGGACGGAACACGGATACCTGGGTGCTGGTTTCTATTCATTATTTATTTAACAACCACACTGACAGTGGCCTCGAGGTAGGCCCAGCGTCAACACTGGGGATCTCGCCCTGCGGCAGCCTGGGGGCTCTGCCTGAGGGGCTCACAGTCTGGTGCAGGTTGCGGTCGCAGCCCCCAGGACCAGGTGGGGTGACAGGGAGCCGGGGAGCCCCTGGGGGCTGGTGGGGCTGGTCAGTGTGCTTGTGGGGACCTGGGATGGTCACCCAGGGACTATGGTGCTACGTCCAGGAGAGAAGAGACGACGGAGGCAAAGAGAGGGAGAACGGGCGAAGGCTGGTGCCCAGGGTGAGCCTGGGGAACCTGGCCTGCGTTGAGCCATGCTGGAGCAGATGGGGGGTGGAGGGTGCAGCCGAGACACTGGGCAGGGGGTGCAGGAGAGATGTCCACGCTGGGCACAATGCTGAGAGGGGAGCCGGGGCCAATCGAGGCAGGAGTGTGGCTGGTAGGACAGGACGGCCGGCTGCCAGGTGGGGTGTGGACTGGAGGTAGCAGGAGCGGCTCAGCCCCACCGGCTTCATGCTGTGGCCACGGTCCTGGGGGCCGCCACCTCCCACCTGTGAAGGGCAGGCACGCTCCCCGCACGCCCCTTCTGCCTCTGAGATACGTGATCTGTGCTAAAGTCAGTGCTGCTCAAACCCACGGTGGGGACTGCCGCATGCTGAGCAAATAAGAAAAAAATTAATGCACTGCTCTGGAAAGCAATCCTTCTCTATAAGGCCTAGGTTTTCTTTAAAACATTCAATTTCTGGTCAACCATGCTTGAAGTTTAATTAGGACTCAATCATTATATTTTCAGAAAAAGATAAAATATTTTCTTCTGTAAGATATATTGTACTTTGTTCCAAGAATGGGCTGGACTCACTAAGTGTGGGCGGCACAGACCACGTAAACCCCAGGGGGGTCCAGAGCGTGAGGCCCTTCCCCACAATCCCGGGGGTCCCAGAGCGTGAGGCTCTTCCCCACAATCCCGGGGGTCCCAGAGCGTGAGGCTCTTCCCCACAATCCTGGGGGTCCCAGAGCGTGAGGCCCTTCCCCACAATCCCGGGGGTCCCAGAGCATGAGGCTCTTCCCCACAATCCCGGGGGTCCCAGAGCATGAGGCCCTCCCCACAATCCTGGGGGTCACAGAGCGTGAGGCTCTTCCCCGCGAGGGCTGGGCTGGGGGCTGCACATCACCCCTGCAGCTCTGTCTCACAGACACTCTTAGGGTACAGCGACTTTACAGCAAAACCCCATTTTCCACATCTTGAGAGGCCTTTCCAGAGCTTGCCTGATAAAAACAAGGAGTCCCAACAGTTTGGTGTGAACGTGGGGATTCAAGGGCTTCCTTAGGATCTGGTCTATTACAAATGCTGTTTACATTCAGAGAAAATGGAAACCTTCCAAAACACCCTGATTTTACTAAGAGAACGCAGCTGCTTTTGCAATTAGCGCCCAGTGTGTAATTTCCCTCTCAGATGACAGGAATCTCTGCAGTTTTTAGAAAAAAAGCAATATAAAAAGATTATTGATGTTAGCTAAGCTTACCCAAAATACAGTAAAATTCAGGATGACCGCTAACTGTCCCCTCCGAGCTGTGGGGAGTGGCCTGTACCCACAAAATACAGTAAAATTCAGGATGACTGCTAATTCTGTCCTCTCCGAGCTGGGGGGAGTGGCCTGTACCCACAAAGGAAGCCGGGGATGGCGTGGGGGACGCCTTTCTCTTCTACTGGTTCAGGGACTGAAGAAACAAACTGGATGGTATTTTCTTTAAGAAAACACCCTAAAGGTTAAAAAGGTAAGATGATTTTTTTTTTTTTTTGTATGAGTGAAAAGGAGCCATTCCCACGGCGGGTGAGGGGCAGGCAGGTTGAGGAGAAGGTGCCCCAGCCTGGATGCCCGTGGTCCCAGGAGATGAAGTTACCCCTGGAGAAGTGTCTCGGGGACGTCCGCCCAGCACAAAGCTCATTCACCATCCTTAAAGACCACATCAGGACTACAGGCTTAAAAGCAAAGTTTATTCCTAAAGGTGCCTGCAAAATAGCTATACCTATTTGCCTTTTCACCGTAAGCAGCTTTAGGGTGCAAATGCACACCAGGACCCCCTCAGTTTTTTGGAGCAGAAGAGCCATGTTTTCCCCTTGGCTGTTATACATTCGCAAGAAGCAAAATAACCGTGACTATCTGAGTATGCAACCCCCGCCCCCCACCCCCAACAGGGATCAAGGAAAATGCATCCGAAGCTTCCCTTTTCCTTTCCTTTTCAGGGCATCGATGGCTCGGTCTCACTAACGGGACATCACACAGTTAAATGTGCAACACGCCACGCTGCTTTACGGCGACGTCGTTTCTGCGTCTTTAGAAAAAGCACCCCACGCGCTCATGTTCACGGCTTACGGTTAGAAAGATGGCGTTACCGTTGGCGGGAAGGTAGGTGAAACGCTGGTACTGGCTTCGCTTTCTCTTCCCGTTGCAGACGTAGAAACTGACGTGAACGGGGCTGGTTATCCTCTGATTCCGAAATGGCGGGATCTCAACCACCAGAGAATTCTACAGGAGAAGGGCACACAGGAGGCACAATCAGCACCGGGCAGGCGATGGCTGCCGCGCCACGGCGGCCACACGGCAACCCCGCGTTTCCACGGCGGCCACACGGCAACCCCGCGTTTCCACGGCGGCCACACGGCAACCCCGCGTTTCCACGGCAGCACAGGACTGCCGTGACGGTAAACTCCCAAGCAGCCACCTGGGCGGTCCAGAAGCAGCTGATGACAGCCCTGGATGCTCTGTGCCACCTGCACACGCGTGTGGACACGCACGCTCACAGGGAAGGGGCTGCCCTTGGCTTCTTGCACACCCAGGAGCCGAGAGGCTTCCTCAGAGCAGCACAGCAGACAAGACCAACCTAAGACTGAAATCTTGTCAATATGGGGAAAGAAGCCAGGAAAAGAGAAGCTGTAAACAGAACTGGGACCGGGTGCCTGAGGGTGGAGGTTGCCCGGGGCCACCTGGGCAAGGGGACTGGCGGGGATGCAAAAGGCTCTGCCTGCTCTGATGCCAAAGGGTTGGTGACCTTCAGAAAACGACCCAAGGCTCCGCCGCCAGCCACTGTGTGATGGAAGTGCTCGGTGGCCCAGCACCTGCTCAGGTGACTGCAGCGAAACCCAGAGGAGCAGGTGCTTCCTGGAGACGCGGTCTCTGGGGAGGGCCTGTGTTTGTCACATTTGACGATGGCCGAGGCCCTCAGTCAGACCCCAAATTCACTCCAACTGAGGAAGAGGAGGCAGGCCCTGACCCCCGCAGACCCCGGGGTGGGAACAGCCAAGGGCACGGAGGCACAGACAGCAGAGGGCGGCGTGTGGAGGCTGCCGTTACCTTCTCATGTTTTTAATGTAACAGCCAGCAGCATGTTTACGAAACTCATGCTCCTTCAAGTATACACATGAAACACAAGCCATGGGACGTGTGGCGCTGTTCGCAGAGGTCGGGGCTGGGTGGGGGGCTGGGACACGGAGACCCCAACCGCGTGCTCAGGCCCCAGCGTTACTCGGGCCCCTGATGACCCTAAATGACTGGGGTGATGCAGGCATCCCTGCCGAGGGCGGCACTTGGTATCTGGGGAGAGGGTTGGCGGGAGTCGCATCTATAAAGTTTCATTTTTATAATCATATGACTTAGTTTAACAAGCAGGAGAAAAATCCATTGTATTACTTCTTTTGTTAAAATAATTAATTATAGCTCAGCACCTAACTTAGCCAAATTGATTGAATCACATTAACAATGAAATCTTAAGAGTGTTAAAGACAGAAAACTGAAGACAACTTGAGGTCCAGGCTCTTTCATTTACAAATAATGAAACAGCTGAGGCCCAGACACCCATGCAGAGGGGCCATGCCCTCCCCGCACCCCTGCTCCCCACCCCACTGGGCCCTGTGCCCAGGGGCCACACTTTCTCCTGGCAGCAGGTCTGTGTTGTTTAATTAACTGCAGTTCATTGGGAAGAAGCAGAAGCCATGGCACATGGGCGTCTTCCTGCCTTTGCCCCGCATCAGAGCTGCCCCAGGGGAGCTGAAGCTGCCGCCGGAGGGGCCATGAGTGCTGTCAGTGGGCGGGGCCTGGGCTGCCCCCAGAGCACTGTGGGTCTGGGCCATCTCCTGGGCTGACCCGGGAAGCTCTGGCCACCCGGAGCCTGTCTCGGCATTTGTACGGGGGATAAAGAGACGCTTCCTCCAAGGCTGTTTTCTGAATTCAGCAGTGCTCAGGGCAGCTGCGATGGAGTCAGCAGCTACACCAGGTGGGTCTTTAGAGCAGAAGCAGCTGAGGGAAGAGACAAGAAGGAAACGTCTCATGGAAGCCGAGACTGAAATAGTAACGGGCCGGGAGGCACTCACAGGCAGCAGCGAGGAGTGGGGAGGCGGGGACCCCACGGGACAGGCTGGGGTGGAGGCGGGGACCCTGTGGGACAGGCTGGATGGGTGGAGGCGGGGACCACATGGGCCAGGCTGGCTGGGCAGAGGCGGAGATTCCGTGGGCCAGGCTGGCTGGGCGGAGGCGGGACCTTGTGGGCCAGACTGGGTGGAGGCGGGGACCCCGTGAGGCAGGCTGGATGGGTGGAGGTGGGACCCTGTGGGGCATGCTGGACGGTGCATGCCAGTTTTCCTAAGTCCTACCTGACTGGAAGGGCCTATGTTGATGTGGGCACAGGCCAACCCACTTCAACTCTCTAAATAGACAAATTATATGACAAAAATACTATCTCCGTGGGAGCACTGCCACTTAAATACACACAGAAGGAAGCGATAAAGAAGAAACACGGAAGAACAGGAAGGGAGAGGGAAACTCGTCTGTACCGGAAAAAATACGGGTTCCAAATGGCACCAGCACCTACGCAACCTGCTTTAAACTCCACTGTTGAGATGAAGCTCATACACTTACTTATAGAAAGTACAAAAACCGTAGACACAGCACATCCCATTTTGTTCACAAAATATGCACAGGCGGGCACGGTGGCTCACACCTGTCATCCCAGCACTTTGGGAGGCCCAGGTGGGAGGATTGCTTGAGCCCAGGAGTTCAGGACCAGCCTGGGCAACACCGCGAGGCCCCATCTCTACAAAAATTTAAAAATTAGCTGGGCAGAATAGGGCACACTTGTGTCCCCAGCTACTGGCGAGGCTGAGGCATGAGAACTGCTTCAGCCTGGGAGGTCAAGGCTGCAGTGAGCCATGATCAAGCCACTGGACTCCAGCCTGGATGACACAGCAAGACCCTGTCTCAAAAAAAAAAAAATAAATAAATAAATAAATATATATATATACACATACATATACACACACACACACACACACACAAACACATATATCCACAATATAATGTACTCTGTGTGTGTGTGTGTGTCTGCGTGAACATCCACACACAGCAGCAAATGGAGCAGGACGCATGCCCAATGCCAGCAGTGGTTATGTCTCAGTTGGTGAGACTACACTAGGTTTTATTTCCTTTTTTATATTGTCCAAATGTCCACGATGAGTATGAAGTTCCTTTATGATGAGAAAATATATATATTAAAGCAAACTCCATTTAAGAGATTAAAAATGAAACAGCAGGCCGGGCGCGGTGGCTCACGCCTGTAATCCCAGCACTTTGGGAGGCCACGGTGGGCGGATCACCTGAGGTCAGGAGTTCAAGACCAGCCTGGACAACATGGTGAAATCCCGTCTCTACTAAAAAAAATACAAAAACATTAGCCAGGCATAGTGGCCGGCGCCTGTAGTCCTAGATACTCGGGAGACTGAGGCATGAGAATCGCTTGAACCTGGGAGGCGGAGGCTGCAATGAGCTGAGATCGAGCCACTGCACTCCAATCTGGGTGACAGAGCGAGACTGTCTCAAAAAAACAAAAAACAAACAAAAAACAACCAGTAAACTTGAAGTACACAATTTTTCACATGTGCTCTTAAGTTTCTTTTAAAACATACAGCTGTTAAGCTTCCCTCGAAATATGCCAGTGTCAAAAGTAAAACAGAAAATCACAGAGAATGTGGATGTCAGCTTGGCTGGGATTGTTTTCAGTGCAGAAAGGCTCACGGCTCCTCCTGGCTGCTCTCCCTGCCTAGGGGGACAGGGCAGGCCAGCGGCTGGGCAGCCCAGCTCCGGCATCCTGCATCCCGCAACCCGCGTGCATGTGCGGGGCTGGCGAAGCCTGTGGAGACCCCGACGGAGCCAGGGCTAGGGAGGGTAGGCAGCACGAGGCCAGGCACCAGGGTACACTGCCTGCAGGCAGAGGGACGGAGAGCCAGATGTCAGTGTACCCAGCACAGACGCACAGCAGAGCAAGGGCAGCCCAGTGGGGAGGAACGAATCAGACACCCAGTAGGTGGGGAGGCCTGGCAATGACCCCATGGACGAAGGCTGCCAGCCCCCTGGGCAGTTGCAAACGCCCGGCCAGCGGGGAGCCACAGACCTTATGGGCACAGGAAATGGCCGTGGGGAAGAGAGGCCGGTATGGACACGGGAACGGGCTGTGGGGAGGAGAGGCCGGTATGGACACGGGAACAGGCTGCGGGGAGGAGAGGCCGGTACAGCAGCTCCAGCTGCCTTTGCCTGTGGCTGGCCGTTCCCAGGACCCTTCTGAGCACCCTGACTCACTGGCTCTGCGGACAACGGGCCGTGTAGGCCGGGACTCCTTCCTCTGAACACTGGCCTGCCCTGGGGCCTCCAGCTTTCCTCAAGGGGCTTCTCAGGTGAAGGCAAGAAAAGCGACAGCATTGAACTGGAACCCTGTGAGTGCCAGGAGCTTCAGGGGAGGCCTGAGCACCACTGAAGGTGCAGGTGAGCTCACTTCACCCAGGGCCAGGGAGGAACCTTTTCCATCTGATAACCACTTGGAAAAGGTTCTGGGAAGGGGATGGGTCCTTGGGGGAAGGGCGCTGAAGTCGCAGGGTGGAAGACGCTGCTTTCTGACAGAGCCACCTCTTGGGACAGGGAGTGAAGGTGCCAGCACCGCTCTCCATGGAGGCCACCGATCGTCCCACCAACAGGAGACGACCTCAAGACTCCTCCCCGGTGTCCTGTCCACCTGCCTCCAGCCGCCCGAGATGGGCTCTTCCCTGAGGTTTCTGAAGGGACCAGCTTCCAACTGCACACACTGAGTGGGTGCACAAGACTCCCCGACCCGCAGGGACACACACTGAGTGGGTGCACAAGACTTCCCTGACCCGCAGGGACACACACTGCTGAGCTCAGAAGCATGTTCATGTCTTCAAAACTCCCTTGTGAGCCATGTGGCATCTTATGTTGGCCTAGAGATTTCTACTGCTTTTATAGGACTAAACAGAACACTCAAAAAATCCAACGTAGGGATCAATCCAACTGTATCAATAATAAGTGAACATCAGGCCGGGCACGGTGGCTCATGCCTGTAATCCCAGCACTTTGGGAGGCCGAGGCGGGCGGATCACCTGAGGTTGGGAGTTCCAGACCTGCTTGGCCAACATGGCAAAACCCCATCTCTACTAAAATTACAAAATTAGCCGGGCGTGGTGGTGCATGCCTGTAATCCCAGCTACTCGGGAGGTGGAGGTTGCAGTGAGCCGAGATCACGCCACTGCACTCCAGCCTGGGCAACAAGAACGAAACTCTGTTTCAAAAAAACAAAAACAAACAAAACTAAAGACCTAAACATCAATGGTCTCCATGTGCCAATTACAAGACAGCGTCAGAGAGGATCCAAGACACCACCCAAGAAGACGTTGCCTCCAAGAAACCACTTTAAACATGAGCACATGGATCAGAAGCGCAGGGATGGGAGAGATGCACGCAGCAACCGGTGCCGTGCAGGAGATGTGGGAGCAGCTACAGCCATCCACACAAAAGGTCATCTCCAATCCGAGGACGGTCATTATCCTCAGGCACCGGCTGTATGCACGCGGTGCCAGGGAAGCTGTGGCAGGTGACTGGGGGAGTTGGAAACGGCCCGGTGACAGCAGAAGTGTGACCCAGCCACGCGTCTGCCACGACCCCGCACACATGCACCGCCCGCTAACAGGCTGTGGCCAATCGCGAGTCCAGGAGCCACGCCCAGGCTCTTGTGCTTGGGACACCATCACAGGGGAGGTCGGCGCAATCAGTGGCCTCGGAGGACGGGGTGAGGAGTCCCCACTGGGGATGCCGCAGAGCCCTGCCCTCGGTGCTGTGAGCGGGTCTGGGCAGGTGCTGACCACCCCCCGGGAACTCAGCACAGCACTGACTCCCAGGAGCCTGCTCTGTGCCAGGTGATGGTGACAGCAAGGGGACAGCAAAGGGCGGGAGGGTCCGTGTGAGACGACCTTCCCTGGGCTGTCTCAGCGCCAGGGTGTGTGAGGTGGCCCTCAGCCTGTCCAGCACCGTCCCCGGCCGCCAGGGCTCTGACGTGACCTGACACGTTGGGTGACAGCACATGGTGCTTTGGCGAGTACTTGGTGATCCTGTTTGTTACTGGTTCTGTTACTCTATGCACTATTTTTATTTGTTTCATTCTAAGAAACAGGAACCCCAGCCTCCCAAGGCCTGGGGACCCGCAGTGGCTCCAGCAGACCCCAGCCTCCCAAGCCCTGGGGACCCACAGTAGCTCCAGCTGCGCCAAAGGCACTCACCGGCTTGCACAGGTCCCGGTCAGTTTTCGCTTCCATCTCCCAGACATGGTGGCCATCTGGAAGAAAGGAGCAGGAAACGTCTGTGACTCTGTGTGGTGGGGAGCCCCCTCCCCAGACACCCCCACGTGATCCAGACCCAGGGCCCTGAGCCAGGAGGGCGCCTTGTCCCAGGAGACCCACGTAGGCCCATCCCAGGGCTTTGTCGAGGGCAGCACCTCAGGAGCCACGTGCCCTGGCAGGGCCCCGAGCTCGACACCAAAGTTGCCCTGGGAGCCTGGAGAAGCTGAGGACACGCGGCTCAGGGCTTGTTCTGACCCCAGCCCGGCGTAGGAGGGACTACAGGGCAGGGGCATCCTCAGGAATCCGTCCTGGCCCTGCATCTGCTGGCCTCTCACAGCCTCAGGACAGGTCACGGGAGGGTCTCTATGCCCTCGTCCTCTCCAGGGAGAGCAGGTGTGAGGGGGAGCAGGTACCCCATCAGCAGAGCGTGTGCAGGGCGTCTGTGCGTGGACCTGGGACCCGGCTCTGCAGTTCCCAGCCCAGCCTCCCAGGGATGCAGGAGGTGTGAGAGTAGTGACGGGGGGCCGGGGGCTCCACGCCAGGGTGCGACGCCTGCTCGTGCTGGGGTCTACTCTGGTGGATGAGGGCCTGGCCGCTGGCCCTGCCTGTGTGCAAAGGAACCACTGGGTAAATGAGAAGAGCCTTCCTCTGACAACTTCTTGCCCATCAGGAGACAGAAATGCAAAACACGAGGTATTTTTGGCATTTCCCCAGTGGCCATTTGCATGTTTTTAAAAAATAAAAAGGCTCCCAGAGGTGTAGTGAAAGGACGCGTTGTGCTCTCTGCTCCAGGCCTGGCAGAGTGGGGGCTCCAGGCGCACACGGACAAGGCGGCCCCACCACAGCCTGGGTGTGTGCACGGCCTGGCCCCTCAGATGGGCTGAGTTTGGGGCAATTATCTCAAATTAACAGATGTCAATCTCCTACAGAGTCTCTTCCTGCCTTTTATCTTCTCCAAAATAAAGTCTGTTCCCAAAATGAACAGTTACAGGTATACACACTTAAGTTTATCCTTATGCTCTGTCTCCAAAGAAGAAAATGTGTGTCTGTTACAAACCCTCAATTACTGATAAATCAGACAAAATCTCCTTTTTCTCTGTTACAGTGCCGGGCTGCTGCCTGGGTGGAGGGTGGAGAGGAAATGTGAGTCACACAGGACCCCAGAGCCGCCCAGCCAAGCCCTGGCCATGCCAGCCCGGGAGGCCCGAGGTCCCCACGCAAATTACCCACCAGATGAACCCACTCGATAGAGCCTGGCATCCCTCTCTCCTCTAGGAAAAAAATTACAGGAAACTAAAAAGTACACTCAGTTGCGCTTGAAGCCATCTGAGTTTCATGAAGCAGCAAGTCCTCCAGGCCCTGGAAAGCTCAGGAGCTGGGAAGAAAGAGGCGTTTTCACTCCAGCACAGGTGCTGATGCCACAGGATTCCCAGAAGCCCCCAGCCCAGATGCACCACTCAGAAGCCCCTCCACCCCCACTTCATAAAAATCCAAATCACTCTGTGTGTAACTAAGTCTTCTGGTTGTTTGGCACCTTTTGAAAATGACTTTTGAACTTTTCTTATGACAAAGTCCATCTTTGGGGTGAGGCCCCGTCCACACCCCACAAAAGGCTGTGGTCCTCTGAAGCTCCCGGGCGCAACAGGCTATAGTTTGCTTCCCGCCCAGCCCAGGAAGCTCAGAGTCACAACTTCAGCTTCCCTAGGAACTTCCCTGACGCTGTGGAGGCCTTTGGCACTGGCAAGGGGAGGGAGGTTCAGTGACTGTGCTGAGCAGGAGGGACACTGAGGCGCACACGGGGCCAGGATGTCGCGTTTAATGACACCCCGAGGGGACGCCATTTTTGCAGCCGAGGCCAACACAGCCTGCTCCTCTCTTTATGTCCCGAGAAGCAAGAGGGACTCCAGCCGTCTCCCCCGCGGCCTCCTCCAGGTGGCTGCCCCGCAGCGGTGAGTCCATGAAAAGCAAATGGAACGACGGCATGGAGGCGTCTTTTCCCACCCGTGCCTCGTGGGCCTGTGGGGAACCATCCTTGCCGGAGCGGCCCCAAGGGGAGCCACGTCTGCGTGGCCAGCCAGGCCCAGCTCAGCAGCTGCCATGGAGCAGCCTCCACCGCACACCTGGGAGCACCCGCACCCTGCAATTCCTGCGCAGGTGGGAGCAGATACGCTTAGACTTCCCCTAAAAGTGCGGGGAACCGACAAACATCCCTGCCTTCCTCAAAGACCCCGGCTGAGCCAGCGCCTGTGGCCTTCCCTCTTGGAGGTGGGGCCTCTCCCCGTGGTGTCCGACGTCTGTGGCCGTTTCAGGTCGACCAGGGTGAGGGTGAGGGCAGGCTTTCTGTTTCTGCTTAAGGATCATAAAGTAATTGTCTTTCAAAAGCAATAGTATTCACGGCCAGAAATGTCTATCTAGCAATTGCTTCCAGAACAAGACAAAGCGCCGAGACTGCTGAAAGATGGAAATAACCTCGCATCTCAGGAAAGGAGACGCAGGGCCGCGTCCCGCCGGCAAGAGCATCGCCATGGCGGCTCCCAGCTCCGTGGAGGCCCGGACGGGCAGCGCCGGCCCCCGTGCTGTTCAAAACTCAGCCCCTGGCAGGAAGGAAGGCAGCCGGTCCTGAAAGGGCCTTTGTGTTCAGCCTTATCAGAGCTCCGAGTCCTTAGTAGGAAACTGCCCGAGTGCAGGAGTAAAAATATTCCAGATCATTAGGGAATTCCCTGCAGTCTGAGTCATCGGGAGGCTTCCCTGCCACACCCGCGAGGTTTCCACACAGGCAGGCCTGCGGGCCCAGGAGCCTCCCAGACCGGCCAGGACCCGCCGCCCGGAGCCGGGCCACCCCCACGCCGGTGCTGATGCTGAGCCACTGTTTCCACAAAGAAAGCCACGAGGGCCGCTGGTGGAAGCAGCAGCGTCCCTGGGTCCCACGGTGCCCTCGAGCCCTGCTCCCCACGGCGTCTCCTGCCCTGCTCCCCAAAGCATCCTCGTGCCCTGCTCCCCGCGGCGTCCTCGTGCCGTGCACCCCACAGCATCCTCATGCCCAGAAGCGAGCGTCCCTGGGGCGTCTCATCCATCCCCGGCTCTCCCCCAGGAGTCTGTCCCAGCCTGGCTCCCAGAGGAGATTCTGGAGGGGAAACAGCCACCCAGCCCTGCTGCACATCTGCCTGCAGGGCCTCACACGGAGCCACCCTGTGACCCACAGCCCTTTCACACCGAGGCATGTGCTCAGGAGACAGGCAGGCGTCCACACAGGACTCACGCACTGAGGTTCATGGCGGCTTTTCCACGATCATCTCCACAGGGTGGACGTGGCCTAGTGCCATCGACAGACAGGTGTGGGCAGCCACACGGTGGGCTTCCCTCAGCCACAGAAAGACCCCACGTCCCGACCTGTGCCAACGAGGGGACCTGAGGACCCTACGCCCTGACCCACACCAACGAGGGAACATGGAGGATGCCACGCTCCACAGAAGCTGCCAGGCACCACAGCCGGCAGGATGGGGTTCCCCAGCAGGCCAGCAGGGAGCAGCCAGACCAGGCGAGGCCACGGCGAGGGGGCATTGGGGTTGTCGGAGCCGGGGTGGGGGAAGGGAGAGCAGGGGTGGCCACTCATGGGCAAGGGTTTCTTTCTGGGGACAAGAAAATGTTCTGAAATTGGTGGTGGCCGCATAATTATGTGAAGCCACCAAAACCCACCGAATTATACACTTTGAGTGAATTAAATGGTGTATAGATCATATTTCGATAAAGCTGATATAAAAAAGAAACTAGCCAACATGACCATGGGTGACTTTGTCGTGTATGATCCCAAAAGGCCTGAGAAGGGAGAGGAGGGAGGGGAGCCAGAAGCCCGGCCCCTCCTCCTGCAGTGGGGACTGACGTGACGCGTGGCCTCCCCACACCAGCGGGGCCCAGGCAGGGGGAGTCTGAGAGTCGCCCCTAGCGCTATCCAGAATGCGGCTTGATGAGAACTGTGGGGTCATCACTCAATTCTAGGGGTCCTGGACCATCTGGGCCACTGAGCCATCCTCAGGGCATGAGGAAGACACGGGCAGGTGTCTCTTCCCCGGGCGCTGCCCTCCTTGCCTTCCCTGTGTGGTCTCTGGGAGCAAACAGAGAAGCCTGGGGGTTCAGCCCGGCCACCTGTCCTGCTCCCAAAGACGCCATGTGGTGACAAAGCAGCCCCAACTCTCCTCTCTCGGAGCACACGGCGACAGTGATGTCTGTCCACACTCACAGGCGCCCAGCAATGTCACCTTCTCCCTGAAAACACAAATCTGAAAGATCTGCATTTGGCCTTTAAACTGTTGGGATGGACACCTCTGAAGGTGTTGTCATTGCGATGCTGCCTTCGGGGCCAGCATCCAACATCTTCAGGAGGTGACAGCTGAGCTGCTCCACACAGGGAGGCTGCCCGTGCCGCGGACGCTGGAGCTGGGAATTCCCAGCTGTGTCCTCCTTGCTCACCCAGCCCCGTCAGAGGGCACACCACGGAGATGCCACAGAGGCAGCCATCCCCCGGGTCCATCTCCCTCGGCCTACATCCCGCACGACTAAAACAGAACACAGACCCCACCACCCACCTGGACTCCACCTTCCTCCTCGGCCCGCTCCTCTGCCCCAGGCCGAGACCTTCCACAAGGGACAGAGGAGGGACAGCAAGGGCCGAAAGGGGCAGTGCCACTAGTCTGCCTTACAGGGGCCCTGACCCTCACCTCCTCCCCGCCCGCGAGAAAGAACCAGACCCTAGGAAAACAAGGAGCAGGGGCAGCTGGAGGAGGAGAGGGGCAGGGTGGCCAGCGGGCACTGATGCCTCACTGGGGAAATCGGGGCCTGCAGGGGCCTCGGGGCTTCCGCGACACCCTGGGGTGGGTGAACCTCCCCCTGGCCTTGAAGGAACCTGAAGGTGAGCCCGGAGGGAGTGGCTTCAGGCCTGGGGACTCCTCTGACCCGGCTCTCTGGGCGGACAGGAGGGTCCTTGCCTGGCGCTTCCTGCACCTGGATGACATGGCCTCTGCCTGGGGACATGCACCCCACACTCGCCGCGGTGAATGTGTGTGTCCCGGCATAGGACCAGCAGCTGCCAAGGCCACGGTGGTTCCGTGACAGCCCAAAGCCACGGTGGTTCCGTGACAGTTCCGTGTCCTTGCAAGTGTCCTGCCAGCTGCCAGCTAAGCTCTGTGGCTGCTGGGTGGAGCCTCCCAAAACAACGGCCAGGTGCCTGTCAGAGCTTGTGGAAGTCCTGGGAACCACACCGGTCACGGTCCCATGGCAGGGCAGCCTTGGAAAGGCCCGGGCCTTTGGTCCCTTTATTTGAAAAATAACAACATACATTTGGCCCAGATTTGGAGTCCTGGCCCTCCCAGTGAGGTGGGAGGCAGGCCCTCCGCCTGCTGCTGTGTGGAGAAATCTGGAAACCTAGCCTGCGTCTCCTGCAGTGTGGCTAGTGCCTGCCCACAGGCCTGTCTTCTCCACGTGGTAACATCCAGGGCCAGAGGATGGGGCGGCCGTGGGATGGGGCGGCCGTGGGATGGGGCGGCCGTGGGATGGGGCGGCCGTGAGATGGGGGGCGAGCTGGGGTCCCACCATGTTGGGTTTGGGGCGAACCTGGCTGTCTGGGGTTTCTCAGGGGAGGGCTCTGGATGTGCTGGGCTGGGGGCCTCCGGGAGGGGCTCTGTCTACTCGCTCCCACCGTGCAGGCCACCCGGCCTCCCACATTTCTGTGTGTCTCCCTGCGAACCAGGGCAGGGCCCCTGGGGTGGTGGCTGGCACGGCACTGGGTCCAGGCCTGGGCCTAGGAGCCCTGGCACAGCCCGTCTCTGCTTCCCGGGAGCCCCGGCCGCCTGTGAGATGCCAGGCTGCCTCCCCAGAGGGGCCCCGGGAGGCCACGTAGAGGGGCCCTGATTACCTGGAGAAGGAGACGCCGGCCGTCCAGGCCCCAGCTGGCCTGCCAGTCACGGCGGCCACAGAAACGACCACTGACGAGACCCGTGCAGCCCCACCCGCTGAGCCCTGCCCGCTGCGCGATCGCTGGCAAACGGAGTGGGAGTCTTCACCCCCGGCGTCGTAGTGTGGCTTCCGCGCAGCGACACCAAAACAGGCTTCGCTGATGTTTTTAAAAAACGGCACCAGAACAGACGCGTGACTTAAGAAAAGGAGGTTGTTCAGCTCCAGCATCGAGAACTGGCTCATGTTTGATGCATCCACATCTCAGAACCTTGCGCCTTCTGTCTCATCTCAGCCAGGCTCTAGACACAGCCCGAGCTCACGTTTCACGCGGGCGTTCTTCGGGCGTTTCGTTTATGTTGAACGTTAGTGTGTCCCTCAGCAGCTTCAACGTTCACGCGTGTACAGAGAGGTGCCTCACATCGGAACACAGACACAGTGATCTTTAACAGGCGGGAGGGGTGCAGGTGTGAAGGTGGGGAGGGGTGTGGGTGGGAGAGGGGTGTGGTTCCCACTTCCTGCAGCTGAACCCCTGCAGCCTTGGAAACTGGGGGTTCTTGTGATGCTACCAGGGGCTTCTAAACCAACACCCGGCCCTCGGCTCCCCACAGCCAACCTGCCTCCTGGAAGAACATTCCTCACAGATTTTCATCATCGGAAAATGTCGTTTTCCGAGGAAGCTGTAAACTAAGTCCTCAGAGAAAGGCTGACTCCGCTCCCGGCCTTTTGCGCCGCCCTGAGACACCTGGGAGGAAGCTCCGTGGAGCGCAGGCTGAGACTCAAACACCCACCCTCCTCCTGCCCTGCTGGAGCATCCCAGAGGGACCCGGCACCCAGGCTACGGCGAGCCATGCCCTTGCCCGGCCGGCTCCCCGCAATGCAGCCCTGCTGCGGGGACTCCCTTCCTCATGAGGCCAACACCAGCTTCTCCCAGCCTTCCAGGGCAGTGGAGCCGCTCCATCTAAAACTTCCCAAAGCTCAGAGATGCTGTGAACCCATAGCAGCTGAAGGTGGCCTGGCTGATACGCAGAGGCTGAGCTGGCCTGGACAATGAGCTTCCTACGTACTCCAGAGAAGGACAGGGTGGAGCCGACCCTGGCCTGTGTCCAGAGCCAACATTCCCAACAGCTACAACCATCTGCACCCTCGGAATGAGCAGGACAGTCGAGAGACGCAGGGGCCCTTCCTGGAGAAGCCACTTCAACTGCCCTACTGACGGATTTCCTCAGCAGGAACCTCCCCTCCTGAGCTCACACCCGGCCCTGGTTCCATCTGCAAGAGCAGTCTAAAACAGAACTTTAAACAGACCAGACGATCCCATCAGAAAACGAGAGGGCAACTGTGTTTTTAATTTAAATTCAGTTTAGTGGTTTCTCTCGTTGCCAGGATGAGGATGTGGGGCTTTCTGCTGCACCAACCTGTCACTGCACATCAGCACGTGTTGTAAGCAACGGCTCCCGCCTGAGAAGCCGGAAGTGGAGGAAGAAAATTATGTGGACATTTGTTCTCCACTTTTGAAAACATGGAATGTGCTTGTGTGTGTATGAATATGCAAATTATCTTATTCAACTATAAAGAATAAAATTATCAACGTGGTCTGGCTTCATCCCTGCAGTATTCACAGCTTCACGTGCTCTCGAGCACAGCACCTATTCATTTATGGCTCACCTGCTGTATACCAGACGCCGGCTGGTGCTGGCAGAGGGTCAGAGACCCACCCTGACCTCATGGGACAAGAGGAGGACATGGGCAGACAAACTGGCATTGCCCAGAAGTGTGGCTGTGGCAGCCGAGCTTAAGGGCAGAACAGGTACCCCTCCGGCCTGCTGACCCCACAGCTCACAGTGATGATGAAGGCAGGAGGGGCTGCCTGTAGGGGCGGCCGCATGAGGCCAGGGCTGGTCCTGCATCCCCTTGGCTCCTGGCCCTCGCAGGCTGGTGGCTGCCCTTACCCATGGCGCCGTGGCACCAACTCAGCACAGTAACTTGGCTAGGGCAGGAGCTGGGGCACCTCTGCGGACTGCATTCGGGGGGAGGCTCTGCCAAGGTGCCCAGGCCTCTCTGGGCAGAAGAAAAAGCAAGGAGGCTGCTCAGGTCTGGGCTTTGAAAAGCAGAAGCTGGGAGCCACGGTTCTGGCCAGTCTTGGCCCAAGCGAGGCCCTACACTGTGGGCGAAGTGTTTCTCCGCCAACGCGTGGACACACACCGAAAGCTCTGAAGGGAAAATTATTTCAAAATTAGCCTCCTCCCGAGAAGGCACGGGCAATGCAAATGCCTTCCCGGTCACTGCCCTTAGTTGGTTTTCTCTGTAATTTAAAACATGTTTTCCAATTAAGCCCTGATTCTATAGGAAGCCAAGTTAGAGTCAAAGACCTCTAAAGCCGATTTTGATTGAAGCACTTAAGTTTCCGGCAAACTGTACAAATCAAGACCCCATTATCAAGGCTGAATGCCTCCGCGGTTTCCAGGGATTGGAGTAAGTGCAAAAGAATTCCAATTGGTAAGTGTACAAAAGGAAAAAAATATCACAAAACAGGCCTTGTGGGGGCATGCCCCTCACCTGGCGCACCCTGGGCAGAGGCCCAGCAAGGCACCAGGAACCCCCAAAACCAGGGAGCTCACGGCAGGCTTTGCGGAGAGCCAGGCCCACTCTGCCTGAACCCCCTTGAGGGCTGGGCTAGGGTCCCTGTGCCCAGCTACACTGGTGCCCACTCTCCCTGCAATGCCAGTTTCCCATCAGTGCAGCCCACTGTCTTCACACACTCTGCTCGGAGCCGGCGAGGCCACCCCTCTGGGATGAGAGTGCTGGGGCCCGGCGTCTGCATGGAACTGACCTGGGCTGGGAGCCACTCTGTGAGCCCAATCCCCGCAGGACAGTCTCCCGTGGGCAGCACAGAACCACAGGCGTGACGGCCCCAGGAGGAACATCACTCCGAGGACACCCCTGCTGCCCTTCCAAGTTCAGCCCCGGAGCCTCCAGGCTGGGCCAGCGCAACACCTGGAGGCAGGGGTGACCTGTGCCCTTGGGGCACAAGAGCCTCACACACACCACGGCTGTGGCATTAAAGACCACCCCAGCTCCCGCCGTCTGCGGCACCCACCCCATCCCTGCCTCCGACCCCAGGAATGCTGGCGGGAGGGGAAGGCCCCGGAGGGGAGCTCCCTCCTGCCCTGCTGCTAACTGACCCCCGAAGCGTCCACTCTCTGCAGATGGAGGACCCCAGCAAAGCCAGCAAATGCGTCTTGCCCTCCTCTGCGTCCCCAGCCCGTGGGCTCCCTGAGTATCAGCAGCGATGTGAGTGCAGTGGCCCCGGCGGCCCCAGAAATAAACATCCACCTCTTCCCTTCAGCAGCACAGCTGTCGGCTCACACAAAAACCCACAGCCGGATGCAGACACGGGCCACGCAGAGCCTCTGCTCCGTGCCACACCCCATAAGCCCCGTCCCGGTGACCGTGCACAGGTGGGTCCTGCTCCACCGACTGGGAACCGGTTCCCACCAGCGCCGAAGCCCAGGCCGCAGATGGCCCCTGGTGAAGAGCATACCTGGGGCTTTCTCCACGAAAATGACCTTGGAGTCCTGCAGGAAGTTGTGGCCAGACAGGACCATCTTCTTCCCGCCCACGACCGGATAGCTGTCCGTGCTCTGCTTCTCCACCAGAGGCAGCTCCTGAGCTGAGCGCTGGGCTGCATCAGAAGGAGAGGGGCAGTGAGGGCCTGTCCTGAGTGGGCGGCCTGGGGCACACGTGTGGCACCCAGCAGGTCACACGTGAGCCGACCCACCCAGAGCAAGCACCGCCACGACCTGCGGGCCGACCCCTGCGGATGCCACTACTTCTAGGGGAGAAGCCGTGCACACTTCATCCTGATGGTCTCCACCTCGTTCTGAAGAAGTCATCAAAATATCTTCCTAAGACTCAGCCAATTTCACTCAAATCACAGTCATCGCACAAATACGCAAAGGTCAGCGCAGCGTGAGGGGAAGCCCCGGCCCACACCGCTTTCCCTGGCCATGCTCAGCCATCAGAGGAGCCAGCGCCAGGGGCCCCCGGGAGGCCACAGGCAATAACTCAGCCATGATCAACTCAGACCCCTCGTGGCCACACACTGTGGTGGGTTTGGTGGGAACCGTTCAGTCCCAAGTCTACACGAACGAAAAGCTGAGAGCGGGTGAGACAGTGAAGCGCATGTGACGGGACGGTTTCCTCCCCTGTGGGCGCGTGGACGTCCACTTACAGCATTCGATGGGGTTGGAGGCCACCTGCAGGGACAGCGTGCGGCCGCTGGGTTGCGGGACGTGAACGCGGAACACCAGCCGTACCCGTGTGTTCTTCCTCCCGATGTCCGTCTCTCCTTTCCGAAGTTCAATGTCGGAGTTTCTGAGTTTCAGGATTCCGGCACAGTCAATGCTGCCCAAAACAAAAGCCCACAGCTTTTCTTTCAATGGCTGACGCGGGAGCGTAAAGGCCTGGCCCCCCAGACCCTCTGGCCCTCATCCCAGCCCCACGAGCTCGTGCCAGGCAGCTGGCCACTCTCCCCTTCCCCAAGGAAAACAAGACCTTGAAGCCAGCGACGTGAGGCCCTTGCCTAGTGCAGGAGAGAATCTGACATTGGCGCAGGCGAGGGGGCAAGCAGAGGCAGCCCCGAGAAAAGCCACTTCCACCTTCCCCTTCCCACCTTCCTCCAGCCTCCAGCCTCCACCCTCCACCCCTGACCAAGCGGGTCCAGTCGGAGCTGTCCCAAGTCCTGGCTGCCTCCAGGGCCCACGCTGGCCACGTATACGGGGATGTCACCAGAGCGGCAGAGAGCGGCCCAGGGGAGGGGCCAGAGGCACCTGCTGTTCTCACTTATCTTGGAGTAGTTCCCAAAAAGCTCAATTTATTATTATCATTTACAATAATTATATATTATATATTATTAGGTTAAATATTATATATTTATAATTATATAAAATATATAATAAATCATAATTAGAATAAATTATTCTATTATTTCCACTATATTTAAAAGCCCTCATTTTTTGTGTGTAAAACCCATTTTTTCTATGGTTTCATATAACCTCTTAACAATTTCATTCAAAACTAGACTCCAGTAAAACATTCCATGTATACATTCTCAATGCACTAAAAAGCAGTATTTTTCAGTAAGTTAAGAGAATGAGAATAAACACAGACTCCCCGACCACCCACGAGGCGGCAGCCAGCACAGGGCTGGAGCGCGGTCCTGGCTGCGGGCGTCTCCCGGCCACCCTTTCTGCCCCACATCATGGTGGGGTGAACGCAGCCGCCAGCGAAGCCAGGACGTTTACTACGGCTGTGGAACGCACCTGACTGTGCCCTGTCTGCGGGAAACTTGGATTACAGCTCTCGAGGCAAACTCAGGGATTTGGAATGAATTCCCAGGTGCGTACATTCCTCCCAGTGCTTGAAAAGTCAACGTGGAGAGAAAGCTTTCCCTTTTTGACTTACAGGCTTTGAATCACTTATTAAAATCCCCAACGTGGCCCCCCGCCGCCATCTCCTACACGCTCTCCCTCACCGTGCGGGACTCCTCCCCACTCCTGCAGCCCCAGGACCTCTGCACCCACCCCCGGGGCTCCACCTGGATGGGGCACCCCACACACAGCTTCCCCATCACACGGGCTCCCAGCCTGCGGGTCACCCTCGCAGGACGCCGTCCCTGCCCTCCGGCCTGGCTCCATCCTGCTGGTCTGCACGTTCCAGCCGTCCCAGCTCAACCTGCACTCATTCACCCACAGATGTGTCTGTTTTCGGTTCCCCCCACAGTACCACATCAATCTCTCGGGAACCAGCAGTCCTCCTCCTCGGCTGCCTTCACAGGTTAGGGCCAGCGTGCCCAGCACAAGCTAGGATTAAGTGAGTAAGGCCTTATTTGGAAGTTACATGTTTCGTCCTCACCTTACTAAAAAATTCACTTTTAAACAAATTACAGTGTCAAATTAGACTCAGAACATCAGCACAGGCCTATCCGTGTTGTCGGAACCTCCTAAAGGTCAACGTGATCCAGATGTGCTGACTGCTTTAATTTTTTGATGCTCACGTTTTAACCATCCTCTCATTACACTGCTGTATTCGGAAAGAAATAGGGGTCCTGTTTAGAAGCTAAATGCAGAGGGAGGTATTTATAGCTGCATATCTGACATTTTAAGTGGCAATATACACAGGGCTGAAACCCTAGAGAGAAGCAAATCCATTGTCAAAAGCAAGAGTGAAGTTTACTTATTGGCTGTTAAACCAAAAGTGTCCTGGCCACGCAGCCTGGAAGTGCGGGGGGCTGGCCAGACCCCCCGGGACTGGGAGGGAGGCACGCCCCCTCCTACCGCCCCCTGCCAGAGGCCGGAGGTCCCCCGCGGCTTACACGGCTCGCATGCTGTTCTCCGGCAGGAGTGGGATCTCCAGGACTTTGGTGTTGGAGAGGATGGCCTCGTGGCTGGTGGTGGACACGGTCTTCCCTGTGATGCGGTGCACCTGGTAGAAGGCGTGCGGGCGCAGCAGGCGGTCGTCCGCCGTCCCAATGAAAAGCTGCAGCATCAGCGGCTCATTCTCCAAGTAGCCATGCAGCTGGCGAGAGAACAGAAAACACCTGCTCAGCACCCAGAGCACAGACCGCCGGGAGTCACCGGAACGCAGAGAAAACCTGCGGCGGGTTCGAGGCCTGTGTCCCCCTGCCCTGCCCCCTTTTTATTTCTCTGCCATGTCATACTGGTGTCTTTGTAAATCAGATTAGAAAATGCCTTGTTATCCCAATGGACCTGGGCACTGAGTTTTAGGCTTTGAAACGGGCCTTGCACGTATGCATCCACACTTGCTGTGTGTGCCCATTCTGAGGCCACAGTGAAGCTGGCAGGGGGCGTGTGCAGGAAAGCGGAGCCCTCGCTGAGCCATGTGCAAGGCTCGCTTCACCAATAAATCCAGATGAGGCCCCGCAGGACATGACCCACCTTCCTGTGTTCCATTAACCTGGAACCGGGCAGCGCGCAGCTCCCACTCCTGATCAGGGGACGCCACACTGCGTTTGCACACACACAGCACGACGGGCCCCAGGCCCCAGCACCCTTCCTGATGGCTCCCTGCCCCTCTCCTCCTGCAGAGGCAGGGGAGCGCTCAACGCCGTCCTGGTGGCTGAGCAGCTAGTGTCCAGAGGCAGACGCTGGCGGCAGACACTGCCTAGGGCAACCATGCATGGAGGTGTCTATAGTCCGCACCACCCTGCAGAGCCGCTCATGGCTTCTCGGCCGGCGCCGTGTGGGTGAGACTCAAAACCCACACCACTGGGACAGGACTCCAGACAAATGGAGCAGCCCCGGTGCTTCCGCCAGGACACTAGTGGCCGGGCCCCACTCACGCCTCTGGGAAGGTGTGCGCCTCACGGCAGGGCACACACATGTTCAGGACCAGCTGTTCTGTGGGATGAGTTGCTCATCAGCGTCTTGAGAGGTAAACACAGAGTGTGGTGCCGTTCCCTCTCACCCTCCTTCTCTGCACCACGCGTGGTTCCGCCTTCAGCAGTGAGTCATTTTTAGAACTGTTTGTTTTTATCTTTAACGCTACCATTTACAATCACTATAGTCTGATTCCATATGCAAGAGGCAAGTTTGGTTTGGAACAGGAACGTTTGATTCTCAAAGCAAGCACAAAGGCCTTGAGGGAGGCCGCAGGAGTCAAACCCTTTGCGCAGTGGGGCCTCCCACAGGGCCCCTCGTTCAGAGTGCCTTCCCTTCTGCATCCCCCAAGTGGGGCCCGATGAGCGCCAGCCTCAGAGCCCTGAGATTCATCAGCAAAATCCATGCAAGGCCCGTGGCAACGCCCAGCCCCGGGAACCACTCATCCTGGGACGCGTCGACCCCTCTGATCACGTTTGGAGTCGATTTTCTCACTAAACTAACTTTAAAATCTTTGACCACAGACGGCAACTGCAGCACGATGACCACGTGCAGAGTCCAGGCCTGGGCTCCTGCAGGCACGTTCCAGCCACAGGAAAATGCGACGCCTGCCCCTGACCACGCAGATGCCTGCTGCCCACTCAGGGCCAGCGAGGCGAGGGAGAAGGCGGGGGAGCCCGGGCCAGGGGACGGCGGATTCTCAGATGTCAGTGGGCAGAGGGAAGATGGGGCTAGAGGGGCCCGGGCAGGCGAAGAGGCGGCCCTTGCTCCGTGGCTCCAGCTTAGCCTCAGCCGCCGTGTGGTCACCACAGTAAAGAACAAACCAATCTCACCGGTGGCTGAACTCAGAGCCCCGCCAGGGAGGAGGCCACAGTGAAGCGACGGCTGAACTCAGAGCCCTCCAGGGACGAGGCCACAGTGAAGCGACGGCTGCTGTCACTGAGGGCCTGACCGTGAGGCCCAGACTGATGGGCAGGGACTGGGACGCCGCGTGAGGCTGAGCCGGGACCCAGGTCCCAGCTGAGACATCGAAGGGGCGTTTGGGGTCTGAAACACAAAGCCAGAGGCTGAACGAAGGCATCACGTGGGAACACGGTGGGGAAGCCACAGACAGGGATGAGGACACAGCCCCCATGTGCGCAGATGCCCACAGGAGTCTCTGCACCCAAGGCCACCAGCAGCCCACTCCAAAGTGATTACTGCTAAGACCACGTAACTCTGCAGAACAAAAAGCCCTTCCCTTTCCAATAGAGCCCCCCTTCCCATATGAATACATGAGTGTCTCCACACAAACAGTCAGGACGGGGGACGCTGGGACCTGCCTGTCCAGCCCTCAGCTCCTCGGAAGAGAGACTCCAGCCGTTTGCCAAGTTAATGAACTTCCCGAGATACCTTAACTCTCTGTGGGACTCAAACATCTTTATGATGGGAAATGTAAAAAGAAAAGCAGATTAAGAGGCGGATTCTGCCACGCAGTATTCCATTTTCCGAGATTTAATACCTAAAAATTTAATTTACATAGAAAAAAATGTAAATGAGTCGCTGACCAAAACCACCTCGGGGGGTGGGGGAGGGGCACCGGGGCAGCTCCAGGGTCACGTGGTCTTAAAACTACAATTTAAAATTCCCCCAGGATCCCTGTGGCAGTTCTCTGATGGTGTGTGGAATGCTGTGAATTTGGGGTATGACTGTATCCTTTAAAAAACATGCCATTTCAGTGAAAATGGGAATATTTAAGGTTTCACCTGGGAGGTAAACATCTATTATTTAAAACATGAAGTTCATTTTAAGAAAAGTCATTTAAATACGTCACGGGCCCCACTGCATGGGCTTTCTGCCTCTGGCACAGTACAGAACCTGTCAGAATCCTATTTATAAAATTCCCTGTCACAACAATGACCTCCCTCTGCCTCAACCTTAACTAAACAAAATGTATTATTCTTATTCCACTGCCGAGGTATAAGAGCTACTGAGTCTCCTACACGTTACAATGTTTGTTTTTAGCTCCTGTGCTGACCTCAGCACTTACACGGTGACATGGTGGGTAGTGGATGATTGAGGCCAAATTTATTCAACGTGGAACTCAGCTGCGTGCACCCAGGGGAGGGAGGTGTGGGGTGGACAGAGGCAGCTCACGGGTGGGAATGTCTCACCCTCCACCCCATAGTCTGAGCTGCTGCACAGAAACGGAGCCAAGGCGACCTGGAGTCAGGCTTCTCTCCAGGCAGGGCACAGGAGCAGCCGTCAGCCTAAAGGGAAATTATCCATTTAGGGCCTACGAGTAAAATCTGCATTTTTCAAATTGCCCCAAGGAAGTACACAGGGACAGAAAATCCGGCTCACAAACCGGTTTCAACCCCGATTCCCCCCATGCTGGATTAATTTGAGAGATTGCCACGCTGTGTGAACAGCGTCTAGGGTCCTCTTCTCAGCCCTGGAATCCTCATCACCCACAACAGCAGCCAGAGGTGACACTTCCAGGTGAAGGCCGTGGTGCGTCTCTCAGGGCTGGGCCCGGGGCCAGGGAACCAGGCAGGAGAGTGCATCTGTCATGGGAGGACGTCCAGCCACATTCTCCACCAAAGCACGAGAAGGAAGGCATCAGAGACCCCGTGGCTCCACCCTCGGTACAGGGGCCTGGCCAGGATGATACGGCAGCCACTGCTGCAGAGCCAGGTGTTCCTGCAGGAACGAGGCCCACCTTACCCACAGCCCAGGCCCACGTGACCCACGGCACACCAAAGCAGATGAGTCAACAGCACACGGTACTTGTAAGAAAAATCCAATTTGATGCTCCAGGGAGACTTTACTCAAGATACCAGGAAAAATCGAAACAAAAGTAAAAGACATCAAAAATGGAGCCAGTAGTCGAAGGGAGCACCCCAAACCCGAAACGGGTGGAGGACCAGGACACACCCCCGCATCCTCCCTCTCCTTCCCCCTTTTCTCAGCCAGGCCTCACCTGCCCGAAGTGGGACAGGCTGCCGGTGTGATTTCTGTGCTTGCCGGGGCTTCGGGCTCTGGGGTCCACGGTGACATTCCAGGTGAAGCCACCAAGAGACAGCCACGCAGCGTCCACTTCCTCACCTGCTGGCTGTGTGGTGTGCAGAAGCCTCCGTGAGTGTGGGCGTGTGCACCAGAAGTGTGCGTGTGCAGGCATGTGTGTGGCCACGGGGGTGCCTGTGTGTGCAGCGCCGGTGTGGTCTGTGGGGTCGGGCACGTGTGTGCCCACGGGGGTGCCTGTGTGTGCAGTGCCGGTGTGGTCTGCGGGGTCGGGCACGTGGGTGCCCACAGGGGTGCCTGTGTGTGCGGCGCTGGTGTGGTCTGCCAGGTTGTACGTGAGCAGTGCTTCCCTGTAAACCGGCCCAGACCTGGCTTTAAGGGGCAGCTTCATCTGCCGGACGCCCTGCCCTGGCCCCTTCAGATGCGGGAAAGGGCCTGAGGGGCCTGGGGTCTCCCTCCAGAGCAGCGAGGGCTCGGGGTAGGCGGGGGAAGCTGGGGTCTCCCTCCAGAGCAGCGTGGGCTCGGGGTGGGTGGGGGAAGGACACAGCCTGACGCCGCACACCTCTTGTCCTGGTTCCCAGTGTGCAGTGCAGAGAAGGAACGGGAGGAACGGGGACGCCATGGCTGGAGACTCAGGCCTGAGCCAGGAGTCGGGGCAAAGCCTGGTGTTCTGTGAACACACGTGGGCACACACACACGCACAGCCACACTGGGAAATGTGCACACCCCCCCAGAGCGTGCACACACACACGCACACACACACACCACATGTGACAAGCCTCTGACCCACTGGCACCAGCTCACTGCTCTCTGGGAAGTTCTAGAAAAAAGTTTTTTTCTCATTTCAGGTTTTATTTCTACCTGTTTGGCCACAGTTGCCAGCCTCCTGACAGACCCAGAGTGCATGAGAGAGGCCTCCAGGAACCCTACAGCCAACACTCCCTCAACCCTCCAAGGGAACAGATCTCGGCCTTGCAGGAGCAGGGCCAGGCCCTCCTGACCCCCAAATCCCACAAACCTGGCACTGTTGGCATCATGAGCCCTGGCAGGCAGGGACACCAGGTACCAGGACCCACAGCAGCTTTCGCCATGTGGCACAGCCCTTCCCAGAGAGGGTGGGCGGACCAGCACCTCGGGGCTGGGGTCTCTGGGCAGCCTGGGGAAGGGGCCTTGTGCCTGGAGGTGCCGGGACACCCGCCCAGGGCTAGGGGGACAGGACCAGGATCGATCGTACCTGCCCTCCCACAGATGCCGTCGGCAGAAGGATTCAAGGGAAGCGTCCATGTGCCCGGCAGGAACCGAGGCAGAGGCTGGGCAGACGGGACCCCACGGGCTTGCTGCATGCTGAGGCCTGAACGGCGGAGGTTACATAGCAAGCCTGCTGAGTGGATTCTCAGACCGGTGAATGCACGGGCGCCGACTGGGAAACTAGCTCCTCCCCACCCCCCGAGGGACGGCTCCAGGCCCCTTCCCATGACAGGAACAGGACGACGTGTCCATGCAGTTTCCTGCACGAGAGGCCCTGGGTGAGTAGTGGGCGCTGCCCTCACTACCATGCCTGGTGAAGGAAGCTGTCTGCAGAATCCGTGTGACTGACCGATTCGTCTTCCTAGCTCTCAGGGCGGTGTGTGTGGGGGCCCGAGGCAAGTGTGTGTGACAGTGCGTGCAGGTGTGTGTCCATACGCGCGGTGCACAAGCTGACAATACTGAGTTCACACCACGGAGTGTCAGCTCAATTCTGAGAATCCTTCCCGTGAACACAGTTGCTTTCCTAGTGATTCATAGATCGTGTTCAGATCCACAGATAAAACTGAATTTGTGGCTGTAAAGCAAATCTAGAGGGACTCGCCGCCCCGCACAGGGACCTTCCAGCCGCGACTGAAAAACTGCACTCAGCCACAGGCTCAGTCCTGACCGGGAAGGGCTGTTTCAACATAAGTCTCTTGGGATTTTTGGTTTTCAAAAGGGGGCAGGCGGAGCTGCAGGACTGCCAGGCTCCAGCTGAGCGTGCCTCACTTGCTACAAGGGAAGCTCTGGTGTGTCCCCTTCCAAACACAGCTGCTGCTGTCCGGGTGGGAGTGGGGAGCTGTCCGGGTGGGAGTGGGGAGCTGTCTGGGTGGGAGTGGGGAGAAACTCGGGTTTCTTGATGCTCAGAGCTGAGCTCCGGGCTGGGGCCCCAGACCTCCCCCAGACACCAACCAGATGACCTGCAGGCTACAGCAAGGCGTGGCCCGCCGGAGCAGAAGCTCCCCAGGAGGGACCCAGCGTGAGCACGTGGCGCCAACAACCGCACACTGCTGCCACCACCCGCCGCCGCCACCGCACGTCTGTGAACCAACATTGTATCCCCACTCCAGAGAAGCAGCGCTGAGCTGCCAGGGCCTGTTTCCCGGACCCCGGCTCCAAGGTGTCTGGGCTTTCTTCCCAGGTCCCTACTTTTCTAGCCCCTTCCGCCGACTTTGGAGAAAGATCATTCAAACCGGAAGCCCAGAGAAGGTGCTGGAAGGATGTTGAGTGGCAACCCCAGAACAGGCACGCGGCAGGAGCCCCTCTTCTTGGAGACATGGCGCCCGTGAATGGCACGTGCGCTGTCACCTGCACGAAGGCAGCAGAGGCTGCTCAGCAGGACCGACGCCTCGGCGAGGGTGGACAGAGGTGGGGAGGAGAAAGGCCGCCCGGCCACACCTGTGGGCCCCTCACACGTGCCAGTCTCCACACGTGCACGCGGGTCTCCACGTCTCTCCGGAAGAGCAGCCCCAGAGGCCGTGCTTGCCGTGGAGAACTGGTGCCCTCCCCCACCGCCTCGGCCCGCTGCCCTCCCGGCTGCTCTCCCAACCTGTGCCATGCAGGGACCACCTTGCCCCACCAGCGCGCTTCCCACCTCGACCTGGAGGCAATGGCGCTCGGCACGAACCCCAGACTCACCAGAGCACCGACAGGGCCACGGAGCCAGGGCACTGACGTGGAGGGTGCAGGGGCCCCAACGCACCTGGAAGCGCCCAGAGAAGAGACGGCCACGCTCACTTTGGCTGAAGAAGATTCTGCCCGGAAACACCACGTTTAGATTTAATTAAATCTAATCAATTAATCCATGCTGAGAAACCTCGACCTTCTATGGAGAGAGAATCATCTAGAATGCAACTCCTGAAACAGGCAAGTGGGAAACGCCGCAACCCCGTGACCCCAGGGCCAGAAGCACACAGAATCCACAGCCCACGGCCACGAAGGGAGAAACGGCAACCTTCTAGAGACATCCGTGCCACTGAGAGTCGCGTCGCCTGACACCAAGCGGCAGGAGCGCTTGTCATTTGTCAGAAGTGAGGTGGTTTCCGCTCAGCACTTCTCCCCAGTCTACCCCAGCAGGGCCTGACGGGCTCAGGTCACAGCCCACCCACAGCCGGGATGCCCTGGCTGATCTCAGGGAGACACATCAAGGAGCTGGCAGGGTGGCCTGAGGACCGGCAAGCAGCCCCTGTTCATCCTGCCTCCCCCACAAGCCCTCCCAGCTCCAGAATGGCCCCTAAGCCTGCTGGTCAGTGGCTCAAACACATCAAAACCGAAATCACGGGGGAGAGAGGCCCAGGAGCGCTGCCCGCCCAGCAGCCATGTGCACCTCCAGAGCCCGACAGCTACAGCGATACCCAGTCCAGACACACAGGGGTGAAGGGCCCGAGGAATCCTGGGGTGGAAGAGCCACCATCCAGCAGCACCCCTGCCCCTCCTTCAGGGCCCGCACCCTGCAGCGCCACAGCCCTGCACTCCCCAATCTCCGGGTGAAACCTTCTATTTCCCTAGGACATGGCCTCAGGGAGCCTCGCAGGGTGAGACCTGGTCAGTCTATGTGCTCCAAGTGTGTATGATGGTGCGTCTCGGCTCCGCAGGGCCCAGGGGCCATCTGTGCTGTTCCCAGCAAAGCGCCTCTGTCCACAGACAAGGCCCGGTGTCCTGCCTGGAGGAGGGAGGTGTGGCTTGAGGCAGGTCCACGGACACGAGCCCAGCCCAGACGGGCACACGCCCATGGGTGCTCCCAGCCGCCACTCCCACGTCTGGCCTGGGCAGGGCCTGGGCAAGGAACAGCCACCAACGTCACAGACAAAGAAAGCAAGCAGCCGTCCCGCCCAGCAGCTCCTCAGAGAAGAGGAGTGTCTCTGAAACCACATCTCGTTCCTCTTAGAACCGGCACTGACACAGAGACCCTGCACTCCGGAGCTGTTCAGACACAGCAGGGCACAAACCTGGGAGGCTTCAGAAATGGCTGCCACCCTCAGCACTGGACAGTGCAGACAGTGGCCGCTCCTTCCCGGGAGAACCCAGCTGGGTCACAGCCCCAGGTCCTCGGAGAAACGGGCAGGGACCTGCCATGGCCAACACCACCCTCGGTCACTGGACACCTGCTGGGTGTGGCCCAGGGGCACCACGGTGTCTGCGGGGAAGCAGGGCCCATTGCTCAGGCAGCGAGGAAGGACCAGGCCCCACATGAGAGCTGCCAGGGCGCCGCCTCCCCACGGGGTGATTGCTGCTGCAGATGGCCGCTTCTCATGTGGTCTCCAGGTGACGTGTCCACTCCTCCTGTCCCACCTGCACCAAATGTGGGTTTTCTGAGGCTGGGATAGAGCATGTTCCAGTGGGCGTGCAGACCCCTCTCTACCTAGGAAAGCCTCCTGGGAGGCCCTTCTGCGCTATTAGGAGAGGTCACTAGCAACGGCCGTGCCAGAGCCCACGCGTCATCTTAAATTTTCCCAAAGCACCAAGAAGCCAAAGCTCTGAAATTACTAATAGAAGATTTTGGAGGCTGAGGATCTGGGCTTGGGGACACTCATGCGCCTCGTATTTCCTGTCTCAGCTGCACACCCCCACTCCAATGGCCAGGCCTGTCAGGAGACCCAGGCCACATTTTTGCCAGTTTTTCCAGGCAGTGGAGCTGTGGAACAGGTAGTTAGAAATCAGTGTCGCAGACCTGCCAGAGGCCACACGCCTTCCCCGTGCCAGTAAATCTCCACAAAATTCCACCCATTTTCTCAAATATTGTCATTACTGTTTTTAAGCAGTGACTGGCTGGGCCGACCTCATTCCACGTTGGTCTCCTGACACAGCGAATCTGCCCCGTGAACACCTTCCCAGCAGCACCGAGCATCTGTCCCCATCGCTCAAAACAGAGCCCGTGGGCTTTGCTTTAGGGGAGAAATAAATGGTGAATCCTCGTTCATCATAAAAGCTGACACGGGGAAGGCTCGGGCTTCAACACTGCACTTCTGAGAGTTCTTGCTCCTGGGAAAACAGACACAGCCCGACGGCAACCATGTGTGCTCTCCCAGCTGCATGGGCTGCGGGAACAACGGCGTATGTGGAACTAGGAAATTCCCTGTGCGTTTATGCGCTTAGCAGTCCAGGGAAGTGACGGTCATTCGCCCTGAAATTGTGCTGAAAGAGGAGAGGGCTGTTGTCTAGGTTCCAAGGCAGACTCATAAAAAATTAATCCGTGCCTCCTGCAGGCCTCCGGCATTTGGCAGCAGCGGTGCCGTGGCGTGTGGTTTTGTGGTCAGACCTGCACTTTAGTTTCCACCCCACGGCGTCCTCCCCGTGCGTGGGCCTCTGCGTGGCTCCTGGGGCGGGGCCGGAGCGGCTGCTGTTTGAGGTTCTGCAATAGCACAGCTCCTGGTGGGGCCTCGGAGCTCTGATCAGATAACAATGTGTCCCAGCGACGTCCCTCCCCGGCTTTCCAGTTTAACAGCCCTGCCTGGCAGGGGACATGGAGAACCAGGAGCTCCTGTGTGTGGCAAACCACTTAAGAAAGCGTGGATGAGGCCCTGCGTGGAACAGTGCGTGCTGTGGTAATCTGTCCACGGTATTCACGGGCTCTCAGGAACCTGCTCCTCACGGTACTGAACACTCCCCGAGCCCCTGCCAGCTGAAGGTACCACACAAAGTGAGAATTAGTCAGAACCACTGGCCCGACGCGCATTTTAACAACCGGAAAAGAAGAGCTGCCTCACGGGAGGCTCCACTCCTTGGTCTTCAGCTGTCAAGTTTCTTACATGACAGAAAAAACGTCTGTTACGGATCTGTGGAGGCAAAGTTGACCTACAAGCTGGGCAATGGAAGGAGAGGCCCACCAAGGCCACTGTGGGCACCAGCGGGCCCGCCCCACCCTGCGTCCTGAGCTTGGGGTATGGCCAGGAGCCCTCCCTGGGGCCAGTCTGGCCTCCTGACTCTGAGTCTTCGCCTGACCCGCCCGCCCCTCTCACCCGCGCGGCTGAGGCAGGATCCCAGACCACCCGCCCTCACCTCTTTGCAGACTCAGTTGGCCCTTCTCCTAACTGACAATATTATAAGCTGCAAACCTAAAATGCTGTTTCAGAACGGGCCGAGGCTTCTCGTTTCACATTCCAGTGACCTATTAATTATTCACACGAGCCCGGCCTCCCGTGTGATGGGTGAGATGCTATCGGGCAGGTTATTTTGGTGACTTGGTAAACAGACCTGAGTTATTTGACCCCTGGGTCAGAGGTCAGGCTATATCCCACAGAGGTCCACGTGCCCCCGTGGGATGGTGGGTGCCATGGAGGTGGAGGCCGAGGGCCGGGGACGTGCTGCAAAGACATCTTCTCAAGGCCCTGGGCCCTTCCCGGCCACCTCCGGGAGAGTGTAGCTGCCACGAGCAGTGGAGGACGCAGGCCAAGGACGGGTTGACTCATGTGAGGAACACATCTGGCGAGGGGGCTGCAGTCCACGGCAAAGAGAGCAGGAGGGAAGGAAGGAGGCACAACCAGAAACAGAGAGGAGGAAAGCAAGGCAGAGTGACCAGGGCGGGCACTGCTCACGCCGCTCAGCTCCTCCTCGGACGGAGCGGGGAGCCGGACTCCAGGTCTCCTCCGGGACCACAGTCCCCCAGATGGAGAACACGCAGGTGGAGGACCAGCCTCCACCTTCACGCCCAGAAAGGCAATGAGTTGCACGAAAAGGCCTCAATGGCTGTGCCCGGGTGCTTCTCCACCCTCCCTGGCCAGAGAAGGGGAAGAACACTGCCTGTCTCACCCCAGACCATCCTGATGCCGGCTGCCTACATACCGAGGTGAGCAGCGCTGAGGGCAGAGGCTGTGTGCGGATGAGGAGGTGAGACAAGGAGAAAAGCCAGCAGCCACCCAGAGCACTCGCGAACTCCTGGTTCCAGCTCCGTTGAGAGCAGAGCAGGCCCTCCAGGGTGAGGAGACTGTGTGTACAGAGAGACCCTCCCCCTCAGGCAGAGCCTGCCGTCAGGGCAGAGGGTGGAGGGCAGAGGGTGGCGGCTGCCCGAGGTGCCACCATCAGGACACTCAGTGTGAGCTGGGATTTGGGGGAAAGCTGAGGCCAGAGGGAAACATCCGCCACGCATCACTTTCATGCCTCACTGGAAATGCTGGTGAGAAGCAGACAGCAGGCGGACGCCCCCTCAGCCTCCCCTGCAACCAGCGGCCTGGCGAGGTCCCGGCATCGGCAGATCCAGACCGGCCCACCGAGAACTGGTGGCCAAGGTGCTGGAGCAGGGGCAGGAGGAGCCGGTGACAAGGGGGCTGTGTGGGCAGGAGCTGAGGCTGGCTGCGCTGCTGGTCACTCCCTGCCTGGCCAGAAGCCTCTGGGAGGCTCTGTCTGAGTCACTTGTTCTACCAGGGCAAGGTGAGTCCTAAGCAGGCGTCTTCATCTTTGGTTTCCCAGGAGCAGTGAGGCCCACGCCAGACCCCTCTCTCCACTATCCCCTCACACGCACAGGGGGCGGGACTGTCCTTACCCGCAGGCCCCACCCTGCAGAGGGGGCGCACCCATCACCATGGCCGAGGTCCCGCCAGACCCCGCAGGGACCACGTCCACCAGGGGCTGCCGGCCATCCTGAACCACCCAGACCCCCTCGCAGACGGCTCCAGGGCCCCGCTCTTCCAGGCTAAACCACGGCCCTGTTGCTTTGATGCTGGTGTTTTTAGCGCCGTGGCAGCCGTAATGGGGGTGGCCTCAGGGTGCGGACGGTGTGATCATGGCAATGTGGCCAGAAGAATAGGGGCTGGCCTGGGGTGGTCTCTCCCCGGCGTGGGAACAATGACATCCCCACAGAGACGGCAGGGGGCACGCTCAGTGCTCACTGGAGGGGGCTGGCCTCCTTCCCTCTGAAGGAAAGGCCCTAAATGGGAGAAGCCCCGGATGCCGGACCCCCTCACGCCCCTCAGCGCCCACAGGTACCCGGATGCCGGACCCCCTCACGCCCCTCAGCACCCACAAGTAAGAGCGAGCACCTATCCAGAGGAGCAAACACCCTTTCCTAACCCAGAGTCCATGCTCCGAATGCTTCCTGGAGAGAAGGTGCTGCGTTCTGCTCACGTGCTTCACTTCCCAACTGCGAAACACATGGGGATGGGGAGGACGGAGACAGCGGGCGTGGGAGGACGCGGACGCCGGGTGCGGGAGGACGGGGATACCGGGCGCGGGGGCACAGCGTGCCCCTGGCCGCGAGAGCTGACACCCACATCCCCCGGCCCCCCGCCACCCTCCAGGGCTCAGCTGCACTGCAGGAGACAGCGGGCTTTAATTTTCTGGACAAGCTTTTTGAGATGCAGCGGACAGACGATTCACAACGAAGAGAACAGCATTTCTCAAATGCAGGAAACTCCCGCGCCAGTTGTTCCCAACGGCTCCCAGTGGCTCTGACCAGCCGCCCGCAGCGCCCACTACCCACGGCCTCGTCCTCGCGCCCCCAGGCCAGTGCGATGAGCCTCGTTTCTGAAAAGCGGGAAAGGGGCCGCGTCAAAGGATGTACTAAAATAACCCGACGGCACCGAGGGCACGTCTGCGGTTACGAGGAGCTTCCACGGCAACTGAGAGCTTTCTATTCTCGTTTGTTTTTAAATTATGCACAAATTCTATTTTTATCCAATTTGTGGTCCACCAACTGAAAGAGAAAACTAACCCCCAAAACCCCCTCTTTTTAGCTGCTTTTACCTCACACTTGCAGAGACAGAAATCCACTCTGCCACAGATACATCACAAAACTCTTTAAATTACTAATTTCTACAAATGAGATATGCTGACAGCTCCTGACATTCTCCGTGCAGGGGACCGTTTTCTCCCGCGTTTCAATGGAAAGGGCTCCTTCTGTGGAAACGCAGAGCCAGCCTCTCCCGTGTCGCTGCTGCGCACACACGGGCCACTTGATTTGGAATAATTGTTGAGGGTACATTTTAAAGATATTTTTAATTACTGTTTCAAGTTTCCTGAGTCCTCCAGAACACCTGGATCCTCTCAGTGGCATCTGTATTGATAGATTTCTGCACCCTCAGCCCAAGACACCCAGATGGCAGAACCAGAGACGGGATTCCAGAAGATTCCAGAAGACGCAGGGAGAGTACCCAAGCACTGAGCTGTGTCCGCAGAGACGGGCGGCACCAGGCACCGGCGCTACTCACAGGCAGGTGAAAATACATCCATTAAAACCCAGGGCTGCCTGTAGTCCCAGCTACTCGGGAGGCTGAGGCAGGAGAATCACTTGAACCCAGGAGACAGAGGTTGCAGTGAGCTGAGATCACACCACTGCACTCCAGCCCGGGTGAGAGCGAGACTCCGTCTCAAAAAAAAAAAAAAAACAAACAAACCAAAAAACAAAACAAACAGAAACCTCAGAGCTCTCTCCACACTCATGGTCCTGCTTTACCCTCCAAGTAACAGCCTCGATTCCTACACCCGCCCCTCATCCAGATACAGTGAAAAGGGCGACGTCAGTGCCCCTCACCGACATAATTTACAGCAAATAGGGTGGACTGGGCCATTATTTCTCTATTGCTTTATTTCCACTCCTCCTTTCACAGCCTCGTTTCTTGTCCTATCTAATATCCTTCCCACTGAGCAATAACAAGCTTTCGGTCAGTAAAAACCGAGGCAGGGATGGGGAGGTGCAGGCCTGCAGTGACGGAGCGTGGTGCAGCGCTGTCTGACCTTTCCCACCTGGGAGGGTGGAGACTTTAAATGTCAAACGGGCCACTGTGCGCTCAGGTGTCTCCCGCATTTCCTTGCTTCAAGCACCAACGAGGGAGGTACTAATTGGCATCAAGCACACAGGCCACAAACATCACATTAACATCATCTGCAAGTGCTGGCGAAAACGCCTCACCCCAGCGCCCTGCCCGCTAATTCCCTGCCGCCGGCTGCTGCGTTGGCAAACAGCCATTTGTCCCTGCGGCCACCTTCTCTCCACTATTTATCTAAATGGAAGAAAATAAAAATACGAGGCACTCTGCTGAACACCCCTTCCGGCTTGCATCATTCCCTAAATAACGGGGCTGGGGCACCCGGTTTTTTGCTGTTGGGGTGTGCTCGGAAAACATCCTCTGTGCTGCCGCGTAGCCTGGAGCCCTGGGGCTGGACACACTTGCTGCTCTGTGGCTGCCAAAGCAGCAGATCTAGGGCCTGGGGCCTATAGCTGACGAGGTAACAGGTGGAACGAAGAAAATGCCAACACCCACGGCTACCCGGGATCCACATCAACACCTGGGGTGCAGAGGGAGCATGGCTCTGTGCAGACGCTGCCCGTCCCTGGCGCGGTCATTACACCCCTCCCTCGACAGCCTAACTCCACGTGGCTTTCCCGCAAGGTGTGAGGAAGGTGAGGAAGCCACACCACAGCCCGGGGGAGTCAGGCCCACCCCAGCAGGGACGCGGCTGCAGGGTTGCCAGGCCCAGGCCTACCCCGGCAGGGATGTGGCTGCCAGGCCCAGGCCCGCTCTGGAAGCCACTCCTCCTCTCCTCGGGGAGCACCTTGAGCCCTGGTGCCCCCCAGCACCCAAGCCCAGAGTATGGGATCCTGCAAGCCTGGGTGGGCCACAGAACCTGCATTTCTGAGGGTCCCCCACCAGGCGAGGCTGGTGCTGCTGGTGAGAACTCCTGCCTCCAAGTTCAGAGGCTTTAGAGAGGGGAGAATCAACCCCCAAAACATCCACACCACAGGCAGCATCCACGGATACGAGAGCTGCTTCGGGCAAATCTGAAAACAACGAGAGAGGGCCTGCACGTGTGGAAGCAGGAGGAGCTGTGGCATGCTCCCATTCCAGCTCAGAGGCGGTGAGCAGCCGCCCGGGACTAACCACGACAGAGCATTCAGCTGGCCTGGCTGGGAGAGTCTAAGCACAGTTAGCTGTGGCTCCAAAGTTACTTTTTGACCACAAAAGCACCAAGTGACGTGCGAGTCTGGCCGCAGTGCCTACCTGCACGATGGGGTGTCCTCCGGCCGACGCCTTCACGGCCCCCCGGCTGCCCTCCGTCTCGTAGTGGGCTCGGTGGTGGGACTTGGGCTGCACCTCAATCCGAAGCTCATACGGGCCTGAGTGGGACGGCAGCTGCCAGTCCAGGGCGGGCAGGGTCGGGCTGGAAGGGAACAGAGCAGAGGAGGCGTTCAGCACCACACAGACCTCGCCCGGGCCACACGTGCCCGTGCTCACCCGTCGCCATCTTGGGTGGACACTTCATCGGCGAGTGCACGTCCTGACATGGAGATGGAGAAGCCTGTGTCAATGCAGTGCTTACTCATCGTGACCTGTGGCCACGGCCCGGCCAGTTCTCTAAGATGGAAACATTTTCCAAGCACAACCTTAACACGCTTCTCTTCCTTCATGACAGGCTTCTATCAGTTACTTAACCCTCCAGTAAGACAGGTTTTAGAACTCATTGAAAATCTGTTTTAAAATCTAAGAGGGATGGGCTGTGGCCTAAGAACCAGGAAGCTCAAACCTCTCCTCGCTATGAACCAGCTGTGTGGCTGCCATGAGACAGGTGACTGACTGGGCCCTTTATAAAATAGTGGGTTTGGAAGTTGTGATGTGCGCAGCGCCGCCAGCCCCCAAATTCCATGATTGCTGCAAGACAAACAGAAGGCCCTGACTGAGGGCCAGGAGGAGGGACACGGCGTCCATGGAGGGCGGTGGGAGCAAACGCAGCAGGGCGGGGTACGACGGTGAGGGCTGTGGGAGGCTGTTCGGTTACTTTGCACAGAGGGACACGAGCTGCATGACCTGGCGGGTGACAGGTGCTGGGGCTGTCCTCAGAGCCTACAGCCCAGCTGGGGGCCCCACGGCCCCTGTCTTTTCAGGAGATGAATGTTTGGTGTGAAAGGCTAAGGTGAGGTCCTGCCCGTGCCCTCGGCGTGTCTTCCCAACTGTGTTCTGTAGGAGGCCCAGGCAGACTGTCTCAACACTCCTGGGGGCCACACGGTGCACCCAAGGGGTTCTTGCATCTAGGGGGTGGCCTGCCCCGGTGCACCACCATCCACGCAGGCACCACCTTCCACCCTGTGCAAGAGGCCGGCGCCTCTGCCATCAGAGTCCGTTTCTGGGAGGGCCAAGGCTCTGTGGCCGCTGCAGCCCCGGCCCAGCCTCCTCTCCCGCTCAGTCTGTCTCCCCAGCACTGCCTACTGCAGGGGCCAAGGCAGGCGGAGGATGCGGTGGGACCCTCCCTGGACCAGCACTGCTCATCAGATCAGGTGCAAGACCCTGCGTGGGCAGAGGCAGTCCAGGGCCCAACGGCTGTCCTCACCGCTATGTGGCCAGAGACCCAGGGCCCGCCGACCGTCCTCACCTCCGTGTGGGCAGAGACCCAGGGCCCGCCGACTGTCCTCACCACACAGGCTCACCCCGAGCACCGTGGGCCGGGGCTCCTGAGGTCACCCTCCACACAGGGCCTGTGACTCCCCCATCTTCAGAACCAGCCCCTCTGGCCAGGACTCAATTATTGCCTAGAGCTGCTGACCATCATTCTACGTCAGTTTTAAGTACAAGCCCCAGAGACATGGGACATGCGGGGCAGCTTCTCGAGAAGGGCAGGTTCCATGCGATGCAGTCGCAGAGCAGGGGCATCTGCAAGTTAAAGGAAACTGCCTCCCGAGCCCCCCGAAGGCCCCCACACCTCAGGACACACTGTGAACCCAAAGTGACTTAAAAACAAAACAAGGGCCGGGCATGGTGGCTCACGCCTGTAACCCCAGCACTCGGGGAGGCCGAGGCGGGTGGATCACAAGGTCAGGAGATTGAGACCATCCTGGCCAACATGGTGAAACCCTGTCTCTACTAAAAATACAAAAATTAGCCGGGCGTGGTGGCGGAGGCCTGTAGTCCCAGCTACTCGAGAGGCTGAGGGAGGAGAATTGCTTATACCGAAGAGGAGGAGGTTGCAGTGAGCCGAGATCGCGCCACTGCACTCCAGCCTTGGCGACAGAGCGAGACTCCATCTAAAAAAAAACAACAAACAACAACAAAAACAAGGCCAGTCGCAGTGGCTCATGCCTGTAATCCCAAAACTTTGGGAGGCCAAGGGGAACAGATCACTTGAGCTCAGGAGTTCGAGACCAGCCTGGGCAACATGGAGAGACCCCATCTCTACGAAACAAAAAATAAAAACATGAGCAGGACGTGGTGGTGCACATCTGTGATCCCAGCCACACAGGAGGCTGAGTGGGGAGGATCCCAGCCACACAGGAGGCTGAGCGGGGAGGATCGCCTGAGCCAGGGGAGGTTGAGATGGCAGTGAGCCAAGATCGCATGTGCTTCAGCCTGGGCGACAGGGCAAGACTCTGTCTCAAAACAAACAAACTAAAAACGATGGGCAGAATAGAAGACTCGTTTAAAGAGGAAAAAGCCCAGGAGGCAGCTTGAATGGAATCAACTACGTAATTTTTAAAAATACAAACACCTAAAATGTTCCTTAGCAAGAACAAGACTACATATTTTGTGACATTGGAAGCTTCATAGTAATTTGAAAACTCAGAAATGGATTTATCCAAAGATGCACCTGGCAGGCTCACCACCCACCTCCGCTCTGTGGGGTTTTGGGCCCTGCGGGTGCCTGCTGGACCCCAACTCAGCCACGACAGCTTCCCTGACAGAGGAATCTCCAAGACGCAGCTTCATGGGCTGTACTGTCAGAGCTGTTTCCCACGTGAGGTGATCAGCATGGACACCCAGTATCAGCTAACGCTGCCAGGCAGAAGGAAAGGCGGCTGGACCCAGGCCTCCACACAGGAAGGACAAGAGCCTCCAGAGAAAGACTTCTCTGCACAGAGCTCGCGGCCAGCTGTGAGTTTCTGGGGAAGGGAGAGGGGGCAGCTGCAGGGCTGGGCAATGAAGGGCCCCTCTGCAGTGGCCACACCTGCTCCTGGACAGGCAGGCACCAAACAAAGTCGCAGATGATGCGAGGCGGTGCCCGTCTCAGGCACCTTGCACCTATCTTTTGCTATGAATTGAAAAAGAAACAAATGAAAAACAAAATTCATGGCCGGGCGTGGTGGCTCATGCCTGTAATCCCAGCACTTTGGGAGGCCGAGGCAGACAGATCACCTGAGGTCAGGAGACCAAGACCATCCTGGCCAACAGGGTGAAACCCCGTCTCCACTAAAAATACAAAAATTAGCTGGGCATGGTGGCGAGTGCCTGTAATCCTAGCCACTTGGGAGGGTGAAGCAGGAGAATTGCTTGAACCTGGGAGGCGGAGGCTGCAGTGAGCCGAAATTGCACCACTGCAATCCAGCCTGGGCAACAGAGTGAGACTCCATCTCAAAACAAACAAACCAAAAACAAAATTCACAGTGAAAAAACTGGGCTCACTGGATTCCCAGGAAAGTTAAGAGACAGAGAAGAGACAGCGAGAGAGAGGAGAGAGGAGGAAAGAAGAAAAGAAAAGCCGCCTCCCCCCACCGCTGGTCTGGTTAAAGGCAGACACATTTCCTAAAGATAAGGCAGTCTAAACCACTCTGCAGCTGACTATTACATAAGAATAAGTTTGTGTAAACGCAGCCACGTGTCACTTTATGACAAGGACACATTCTGAAAAACGCGTCCTTAGGCCATTTTGTCGTCGTGGGAACTCGTGTGAACCGACTCGGTGTGTCCAGTGCACACCCTAGCCACGTGGCGTGGCCCACGGCTCCCCAGTACACGTCTGCACGGCATGTGGCTGCACTGAACACCGTGGGTGACTGCCCCACAGCGGTCACAGTTTGTGAATCTAAACACATTTAAACATGGAAAAGATGCAGTAAAACTACGCTCTCACGATCTCACGAGAACCCTCATAGGTGAAGTCCGCCGTTGACCCGACGCCGCGGTGCAGGACTGCATTTGGCTCTGGAATCATTTGCAGATTTAGTGACACAGTGTGTGCATGGCTTACAGCAAGAATGGTTTACAAAATAAATATCATAATCCAGACAATTAAGATGATTGGTTTTGGTTAGAAATTTTCAGCATGAATTTGGCAGCTCTACAAATCTGTGTCTCTGGTTCAGACAAAAGAGCCCAAATGAGCGGGAAAGGAGCCTGCACTGCTGCGGAGACGGGACCGCTGCTGCCTGCTCTCCACCCCACTCCACTCCGCGTGCTTCCTTCTGGGGGACGACGCCTGGGGCAGCCTCGGGCAGGCGTGCTTCAGTCGGGGGTCTCTGACCAGCCCATCCCCCGGAACGGCAACTCGCTTGCTGAAGCCCTAAGCTCAGGACTGAGATAATTCCAACAACTTCAAACTCATCTTCAACATAAGTCAATTTTTTAAAAAAGTGACACTCAACACAACTGAAAAAATAAAAAAAAAAGCTCGGGTGAAATTTGCATCCAACATCCACCTGGTCTGGATGGTGACCGACGAACGTCCACCCGGTCTGGACGGTGACCGACGCCCACAGAGCCAAAGGGTGTTTTTCTCTGTTTCTCTCTCTCTCCATTTTTTTTTTTTTTTTTTTTGAGACGGAGTCCCGCTCTGTGGCCCAGGCTGGAGTGCAGTGGAGCCATCTCGGCTCACTGCAGCCTCCGCCTCCCAGGTTCAAGCAATGCTCCTGCCTCAGCCTCCAGAGTAGCTGGGAGTACAGGTGCCCACCACCACACCGGCTAATTTTTTGTATTTTTAGTAGAGACACAGTTTCACCATGTTGGCCAGGCTGGTCTCGAACTCCTGACCTCAGGTGATCCGCCCGCTTCAGCCTCCCAAAGTGCTGGGATTACAGGCGTGAGCCACTGTGCCCAGCCCACTGGGTGTATTTCTATAAACATTTTTACAAAATGATACATCTTAAGAAAATGAGACACATAATTTGGTACTTTGTCTTTTCTTTTTCTCTTTTTATTTCTTAGAACAAGGTCTCGCTCTGCTGCCTAGGCTAGAGGGTGTGATCACAGCTCACTGCATTCTCCAACTCCTGGGCTCAAGGGATCCTCCCACCTCAGCCTCCCAAAGTGCTGGGGTTACAGGCACGTATCACCATACCTGGCCTTTTTATAAAAGAAAGATCACATTTTGAGCATTTTAGCTTATTCAGAAACAATCTAATCACAGCATCCCATTTATCACAAGGACCATCCTCATTGTACTGCTGGGCTGTGGGCTGTTCCCCTCTGTTGTTGTAAACGCTGGCAACGCAAACATCCACACAACCAACTCCCAGACCACATCTCCGGTCATGCCCTGAGCGCAGAACCACTGGTCAGAGGCGTGAGCATCGTGAGGCTCCCTGGAGGCACCACAAAGGCCACTGCCAATGGGTCCGGCTCACCCACTAGGGTCCGGGGTGCGCTTGGTCTTTGCCAATGTGATATATCAAGGCAGTTTTCTGGCCTGCTGTTTGCATCTTTACACGATAGTTAAAAACACCAGTGCAAGACTGAAAACAACACATTATATACAAATAATAAAAACAAACACTTCTAAACCAGCAGCGGTAAAACTTCTACAACATCCCCTTGATTTATTTCCTGTTTCTCACTAAAGACACCACAGGGCCTGGCTGACCTTCCAGCCTGCCCACCGGCCCGAGGCCGGCCCCCGCACCGCACAGAAGCCAGACGTCCAGGCCCCCCCAACCCACCGCACAGAGGCCAGCTGTCCAGGCCCCCCGACCCACTGCATAGAGGCCAGTCATCCAGCGCCTGCCCCCACTGCACAGAGGCCAGTCATCCAGCCTCCCCGACTACATAGAGGCCAGCCGTCCAGCACCCCCCCGCCACCCACTGCACAGAGGCCAGCTGTCCAGCCCTGCCACCACACAGAGGCCAGCTGTCTAGCCACCCCCCTCCCCGACTCACTGCACAGAGGCCAGCCGTCCAGCTCCCCCTACACCCACCCCACAGAGGCCAGCCATCCAGCTCCCCCCGACCCCTGCACAGAGGGCAGTTGTCCAGCCCCCTCACTGCACAAAGACCAGCCGTCCAGCACCCCCCCACCCACTGCACAGAGGCCAGCCGTCCAGCACCCCCCCAACCCCACCCACTGCACAGAGGCCAGCCATCCAGCCCCCACACCACACAGAGGCCAGCCGTCCAGCCTCCACCGCACAGAGGCCAGCTGTCCAGCTCTCCCCCACCCGCTGCACAGAGGCCAGCCATCCAGCTCCCCCCGACCCACTGCACAGAGGCCAGCCGTCCAGCTCCCCCCACCCACTGCACAGAGGCCAGCCGTCCAGCTTCCCCCGACCCACCGCACAGAGGCCAGTGGTACAGCCCCCACCCACCGCACAGAGGCCAGCCGTCCAGCTCCCCCCCACCCACCGCACAGAGGCCAGCCATCCAGCTCCCCCCAACCCACTGCACAGAGGCCAGCCGTACAGCACCCACTGCCACACCAAGGCCAGCTGTCCAGGGAAGTTCACTGTTGCACATGCTGGCAAATTGGGCATATACTGGTCCCCCTTCCCTGGGTCCATTCCACACAGTCCATAAAGTAAAACCTTGTGATTTCACAGACAATGGGACGTGGGTCTTGAAAACTTTACGTGAAGGACAACGTCACGGCATGGCACAGAGACATCGGACACGTGGGTACACGAAGGGCTGCAGCCCCGGGCCCCCCTGCCAAGACGCACTTAACCTAAGAACCCGGGACATGCTCCCTCCTCAATGGCCACAGCCGCACCCAGAGCCCAGCTCATGTGGCCACAGCTTCTGCCGTGGCTGCTGCAGACATGGAGCCCCCACCATTCCCAACCCATGCCGGCAGGCTTCAAGCCAAGGACCTGTTTATCCTGAGCTCCTGCAGAGCTTCCCTGATGAGTCTGGAGAGTTAAGAAGGTCCTAGGCAAAATGCAAGGCGCTCCCGGCAGGATCCTCCTCCTGGGGCCTGGGGCCAGGGCATGGTGGCTGCTATGGGGCAGCCCCGGGGGCCGGGTGGGGCATTGCCTCCCCCCAGCTTCCCGCGAATCTGCAGTGGCTGCAGAATCAAGTTTAAAAATGCTTCTCACTGAGCCAGATGCAACCTCCACACCCGCAGCAACACCCAGAGAGGCTGCAGCTGAGTCACAGGGGGGTCCGGGCTTCCCGCCCCGGCAACACTCCCCAGGACTCCTGTGTTTGCCGCCCCTCTGGGGGTCCGGGGACGGTGCTCCCATGGAGGTGGACACCAGGGGGCCCAGAACTGCCGAGTGTGAGCCCACAGGTCAAATGGAAACACCTGCCAGGCCCTGCGAGTCCCGACACGGGTCCCACAGCAGTGTGGCTCGTGGCTCAGGTCCTGCTGTCCTCACGCTGCGGTGGAAGCGGCATGGGACGTGGCATGGAGGACAGTGGCCCCCGTGGCCTGGGGAGCCGGCCACACAGTCCTTTCCACGGGAGGAGCCGTTCATGCCCCTGAACCTGTGTCTCCCTCGCCTGGGAAGGGCGTGAGGGATTTTTTTTCAGCCGAAAGCTCGCGACAGAGATGCCGTCTGCGCTGGGACAGAGGGGGAGGAAAAAAAAAAAAAGACATATCCTGAAATGATCACTGTCTGATTCTCAATCGCAGGATTATCGAATTCTTTTTTCTGAGACAGGGTCTCGCTCTGTCACCCAGGCTAGAGTGCAGTGGCCTCACGGGATCCTCCCACCTCAGCCTCCCGAGCAGCTGGGACCACAGGCGCACCACCACACCTGGCTAATTGTTATATTTTGTGTAGAGATGGGGTCTCTCCATGTTGCCCAGGGCGGTCTCAAACTCCTGGGCTCCAGCGATCCTGGTGCCTCGGCCTCCCAAAGCGCTGGGATTCCAGGTGTGAGCTGCCACGCTGGTGCAGGACTCATTTATCGTGGTTTATCTGTGTTTAAAAGTCTTCTACAGTGAACGGTGTTTGTTATTTGTACAACCAAAAAAATGAGAAACTTTGCTCTGCTCTCAGGTCTTGTGTCTCAACCTCTGCCCAGCTCCTCCCCCGCCCACCTGGTGAATGGGCTTCAGTTTCCAAAGAGCTGAGCCTGAGGCCCTGCCATGTCCCTCTCCCTTAGAAAGGCCACGTCCCCAGCATCTGAAAACACTCTCCTCATGAGTCGCCCCGACTCCGCCGGTGAACGATGAGAATCCCGGAATCGCGCCCTCGGCAGCAGAAGCCCAGAGCAGAGGCAGTTCCTTTGTTTAAGTGGTTTGGGTAAAATCCTTTAATTCTGATTTTCCGAGGGTTAAAGCCCGCACGTGCTCATTGCTTAGGTGAAAACCGTGAAGGCTGCTCATGACTCCTGCAGTTTCCAGACAGACGAAGCGACAGACTCTGAACTCGGCAGGGCCACACCCGCCCACAGGACTCCACAGGAGCAGCTTCAGGAGGGCGAGGGTTTCAGGGTCCTCCCGCAGCCCTCCTCAGCCGGCAGCCGCGGGCCTCATGGCCATTTGGTTGTGTGACGGCTTTTCCCTTAGTTAAAAGAGAAAGAGAGTAAGAAAGAAAGACAGACAGAGAGAGAGACAGAGACAGGGAGAGAAACAGAGAGACAGAGACAGGGAGAGAAACAGAGAGACAGAGACAGGGAGAGAAACAGAGAGACAGAGACAGAGAGACAGATGGAGAGACAGAGACGGAGAGAGACACAGAGAGGCAGAGACAGAGAGAGACAGAGCGACAGAGACAGAGAGATGGAGAGACAGAGATGGAGAGACAGAGAGAGAAACAGAGAGAGAAACAGAGACGGAGAGAGAGATGGAGAGAGATGGAGACAGAGAGAGAGACAGACACAGAGATAGACACAGAGAGACAGAGAGACAGAGACGGAGAGACAGACACAGAGAGGCAGAGACAGAGAGAGACACAGAGAGACAGAGCGACAGAGAAATGGAGAAACAGAGATGGAGAAAGAGACAGAGATGGAGAGACAGAGAGAGACAGAGAAACAGAGACAGAGATGGAGAGAGACAGAGAGACAGAGACAGACAGACACAGAGAGTCAGAGACAGAGAGACAGAGAGAGACAGAGAAACAGAGACAGGGACAGACACAGACAGAGACGGAGAGAGACAGAGACAGACACAGAGAAACACAGAGAGACAGAGACAGGGACAGAGACAGAGATGGAGAGACAGAGACGGAAAGAGAGACAGAGAGACAGACGGAGAGACAGAGAGACAGACGGAGAGACAGAGAGAGACAGAGAAAGAGATGGAGAGACAGAGACAGAGAGAGACAGAGACAGAGAGAGAGACAGGGAGACAGAGATGGAGAGACAGACAGAGACGGAGAGAGACAGAGATGGAGAGACAAAGAGAGAGAGAGACGATCAGCGCATTTCTCCGACGTGAGGCAGCCTCTGGGTCTTCTGGGCTTGTGTGTCTGGAGCTGCCCCAAGACCACACAGTGGCCAGCGGTCAGAGGCTCCTCGGAGGCCAGCTTTGCCCCCTGACCTGTGCCGGCAGAACTCGGCCCTGAGAAAGTTTTGCCCGCCCAGGAGAGGTCGGCCTTCCTGGAGGGCAGCCCGGAGCCCGGCCTAAAGAGGCCAGGTGGGCCCGCACACGCCGCGTTTCTCGGTGATAGTGCGGCGGCATCTGTGCGTCACCCCCGACATGATTCCCGACCTCTGGCTGGGCCTGGCCGCTGGACGCAGCCTTCACCCTCCCACAGCCTGCCCCAGGGATGACCCCACAGACCACGTGGTTTTCTTCCACGACCCAAGACAAGGCCTTTCACAAAATCCTGCCCAGCAGGCCGGGGAGTGGAGGGAGGGCTCGGCGGCCCGGGCAACCTTAGGATTTCAGGAGTCAGAGGGGGGCCTGGGACCACTGCTGTCCCACCCTGGAGGGTCACCCAGAGGCCCCGGGCTACTGTCCAATGGGCTGGCTCCCGTCCAACCCTCCCTGAAGCCAAGGCCGCCTGACTCTGAGGCTGCGGGCAGGGCCTCCTCTCCACGTGGGACCCAAGCTCTGTGCCCATGGGAGGGAAGGCGGCCCAGAGGAGGGCACGGGCCTCACAAGCCAGCAGGAAAGATGGAATCGGTGGATGAGAAGCAGGTGACTGGGGCCAGGGTGGGAACAGAAAGATGGGGACACCCAGCCCGGCCCTCCTGCCCGCCGGGTGAGGCTCAGGATGCAGGGGCAGCCCCTGCAGCCATCTGTGCCTTGGCCTCTTGTCCCAGGCAGTCCCAGGTCCAGCCCCTTCCACCAGGACAGTGGTGCAGGCACCAGCGGCCCATGGCCTACCCACAGTTCCCAGGACCGATGTGGCCACGGGCAATGACCCTGGGGCAGGATCTGCTGTCCCCATCTGTCCTCCCCAAGGCTGGGCAAGTGGATCCCGGGTCCGCATGGGAGGGAGCCCAGGACGCCGCCTTTGGGAAGAAGGTGGACAGCCGGGTGCATGGGCAGCCTCCGTCCCCAGACAGGGAGTGCCACAGCTGCGGCCCTGCCAGCCAGGTAAGCCCAGCCCAGGAACTCAAACCAAAGTCAAAGCCACAGACCGGGAGCGCGCGGGATCTGGGCTGTGAGGCCGGAGTGCAGAGGTTTTGTTTTAAAGGACACATTTGGGGATTTCATAAAAACTGATGGCGTCCCGTGGCTCCACCACACGGGATTGGAGTACGACCAGGACACAGACCCTTCCCTGTTCTTTGGAAAAATCGAAGTCATCCCCTCTGTACGCGCCCCAACCCTCCCAGGTCCACCCCTGTATCTCGTGAGCCTCACAACAGCTTTGGACACAGGCCCTGCCATCCCAGGCCCAGCAGCCCCCAACACTGTCCCCACCCCTCTATCTGCCCTGCCCTGCCCCGGATGGGTGAGAAGCTGAGCTCAAGACCCTGAACCCCCGCCCCCGAGGCAGCCCCCAGCCCTCGCCCAGAGCCGACAGCTCCCTGTAGGCCTCCTCCCAAATGTTAACGTGTGGGCCAGAGCACGCTTTCTACAAAGCCCCCGATGTCAGCCTTTCTCCCTCCCAGAAAAACTACAGATGGGAGAAAGCACCTTCCATGGCTCTGAAACATTCCTTGCAGCTCAAGGGTGGGAGAGGGTGCTTGGGAAGCAAAAGGAGCCCGTTGGGAACCCAAGCTCAGTGGGAACCGGGCCTCCCTGTGGGATCTCAGTGCCCCTGGGCAGTGGGAACAGGGCCTCGCTGTGGGATCCCAGCGCCCCAGGCAGCAGGCCCCATGCCGTACACCCTCCCTCTCCCTCACTCCCCTGCCCTCCGGGACAGTAGCTGCTGCAGCCGGGGGCCGCTGCATCTTCTCGTGGCTGGAGAGCAACAGTGTGGTCCGGAGGGCGGGGAAGTGCCCCAGGCCCCCACCACCCCCGTCACCCACTCATCCCCAAGTTCACACCAGGGACAGGTTCCAGTCACTGCACACGCGGACTCTTCTCGGACCCCAAACACCTTCTCAGACGTCTCCAGGGTCAGGGCCCATCTGTCATTATTACTCACAGGAAGTTTTGGCAGTGGGGGGCCTCCGACTGCACTTGCCATGGATGGCTTATAAAACAAAAACCAAAACCAGAAATGTCATATTGCACAAGTTAATGTGGGGTGGGGCACAGATCAGTCATGGAACTGATTCCGTTTCTAGTGGTGCCAAGACGGCCCGGCTCAGCTCTCAGAGTTCACTCAATCTTCTCAGCTTGGACCTACGGGAAACTTGGGGGTTTCACAAGAACTGACGGCATTCTGGATGTTCACTGAAGAGCAGCCTAGGTGATTCACGGGTAATACTTGGAGCTACAACAAATACAGCGGTTTCTCAAATCACCTAAAGGGATCTTTCAAAATAAGGATGTGTTACTCTCCAAAGACTCCTGTCCTGGATGTTGCCAAAACAAAGGATGCTCAGACTCTGACGCCTGGAGCTACAGAGCACCCTTGGCCCTCGGGGTCGGAGAAGACCCAGCACCAAGACGTGCCCAAGCTTCCAGCTTCGCGCTCAGCTGTGATGTCGCCACGGGGACAGGACACAGCCCATGGTGGCGGCACTGCCAAGAGCTGCTGCTTCAGCCCAGTAAACACAGAGTTGCTTCACAGCCCTCTCCTGGTCTCTGTGCCTGCAACGCAGCTTGTGGACAGGGACTCCGCCTTGCAGCTGACTCCTGGAGGCCGCTGGGCCACGTGGACCTCAGAGCCCAAAGTGCTCCAATACCTGCCCCGCACCTGTCCAGAACCGAAACCTGGAGGCTTGACAGCTTCTTACCAGAAGTTTCCACGTGTCTCCATTTCCTCATCCACAAAAAGAGGCTGATCCCTGCTCTCCACCTCCACAGGCCCGACACTGCACTCCCAGACCCCTGGGGTGGCCCTTGCCCGGCACCGCCCCTTGCAGCCAGGGCTCCAGGCGAAAGCAGACGTCATCCAGGCGCTACTGCCCCACGGACGGCCCGGTCTCTGGAAACACACTCGACCTGTCTGCCCGTGGGAGGAGGACGGGCATTTCCTCGTGATTCCAGGTCTGTGCCACATGTCATCTTGGTGTCAGGGAACCCTCGAGTTCTGGGAACAGTGGCCTGTGCAGAGGGAGAGGAGCTGGGGTGCCCCACAAGCCTCAGAACTGCCGTGATGGGGGTCAGAGGGGACAAAGGCACAATACTGATTTTGCACACCAACATCAGAACACGTTCCTGACACACATCACGGCTTCCAGCGTAGAAGTGTGTGTGGGCTCCATGTTTCCAGTGAGAAAACACTCCTCCCATAAACTAGAACCTCTGGCCCTGAGGAGCAGAATCAAGCTGCAGGTGGGTTCGGGGGTTCCTGGAATATGACTCCACGCGGGGCAAAGCAAACATCTAGGTGGCCCTGCTGGAGGGGCCTCCCTCTTCCCCTCTTCAGCGACGTCTCCTGGAAATGCGTCCCACCCTCTTCCTCTCTGCAGCAACGTCGCCTGGAAAAGCATCTTCCTCTTCCTCTCTGCAGCAATGTCACCTGGAAACGCATCCGCCTCTTCCCCTCTGCAGCGACGTCACCTGGAAACGCGTTCCCCTCTTGCCCTCTGCAACGACATCGCCTGGAAACGCGTCCTCCTCTTCCTCTCTGCAGCAACGTCGCCTGGAAACACGTCCTCCTCTTCCTCTCTGCAGCCATGCTGCCTGGAAATGCGACCCCCTCTTCCTCTCTGCAGCGACCTTGCCTGGAAACGCATCCACCTCTTCCCCTCTGCAGCGACGTCTCCCGGAAACGCATCCCCCTCTTCCTGTCTGTAGCGATGTCACCTGGAAACGCATCCCCCTCTTCCTCTTTGCAGTGACCTCGCCTGGAAATGCGTCTGCCTCTTCCTCTCTGCAGCGAAGTCACCTGGAAAGGCGTCCCCCTCTTCCTCTCTGCAGCGAAGTCACCTGGAAAGGCGTCCCCCTCTTCCCCTCTGCAGCGACCTCGCCTGGAAACGCGACCCTCCTTCCTCTCTGCAGCGACGTCACCTGGAAACGTGTCCCCCTCTTCCTCTCTGCAGCGACGTCGCCTGGAAACGCGTCCCCCTCTTCCTCTCTGCAGCGACGTCGCCTGGAAACGTGTCCCCCTCTTCCTCTCTGCAGCGACGTCACCTGGAAACGCGTCCCCCTCTTCCTCTCTGCAGCGACGTCGCCTGGAAACACGTCCCCCTCTTCCCCTCTGCAGCAACCTCGCCTGGAAACACATCTGTCGCACAGCCCAGTGCTGATGGAACGCAGCATGCAGGCCACATGGTCTCACATGGGAAACCTTGGGAGGTGCACACGGCGTCCGGTGTGGCCTTTACAACTACTGTCTCTCCCCAAAGCCGACTAAGCCCTGTGCGTCTAACCCAGCTTCCAGAGATGTTCTAGAAGCACTTATAAAAAAGAAAATCCCATCATAATGTAGAAAACATTTTGCTCAAGAATCCAAAAAACGTTAATTTGCACTTAAGATCTGGTTTTGAATGTGAATAACTGTTGCCCTCCAACTCCCGACTCAGGTTTAATCCCGAGGGAGGAAGTCCCTGCGGCTGCCCGGCTGCCGAAGCACCTACCACCAGGCCCACCTATCCCGCTGCTCAAAAGCCAACGTTGGCGCAGGAGCAAATCCTGTTTTGTCTGTGGTCACCGACGCACATCAGGACCAGACACTTCCTCCCAGCTGGACCACAGGCAGCTTAGGAAATCTCAAAATTGGGAACCTGGGAAGGTTTCCAGCTCCCTGCCGCCCTCACGCTGTCTCCACGGGGGCATCTGAGCTAACCAGGCAGGTTCTGACCCTCCTAGGGGGGCTCCCGGGCAGGCAGGTGCCGGCCCTCCTAGGGGGGCTCCCGGGCAGGCAGGTGCCGGCCCTCCTAGGGGGGCTCCCGGGCAGGCAGGTGCCGGCCCTCCTAGGGGGGCTCCCGGGCAGGTTCTGACCCTCCTAGGGGGCTCCCGGGCAGGTTCTGACCCTCCTAGGGGGGCTCCCGGGCACTCGGTCTTCGGTGAGATGGGGCAACATTTCAGATCTCCATGATCTGACTGTAAAACTCTGGCTCACACCTGCAATGCCAGCACTTTGAGAGGACAGGTCGGGAGGACTGCTTCAGGCCAGGAGTTCCAGATCAGCCCTGGACAACACGGCAAGACTCTGTCTCCACAAAACTTAAACAATTAGCCAGGTGTGGTGCCGCACGTCTGTGGTCCCAGCTACTCGGCAGGCTGAGGTGGGAGGGTCACCTGAGCCCAGGAGGTCGAGGCTGCAGTAAGCTGTGATGACACCCTGCACTCCAGCCTGGACAACAGAGCAAGACCCTGGCTCAAAAAAAAATATCTGAGCAAAAAGCCACGTTGTTTTCTCCTTTCCAGGAACAGAGTGCCTTCTCCTCCTCATGGCTAACAACAGACATGGACAGAGTAACATTGAGAAGGACCAGGGAGAAGATGCCCCAGCCCTTCCACACACGCCTGGGAGAACGCACAGGCCCTCGGCCTCCGCAGCCTCCTCACACCCTCACACCAGTCCTTCCCATCAGAAACTGGTGTTGCAAACCCCGCCCTCCAAGTGTCAGCTGTGAACTCCATAACAGCAGAAACAAACTAAACAACGCAGGCAGAAAACCGTGGGCTGCCAAATGCTACCGAAGCGGCTCAAGAAGGAGCAAATGAGCCAAGACCAGGGTGCTCGTGCAATCAGGAGGCATGATCTTCTCAACTCTGAGCCCCTCACCAGCGGAGGCTGGCAGACGCAGTGCCTTCTCCAGGGAGCTGTGGCTCCAAGGACACCACAGGCTGCGTAAAGCCCCTCGACTGGGCTCTGACCCCAGAAGGCTCCACATCTTGGTGACGAGAGCAGAAGGCCAGTCTGGGCCGAGGGTCCCCGTGACACGTGCCCCCACCCCGTACAGGCCTTGTGACAAGAGGGCTGAGCTCGCCAGGTCTCCTGGGAGTCGGGGTCCCAGCACCGGTGGAGTCTGGAGTGTAGGTTGCGGGGTCTGCTCATCATGGCAGAGTCCAGTTCTGTTGGTTGTGACTAGGCCACCCTGGACAAATGGCCTCAGCTGCGTCCACAGTCGGGTGGCCGTTAAGCGCCTGACTGTGACCCGACAGCTCCCTACCACAGAGCGTCGCAAGGCATGGTGGGGCAGCACGCGGATTCTTCCTGCCATCACACAACGAAACTGCTGGCTCCCCCGACCCCCACAGTCTCCATCAACACCCCGAGCCCTGCAGACCCACAGGAAGGGGAGGAAGAAGGCAGGGTGCTGGGGGCTCCACCCACCCCATGGTGGCAGGGACCAAGGACAGATTCCAACATCGCAATGAAACTTGGTAGGCAGCTCCTGAATAGGACGCATCCACAGCACCACAGAGGACAGGCCCAGCCATAGCCCATCTCCCGCCACAGCCCATCTCCTGGTATAGCCCATCTCCCATCTCCCACCACAGCCCATCTCCCATCTCCCACCACAGCCCATCTCCTGCCCAGCCCATCTCCCATCTCCCACCACAGCCGATCTCCCATCTCCCACCACAGCCCATCTCCCATCTCCCACCACAGCCCATCTCCCACCACAGCCCATCTCCCATCTCCCACCACAGCCCATCTCCCACCACAGCCCATCTCCCATCTCCCACCACAGCCCATCTCCCATCTCCCACCACAGCCCATCTCCTGCCCAGCCCATCTCCCATCTCCCACCACAGCCGATCTCCCATCTCCCACCACAGCCCATCTCCCATCTCCCACCACAGCCCATCTCCCACCACAGCCCATCTCCCATCTCCCACCACAGCCCATCTCCCACCACAGCCCATCTCCCATCTCCCACCACAGCCCATCTCCTGCCCAGCCCATCTCCCATCTCCCACCACAGCCGATCTCCCATCTCCCACCACAGCCCATCTCCCATCTCCCACCACAGCCCATCTCCCATCTCCCACCACAGCCCATCTCCCACCACAGCCCATCTCCCATCTCCCACCACAGCCCATCTCCTGCCCAGCCCATCTCCCATCTCCCACCACAGCCGATCTCCCATCTCCCACCACAGCCCATCTCCCATCTCCCACCACAGCCCATCTCCCACCACAGCCCATCTCCCATCTCCCACCACAGCCCATCTCCCACCACAGCCCATCTCCCATCTCCCACCACAGCCCATCTCCCATCTCCCACCACAGCCCATCTCCCGCCACAGCCCATCTCCCGCCACAGCCCATCTCCCGCCACAGCCCATCTCCCACCATAGCCCATCTCCCATCTCCCACCACAGCTGAGGGCTTCCTGGGGACCGTCTGGCTTGCGCGAGTCACCTGCTGGCCTGCTCAGCCAAACGCAAGCTCCAGAGCCACCACCGCGAATGCCAGGGAGGCACACAGCCACGTTCTTCAAGACCCTTCAGAGCCAGCCCAGCCCAGTACCCACAGGAGGGACTGGAGACTCCCCAGGGCCTGACACCCATGCCGGGAGCCAGGAGGCCAGCTGAGGCTTGTCTAGCTCCAGAAACAGCAGGAAACAGCAGGACAGGTTGTGCGGGGGACTCCCCAGCAAGGGTTAGCGGGAACCAGAGCCAGGGCGACGTGGCTTCGAGGCTGGCTGTGGGTTGTTGGGGGGCTTCCCTCCCCAGAAAGGGAGGGGCTTACAGGGAGACGCAGTGGCAGTCAGTCCTGAGCCGTTCCAGCCCATGCCAGTGTTTTACAAACCATGGGGCAACTCGACACCCTCGGCTTCTTTGCTATCCGTCTTCCCAGGAGGTGATGGCAGCGGGAAGCTCGGGGAAGACCCCACGGCTACCACCTTACACGTCTCGCTATGCTGGGGTTCGGTACAACGCCTTAGAGACTATGTTCACCATCACCCCAAAGGGCCCACCAGCGCCCGCGGACAGTCTGGCTCCAGAGCCCAGAGATGGCCCCACTACAGGACCTGGGAGCTGTCAAAAGCCTGCACTGTTCCCCCAACACTGCCGGGGCCCGAACCCCTCAGGTACCAGAGCCACAAGAGCAAAGGGCATTCAAACGCAGGAGGAATCGCTACTGAGCCTGGCAGAGGACTCGTGTCTGCGAAAGAGAAGACAGAGTCCACCTGTTACTGTGCTGGGGGTTAGCTGATCTTATTCCAAATTGTGATAAACTGTGAAACTTTCAGATAACTTATGAAACACAAGAGAGTGAACGTTTTCTCAGACCTTTTGAAACTAATACTATGCATAGCAGAAAAGTGACCGATATGCTAAAATCTTCAATATTGCAGCCCAAAACTTAATGTCTGAAATAAACAGGGTTTTTTTGTTTGTTTGGAGACGGAGTCTCGCTCCTCTCGCCCAGGCTGGAGTGCAGTGGCACGACCTCAGCTCACTGCAACCTCCGCCTCCTGGGTTCAAATGATTCGCCTGCCTCAGCCTTCTGAGTAGCTGGGATTACAGGCGCCCGCCACCATGCCCAGCTAATTTGTGTACTTTTAATAGAGATGGGGTTTCGCCAATTTGGCCAGGCTGGTCTTGAACTCCTGACCTCAGCTGATCCACCTGCCTCGGCCTCCCAAAGTGCTGGGATTACAGGCGTGAGCCACTGCGCCTGGCCAAGAGATTTGAATATACGTTATTGCACCAACCTAGCGGCTATTTCTGATCATTGAAACCAAGCGGACTCTAAGTAAACATTGTTTATTAGCCTATCTCGCCCCTTAGGAATTCTTTTTCTTTACCTCACTCCTTAGAAATTCTTTTTAAACATTCAGTTCTAAGAGGCAATGTTTCATGTGTAGAAATTGAATTCAAGGGCTGGGCGCGGTGGCTCATGCCTGTAATCCCAGCACTTTGGGAGGCCGAGGCGGGTGGATCACGAGGTCAGGAGATCGAGACCATCCTGGCTAACATGGTGAAACCCCATCTCTACTAAAAATACAAAAAAATAGCCGGGCGCGGTGGTGGGCGCCTGTAGGCCCAGCTACTTGGGAGGCTGAGTCAGGAGAATGGCGTGAACCCAGGAGGCAAAGCTTGCAGTGAGCCGAGATTGTGCCACTGCACTCCAGTCTGGGTGACAGAGCGAGACTCCATCTCAAAAAAAATAAATAAATAAAATAAAAAGAAATTGAATTCAAGAATTGTGCTGTTAAAGTTACCAATAAATTCAGTCAAAATACCTCCGCCTTTCCAATTCCCCTACAACCTTGCCTCTACAAAGGCAACTCCAGAGACTGTCTGGGTGCGGAGAGTGAGACACGTGGAGACTCTGACAGGGACACTTTCCAGAGGCTGATGCCCAAAGAGCAGATGTCGGCACAGACAGACCTGGACATGGACGCACATGGCCTGTGGCAGGTGCCCAGGTGGAGGAGGCCGAACGATGAAGGAATGAGGAAGCAATCACGTAGACTTTAGTTCCTGTCGGTCAATATGAAATCTTTAAAAGCTACCATTTGAGAACCACTATTTATAAATAACCCGCACAGCCTTCAACGTGCACTCTCGCCCTGGCCTCCTCCAGACGCAGCCCGGCAACGCCTCCTGTTGCACCCTCAACAGCACACGGAAAGGTGCCCTGGGAGGCCACTTGCTATGATCACCGTCATTACCCCTGGAAAGAAGCAAGGCGGGAAGAAAACCACTCCTTTCTGATGCCAGAATTCACAGCTTAAGATTCTAATTTTTAGGGGGTATAGCAGGTGGCCTGTGATTCCTGTGCCAGTCCCCCCAAGCTTTGACAATAGACACATCATTCCGCTGAGCTCTAAAATGGCTCCAAACTCTAAAACTATCAAGGTTCTATCACCTACTCTTACTAACTTCACAAACATTATCATGGCTTCAATTGCAGCAAGAATTCAGTATCGTTCTTTGACCATTGTGGGCCTCTCAGAGGCTCTGCATAGCACTGGGGGCCACAGGTGCTGAACAAGCAACAAAAGGCCTCAAAGGACAACAATCCTAGACGGTCCCTGGGAAGGATGCACACAGCACACTTTCCACCAGAAAGCTCCTTCTGGCATAGGGACAGGATTAATGGAGCAGCAGTTCTGTACCACGGTGGGGAGAAGATGGGCATGTCGTGCATTCTCCATCCCAAACTTTGGAGATCATTAAAAATACAGCTTTCTAGTTGTGCAGCCTGAGATCCTGGTGACATTTTCCACGCCTGCCAGAGCTGCTGCATGTGACCGACGGAGAGGCATTCCTGGGGAAGGAAGTCTGGCCTCTCCACCTCGCTGGTAAAAAACTAACATTTCATCTCTGCCGTGGCTTCCAGCTGCCCCAGGGCACCCGCTGACGAGGTCACTTGGAAACAGGGCACAAGGAACCAGGAAACATATTTTGATGTGGAACCAGAACAGTGGGAAAAGGTTAACTGCAAACCCCAGGAGCGAGTTTGGGACATATTTACTGAGCTTTGTTTGTGTGAACACTCAGAAATGTTACAGGCATCACACCTAACTGGGCGCTCTGCAGCCAGGAGATAAAGCTAACAGGGTCACGTGGGCACGGAATTCTTCCTGAAACCCCCAAGCAGAGGAAAAAATAAACAGCCACCCATGCTTTCCAACCTCCACACCAAACACAGGTCCAAGGTGGACAGGAGGGGCTGTGCCTGCCAGAACACGACATCCCTGCGGACACCTTGCCGCCCAGGAGACGAAGAAGGAACCAGGACGAGCTTGCGCTTTCAAAGGCTGCCTGCCATTTTTACTGCGACAGTAAGACCGGGGCTGAGGCAGCCGAACGGTGCTCCCCGCAAACTCACATAATGGAGTCCTGCCCAGCGTGGGGCTGTGTCTGGAGAGAGGGTCTTTACAGAGCGATCAAGTTCAAATGAGGCCACCAGGGTGGCCCCAACCCAGCAGGACCAGTGTCCTCACAAAAGGGGACATCTGGACACAGACATGCACGGTGGATGGAGAGATGAGGAGTCATGGGGAGAAGACGGCGCCTCCAAGCCAGGGAGACAGGTCAGGCAGATGCTCCCTCACAGCCTCCAAAAGAACAGCCCCTGATCTCGGCTTCCAGTCTCAGGACCCCGCGAGAAAACCTTCCTGCTATGAAGGCCACCCGTCTGCGGGACCTTGTCAGGGCAGCCCCAGGAAACAAATACGTGGGGTTCACCCAAAGGTTCACAACTGCATTACGACACTCCTCATGCCAAGTCCCAGTCTTGGGACCTTGATGACATCACTCTTCCCTTATCTCGCCAGTTCAGTGAAGTTCCGCGGTGATGGACGACTTTGTCACCGTCCGTAAGCCTGGAGACCATGAAGCGCGTTGTACATGACTGTGGGCTGGAGAGTCAGTGCCACTACGCTTGTACTTTTACTTAAACAATAACAGTGATAGTACAGCAGGCAAAAACAGTTCTTAAATTTTCCCAATGCCTCCAACTGAATGGGATTTTTATTGTAAATACAATCCGGGTCCTGACACAGGCTCGTTGTGATCACCTAGAATACGCCAGCCTTTTAAACCTTAATGTATTAAAAACAGAAGTTGGGATAGAAAGGTAAATGCGCCCACTGCAAGTCAAGAAAAATCAGGGGTAATCCTTGCTTTCTCTCGAAACCTCAGCTGACGACGATTCTAAGTATCACGCCAGTAGAAAGGCAGAATCAGCCATGGGGCTGCTCAAAGAACTGTCAGCTCTAACACTGTTTCTTTGCCACAAGCCTTCAGAGAGGTTTGGGTGGGTTCGTTCCCAGCCTGGAGGCTTGTTACTGCTTGTAGCTCTAATTCTGTCCATGCGTGCTCCAGCCATGGCTGAAGCATGGCCTGAGACTGCAGAGCAGAGACGGGTCCTCCCAGAGCACCCTCACTGCCTGCCTTCCTCACCCTGCAGGCATGGGGGCTGCACCTGCCCTCCGCTCTGCGGGGTCTCGCCCCCTGAGTGCTCGCTAATAAAAAAGGAGTGGGGGGTGGGGAGGGACGAAAAAAAAAAAAAAACAAAAACAGGAAAACACCCAGCCTGGAATACCCCGGGCTGCGCGTGGCAAACGCCTCTTCCTGAGGACACAGCGGCAGCCCTGACGTCACGGGCCATGGGGCACTGCCCTCGACCTCCTGCACGGACGTTTTCATGCCTCAGATAAAAATCCCAGAGCAGAAAGCACTCTCAGGGGCCACTCACAGCCCACCAGCTGGGAAAGCTGTTTCGTTAGAGATAAAAACACCAAGCTGGTTAAGTGGACCCAGCGGAATTCCAGCAGCCCCTCACACGGTTAAAAAGAAAAACCAACAACCTGGGACCCAAAGAAGGAAGGCGCGTGAGCTCCCCCAGCCTGATGCCACAGCCGGCGTCTCTGGGGAGCAGGAGGCCGTGCTGTTCCAAAGCGTGGCGGACTGGGTGCTCTGGGGCACTGTTGAGCTGCGGTCCCATCTGCACCCGAGGCAGGGAAGGCAATTACTGCAGGGGAGGAAGCGGGAGCAGCAGGCAACCACCGAGGGGGGCCAGGCACGTGCAATTCCCCGAGGAAGAAACTGCGCGTGTGTGAGCCCTCCTTAGGGGCGGATGGCGTCTCCCGGAATTCCCACGTGGAAGCCCTGACCGCCAGCAGGGCCACCCTCTTTGAAATGGGTGTTTGCAGAGACTGAGCGAACACGAGGCCATCAGCAGGGCCCGAGAGGATCTGGAGACTTCAGATGGGAAACGCGCAGACGGAGGCAGAGGCGAGGCGCACAAGGAAAAGTCTGCATGAGGAGGCAGACATGGGGACAGACTCTGCCTCCCAGCTCCACGAGGAGCCCACCTGCCCACCCAGGTCCTGACTCTCGTCCCCAGACACGGCCGCCCCGCGCCGCCCCCCGTCCCGCTCCCCGCGTTCCGCCCCGCCCCGCGCCTCCCCTCGCCTCCCCGTCCCGCCCCGCGCTGCCGGCTCACCTCATGTAGGACGTAGGGGACAGGGGCTTGGGCTTCGCCCACTGGTAGGGGTGCTGCGGCACCGCCAGGTACTGGTCGCAGAAGCCGCCCTTCCTGATGTGCTGGAAAGAGGAGTAGTCTTCGGGCGCGAAGTCGGCCGGGGGCGGGGGGCTGCCCAGGTCCTCCCCGACGGGCTCCACCTTGAGCGCCACTGAGGGCGGCTGCTCCAGGGTGGTCTTGCGGGACTTGACAGGGACGCCATCTCCCAGGTCCAGGCTGCTGTCGGTGGTCAGCGCGTTGATGGCGGCCACGATGGCCGAGCTGGTGTACTGGGTGGTGTTGCCCAACCACGAGTCGTCGGTCACGCTGACCCGCGGGGAGCCGTGCGGGGACGGCGTGGGCGAGTGGTGGGGTGAGTAGGGCGGCTGCCGGCCGTTGAGGCTGTACTTCCTCTTGTTGCAAGGGGACGCGGGTCTGGAGGAGCGGGCACCCAGCCAGCTCTCCTCAGTGACGCTGGCGCGGGGCGAGGTGGAGGGGGAGTGCCGCGGGGAACCCAGCAGTGTGCAGGCCCCCAGCCCGCGGGGAAAGCCCTCCTCGGGGTCCGTGGTCTTGGGAGACACGCAGGGAGACTGCCATGGCGACGTCTGGGGGGACGCGTACGGGTACGAGTAGTTGGACTCGTAGGAGGAGGCCTCTGAGTTGCAGCTCCGGGAGGACAGGCTGCTGGCCGGGCTCAGGCACGAGGGGTCTCTGTAGGCCTCCAGGCTGGGCAGACTCAGCGTGGCCGTGGAGGGGGACCGTTTGGAGCTAGGGAGGACGTCTTCCACCTCCACATCGTGGAAAAACTGGTTATTGTTGTGGTACAGGCCCAAGCACGAGGTTATCTCGATGCGAGGACTCTCCAGGGCAGGGGCCCCATCAGGCCTGGTGTGGCCGGAGGAGAGGAAGTAGCCCGCGGGCCCACCGTCCAAAGCTGCTCCGTACCCCGAGGGGTGATCCGCCGGCGGGATGATGCCCGGTGTGGAGGTCTGAAGGTTGTGGCACGGGGCCGGCAGGGTGGAGTGCGCCGTGGGGAGCGGCAGGGCGGGGCTGACGTTGGAGGATGCATAGCCATAGTGTTCTAGAGAGAAAAAGAAGCAGATGGGAGCATGAGGGGCTGGGCATCACAAAGCAGAAACCCATGAACTCAGGGCCGGCCAGCAACCCCCGGCCTCGACCAACGGACCCCAAGGAGCGGGCCTCAGCAAACGTCCCTGAGACCACGCTGCCGGACAGCTCCGGGCGACTTGGAGTGACAGCCCCAGTCCCACCTGGCCAACAAGGCTCCCGTGAGCCCCTCACTGCCCACCTCCCCTCCTCCCCTAACAGCAGCACAAGCCCCCGAACGTCCTTCCCAGGGAGAGGCGGCCGGGTCCTCACGGGTTCCGCTCTTCATTCAAAAACCACCTTCCCCAACCACCCCATCTTCATCCGAACGTCCTTCCCAGAGAGAGGCGACTGGGTCCTCACGGGTTCCGCTCTTCATTCAAAAACCACCTTCCTCAACCACCCCATCTTCATTTAAACCCCAAACTCAACACGTGGGCCATCCTTCTCTAGTTTATTTTTTCTCCTAAATACGTATCACAATCTAACAGCCTGTTTTTACTCATTCATCCCACACTGTCATCTCTTTGACAAACAGAAACCTAAGTTCCATGAAGACAGAACATCTGGACGCCTTAGTCTATTCTGCTCACCGCTGTTTTCAGAGCCAAAGACTGTGCCTGGCACATAAAATGTGTTCAATTTGTTTAATGGATGGATGGTTGGTGGGTGGGTGGACAATGGATGATGGATAGACAGGTAAAGAAACTGATGGATGGATCATGATGGACGGGGGGTGAAGGGATGATGGGTAGATGGAGAGTAGGTAGATGGATGGTGATGGACAAACAAGGGAGGAATGAGGGATAAAGAGATGGATTATGGGTGGGTGGATGAATGGATGGATGATGGATGGATGGACAGCTAAACGGATGGATGGATGAATGATGCATTGGGGATGGAGGCATGATAGGTAAATGGTGGATGAATGGATGGATAGATAAATGGATGGTGATGGATGGATGGATGGACGAGGAATGGAGGAATAATGGATGGATGATGGATGGATGGATGAATGATGATGGATGGATGGATGGATGGATGAATGAATGGATAGGGAATGGAGGAATGGATGGATGATGGATAGATAATGATGGATGGATGATAGATGGATGGATAGGGAATGGAGGAATAATGGATGGATGATGGATGATGGATGAATGGATGGATAGGGAATGGAGGAACAATGGTTTGATGATGGATGGATGATGATGGATAGATGGATGACGGATGGATGGATAGGGAATGGAGGAATAATGGTTTGATGGATGGATGGATGATGATGGATGGATGGATGATGAATGAATGGATAGGGAATGGAGGAATAATGGATGGATGATGATGGATGGATGATGGATGGACGGATGGATAGGGAATGGAGGAATAATGGTTTGATGATGGATGGATGATGATGGATGGATGGATGATGAATGAATGGATAGGGAATGGAGGAATAATGGATGGATGATGATGGATGGATGATGGATGGATGGATAGGGAATGGAGGAATAATGGTTTGATGATGGATGGATGGATGATGGATGGATGGATGATGAATGAATGGATAGGGAATGGAGGAATAATGGACAGATGATGATGCATGGATGCATAGGGAATGGAGGAGTAATGGTTTGATGATGGATGGATGATGATGGATGGTGGATGTGTTTTAGATCTAAGGACCTACATATGTAAACAGATTTTAACAGGCTTATCACTGTCAAGGTGCCCTAATCACCAGCTACAAAGAAAACTCCTCAAGGATTGGATGAAAACACAGACTGTGAAATCCCCCTCATGGAGATTCTGATACTGGCTCATATCCTACGAATCCATCTTTTAGAACAAAACAGAAGATTCTGGTACACAGCTAGTCCTAAGAATCATTATGTGTTAATTACACTCAATAAAATATTTTTTAAAATCATTATTAGGGAAATCAGTAATTTTAACAGGAAAGACGTGCCTCTGGATTTCTGATTTGAAAAGACTTTTTATGACATCTTGGAACCTCATGATTACATGCCTAGAGGTGGGTATTCCCAGGCCTCTAAATAATACAAACAAGCACATGGAAATTCTATATTCATCTCCTGGTGCAACTGCACTGGCTGGAAGATACTTTATTCAAGGACAGTGCTGTCTTTCCGCTAAGTCGTGGTTCAGAAACCAACACGGATAAATGCCAAAAAAATCTAGGGTCTCAAAATACCAATACAAACCCACTGTATTTACTAACAGAAATGGTTCTAGCGCCCCAGGTAGGTGGGAAACACGGCACGGCAGCCTGGTAAGAGGACACACCGTGGCCTCAATCCCAGGAGTCACAGCTGCTTTCTGGAAATTCCAGACACTCAGGGGGCAGAGCCATAACAAAGAGAAAAGAAACAGAGCTGCGATGGAGCCACACCTCACAGGTGCGACCAGAAGCTCTCAGGGGTGGGAGGTGAGACCTGCTCAGGATGTCTTCGTATGGGAAGGGCCCCTCCGCTGAGGCTGAGCGCCTTGGGGATGGTGCTAGCCAGGCCCCAGTCCCGCCTTCCCCATCGTAAAGAAATGCCCTCAAGAGGACGGGAGCCACGCAGTCTCCTGCACCGGAGAGAGAACAGTAATGTCAATAAATCAAGGAGGTGGCCAGGCGCGGTGGCTCACGCCTATAATCCCAGCACTTTGGGAGGCCGAGGTGGGCGGATCATCTGAGGTCAGAAGTTCAAGACCAATCTGGGCAACATGATGAAACCCTATCTCTACAAAAAATACAAGTAGCCAGGCATGGTGGCGCACGCCTGTAGTCCCAGCTACTTGGGAGGCTGAGGCAGCAGGATTGCTTGAGCCCAGGAGGCAGAGGTTGCAGTGAGCTGAGATCACTCCAGCCTGCACTCCAGCCTGGGCGACACAGCAAGACCCTGTCAAATCAATAAATCAATAAATCAATAAGGAGGTCTTTCTTTCCCCAGAGCCACAGGCAGGGACTGGGGTGGAGCTGGAGCTGGGCATCCTGACGCCAATTCCAGCCTCCAGCCTGGCCTCTGGTCAGGACACACACACCATCCCCAGGATCTGCCCCAGCTGCAAGACGCCAGCTCTGGGACTGACCACCCATGTTCACTGGCATCCACTGTGCCCCCCGCCCCCAGGCTCCATGCTCACTGGATGCTTCAGGCAAACACCAGGCCCCAACGCTAAAACTTCTGTGACCAACTTTCTAAAAATGAGCCTGGAAAGCAGCTTCCGGGAGAAGGTGAGGTTTCCGAGGAGAATCTGAAGTCCTCTGATCTGCTGGTGATACCTGGGGGGCTCTGGGCCAGGCAAACTGTAGCCCTCTGAGAGCTCCGCCTGGGCGTCACGGTGGCCCCTCCGTGGCCCGTGCAAAGCCCCTGAGCCGGCTGCATCAGACCCGCTGGACAACAGGCCACACAGGCAGGTCGCCCTGTGCCCCACGCCCCACACGCCTGGGTGACCGTGCCAGGCCAGCCCTGACGTCTGCCCCGCATGGAGCGCTGCGGAAGACCCGCGGAGCCGTGGCTGGCTCTGCGGCTGGGGGTCTCGGGGGAAGCACAGGGACGCAGTCCAACGGTGGACAGAAGGAAGGCGCGGTGGGGGACCCACGAGGGGGTTTTGTCGAGCGCAGGCCTGCGGCTCCTGGGGGGTTCCCGTTGAGGTGCCACGCCGAGCCACCTGTTCATTACTCTGCATTCTCACCAAAAGTTGTCCAAAAGATATTCCTTAGCCAAAAACGCCACATTACATACACCGGCCCAGGAACTCACACCCACACTTACTGCTGGGCCCGCTTATTTGTCTAGAAGCCCTCTCGCCTGTTGGAGCAGAAACAACATTATGTTAGGAACCAGCTTCCATCTCACACCAGTCATCAACTCCAGGAGACCCGAAAGCACAGCAGCGGAACTGAGGGAACACGATGGCAGCGTGGATCCGATCACGGGGGCCCAGCCTCCCTCCCACACCCCGACTTCCTCTCGGAGGCATCCGTGGCCTTCAACCGGCTCTTCAGGCCCCACCTGCTCCACACACTTCCCCTCACTGTCCAGACCTCAAAGGGGGCTTAACTGCAATTGATTCATGTACAGATTCCTACACTTCCTGTTTCCCAATCAAAAGAGTATTTATTTCCAAGACAGCTGATCCCACAGCTGAACTACCATTTGCTGGTAGAAAGGTAATTCTGAAGAATTTTTTAAAACCCTAGCAATTAACAGAGCAAGTCTTGGGGCCTCCCCACCATCCTCCCACAGGACTCAGCCCTGAACTGGCTGCTCAGCCAGTGACGGAGCCCAGAGCTGCGCCACACGGGGTACTAGAGCCAGATCACCGGAAGGTTCTAGATGAAACGGGGCAGGAAAGGGGAGGCGGACCTCACAGGTCTCTGTGTGCAAGTCCTCAGGGGCCGTAGCCCTTGACGTTTCTGTGACGGGGGCCCAGGCGTGAGGGGAAGTGAGGAAGAGGAGGAGACTCCGCCCACAGCGAGAGCAGGAAGTGCATGCAGAGGCCCACGGACGCCTGGGGCACCCGAGGGCCTTTATTTAAACTGAAGTATTGCAATAAAACCTGATTCGATGAGGCAAAGAAACACCATAAAGCTTTATTAAAAAACAAAAAGGGCTCACCTAAGCATGCGTTTTCCCTGATCAAACAAATGACAAAACGAAAGCTCAAATGCTTGAATTTCATTAGGATCCCTCGCCCAGGTCCTTGGAGGGCGGGTAGTGGATAAAGTTCCCTTGTTCCTCCTAGAAGAAGGGCAAGGTGTGGGGTCAAGCTGCCCCCAGAGGCCAAGCCCCACACGCCGGGGGCCACTGTCCTGGCTGTGAGCCCCTCCCTCCCAGCTCCCAATGAATTTGGTTTCATGACCCACCTAAACCGTATTCAAATCTGAGTTATTTAACTATTCAAAGGGATCATATTTACATGAAGGGAAAATATTCCCAGTAACTTTCTTGACGATTCTGAGGCGCTTGGGCTGATTCATGTCACGTCAGACACCACCACAGAGCTCGGTGACCCCACTCCCTGGCTGCCGTGTCGGAGGGCCTGGCTCTTTGCCAAGGAGGATTCACTAAATGACAGTGCAGGTGAGCAGGGAGACAGCTGGATTCTAAGCAATGATCGCGGAGAGCACATTCAAAATCCCTTAACGGAAGGTCATGGCATGGCCCCTCTGCTGAAAGTGCCACCTCCTCACTTTTGAGTCCCCTGATCCTCACCGGCTCGCTCAGCCATCAGGTGCCCCACGACACACAGGTGGTTTGGGGGTGCTAGGACAGACGGCCACGCGGGGAGCACCCGGCTCTCAGGCCAGCCTAGTCCCACTGGCCTCAGCAAGTTCCACATGTCAGAGCTGTTAAAAGCGATCTCTCTCACTCTGAGAAATAATTCACTTCAGAACCACACACCTTTCTCGTTTCTGAACAACCACAAAAAACTGTATCGGTGCCTGACATTAAATTAATACATGAAATACTTCTGGTCAGGGCTCCCTACAGGTGCACAGCATTCTAACCTTGCAGACCCCGCCGTGCTGAGCCCCAGGGCACCTGCCCCTCACGACACGCAGTTCCCAGACAGCCACTCCCTCACTCGCTGTGCGCAGGGCAGGACAGCCACGCCTCTGCCTTGCGCATCAGGCCAGCACTGCTGACAAGAATCACCAACTCCAGCCACAGCCAGATCTCTCATCTTTCACAAACTCTGAGAGGCGGCCATCACAGACGACGTTATTTTTCATTTTAAGGAACATTCCCTTCAGCACTTGCTGGGGCTGAACCACAGGTCGACCCCCAGGCACTGCTGTCACCTCTCCAGACAGCCACGGAGTCTGCTGTGGGTGAGGCCAGATGACAACTGTGAATGTATTGGAAATAAAACAAAACGAAGCAGGGCGATCCACGCCAAGACCTTGCTGTTGGAAGCAATGTGCTTAGCAGGCCTGGGAAACGCTGCCTCACAGTGGCACCGGGACGTGGTCAGGCCCGCGGCATGACAGACAGCAACAGCTTCCCAGACGCCGTTCCCCCAACAATCTGCCAGCGAGAAAGATTTACAAAGGCAAATAGGATGGCCTCGTCACAGCGCAAACAAACGGTATTTAATGTTCCATAAATAAGCACGCCAACGCCTTAATAAGGGTCCTTCGTCCAGCCCGGGGCCCAACCTGGGACATCGTTCCTCAGAGGTACTGGAATATTCCCCCTGGTCCGACGCACACATCATTTTAAAGCATCCTTTTTGAATTCTGTTTTCAAGGAATTAAAAAATATCCAAGTTGTTCATGGCTAGCTGAGATCTTCCTTTGAAAAACACGACACAGAACTGAAATATTCCAATCTGCCAGGTAACTCCACCCTCCACGGAAACACCTCTAGAACGTCAGGGGATGAGCTGTGCATGGTAATAGCAGGAACGCTTTCCTAAAACACTGAACTTGAACAACAGAGCATTCCTAATTCAGCTCTCCCCTGGGACCTCTCTGCTCACCAGGCGTCTCTGCCACGGGTTTCCTGCCACAGCCCCCGACCAGCCACGGACACCCCGGGCCCTCTTGGGGAAGAGAAATCCTATTTGGTGAAAATGGACTTGAGAATAAAAGTCTTCCAAAGCTTCAATTCTGCATAAGATGTTGCCTTTCCACAAGGGAACCATTAAATGCCCCAGCAGTGGGCACAGGCCAGTGGCAGACCCGGGCACACAGAGGTTCGGAGGGTGGCCCCGACTGCCAGAGAGGCTCCAGCCCAAACACAGAGGCCTTGGCCAATTTCCTCTGAGTTGCCACGGCGACAGTGCTGGCAGCAGCCAAGCTGGCCAAAATAACTTAGAAAACAGGAGCCCTGGGGCGGGAAGCAGGGCACGCCCGCCTCCCAGCTGACAGCGAAGCAGCTATTTCCTGAGCCCCAGAAGGGAGCGGGACCTCCTCTCTGCAGAGGGAAGCCCGGGGCCTGCTCCTGGGTGGACACAGCCAGAAGCCAGACCCTGGAAGCCCAAACGCCACTCCCATCCCGCCTGGGAAATTATTTACAATATTCTCTTTTCATTGTCCCAACAAATGGTTACTGAATATCTATTCTTTGCACCTGCTGAGCACTTTCGAAATAAAGAACAAGACACAGCCCCTCCCTCAAAGCACCCCGTGAAGACGCGGGACCTGTGCCCGCAGCCTGGACCTAAGTCCAGCGAGATGGAAGGGGTGGGGGCCACAGCGGCGTGGGCCAGGCTCCTGGCCACAGTCAGCCACCCTGCGGCTGCAGCCCCCAACCCCGGTACACTGACCTCAGCTCTGCCAGGACGTACAGCCCCTTCTCAGGGGATCCGGCTGACAGACTGCCTCCTGGGCTCAGGGCCGGCCACGTCCTTTACAACAAAGCTTGACTTTCTGTGCTTAGTCTAATCTATAAAACCCAGTTTGCCTTGCTTTGCAATTGATCTCAGACTTATTCATGTATTCATTTATATCCAGGTTCATCCCAGAAACAACGTGAAGTAGTTTCTATCACCCGTCAAAAGCTGGAGAGTCAATGTAATCATTTAACAATGTGATATAAATAATTAACACCATTGAATCATCATCAAAATGCAGTAATAATGGTAATAAAAAGAAAGGAGAAAACAGCACGGTGTCTCACGGGAAAACACAATATGTACACGTAACATATGAGATACATAAAGAACCCTTCCTAGCAACTTCTTGACACCGTAAAAGCAGGAAGGGGCTCTTCTCAGCTCTCGCCTCTCCTGCTCGGAGCCCCAACTCCTAAAGCCCAAAACCACGGTGGTCTCTGGAGGGGCAAGGACACAGCAGAAAGCTTTCACAAGCCGCCTGGAGAGCCAGCAGCCCAGCTCTGCGGGGCTCCCGGGGAAGGGCGCAGCTCCGGAGGGCCCAGGGTGCCTGCGAGGGTGAGGTTCACGGCTTCACTCATTCTGCTCAAGGAGTGTTTTGGGGGAATGAGCCCGGTGGGTGCCGGGGAGGACTGTGTCCTGAACCCACCTGGAAGGCGGCCACCTGCTTCTGGGTCAGGAGAGACCCCATGTTCACCAGGGTCCCCATATCCGATGCCAGCAGGAAGCCCGCCCACCTCAAAATGGTGTATAAACTGTGGCGTCCTTGTGAGACTAGGCCTCGAGGGGCAGAGACTGGCCTCCTGTGCGTCTTCCCGGATAAGCCTGGAGTTACCTGTGCAGTCACAGGAGGATGCCGCCGCCGGCGGTGTCCTTCCCGAGGCTGCTGTCGCGCACAGTCACGTGTGCACGGAGGCACGGAAGTGGCCCTTGTCACTGGGGGTGCGCTGACCACGTGCCAAGCCAGACACAGTGCCCAGTGTGGCACAGCCCACCCTGGAGGCCTGGGAGGCCGGGGAGACCCAGCTCCATGGGGATAACTACCCCCTGTGCTTCTTCAAGGAGGCAAAGCAGTGAAATCTTCAGCCAGGGCCGAGGGCCCAGGGCCGTACACTGTCCTGCAGGCCCCCTGGGCCTCTGACTGGGGTGTAGGGCCTGGGTTCTGGCAGCACTGGGCCTGTCGCAGGCCCACAGTCAGTGATTCACGCTGTGAACGACCGGGGGTGTACTGGGAGGTCCCACCCGACCCCCGATGACTGCACGGGTGTGGGAGCCTCCACCCCAACAGATCCCAGAGGGGCCACCCTGGTGGCCACACTCTCATGGGACCGACTTTCACCCCATAAAGAGAGGTCGGGAGTGGGGCGACACTCTCGCATGGCACACCCAGGTAGAAAACTCTTCTGCTGAAATGTCCTGGCTCAAGCCGGGGAGGACTGGAACCAGCTCTGGAAGGCGGCGCCAGGGCCACAGGCAGCCCGGGTGGGAAGGGCCTCCGGCGGGTCTCTCTCCCACCCTCATCTGCCTTGGCTCCCACTGACCCCAAAGACCTAGAACCCAGGCCCAGGCAGGGAAGACATTTGGGGAGTGGTGAGTCGAGAACCGCAGGCAGCACAGGTTTGGTTGGAGCGCTTATTTTCAAAAAATGATCAAGACGTTGGAGTTTTTAAAAGAGAGTAGTGAACGATACGGAAAATATGACCCTCATTACAGACTCGGCGGAGGTCCCTGCTTGCCAAGCTCCTCCGGCTTCACCTCCGCGCGGGGAGGGCAGACACGAGGCCTTGAGAATGGGCACAGACAGGGGCGGACGGTGACCAGCCTGGGGTGACCTGGACAGAAGAGATCCCGGGCAGCGGGAGAGGGGCCCAGGCCCAGGGGTGCCCACCCCACTCACTCGCTGCTCTTCGGGAGTGGGGAGTTATTTGTGGTTTGTTTACCTGAAACCCTTATTTCTGACACAGAGAAGAGAAAATGAAAGAAAAGGCTGGGGTCATGGTAGCTCCGGGTAAACTTGAAAGCTGGAGGCTTGGGGGGGTCTGCGGGGCGTGGGGAGACGGCGGCGGGGAGGGAGGGTGACTGTGGGGAGGAAGGGCCAGAAGGCGGCGGCAGGGGCGGGAGGTCAGGGGGAGGGTGGCTGGGGGGAGGGAGGAGGATGGCTGAGGCGGAGGTCGGGGGGCGGGTGGGGGGGGGGTCGGGGGGTCGGGGAGGTCGGGAGGGCGGGACGCGGGGCGGGGAGAGGGTGTCTGGGGGAGCTGGGGCTTCTCCGCCTCTGGCAGCGCCACCAGCCCTCTGTCCGGGACCACTTCGTCCACGCCCGTGTCCGGGCTGCGCTCTTCCCCCAGGACCCCGCCGCGAGCGCTCGGAGGAACCGCATCCGAGCCCAGGACGCCCCGCACTGCAGCGTCCCCCGCCGTAGCCCCTCGGTCCCGGGCGCGCCGGGGACTCCTGGGGTCCCCGGGGAGCGACGAGGACGCGGAGGGGGCCTGGGCGCCCCCAAACCCCGACCTGGCCCCGCGCCCCCCGCGCCCTCCGGGACTGACCCACCTGGGGCGGCCGCGGCGGCGCCCTCGTCGCGCTGGTTAAACTCGAAGAGGAACTCGAAGTCGAACTCCTGGTCCTCCAGCCCCGTCATGGCGGGTCGGGCCGGGGCCGGGGCGGGAGCCGGGGTCGCGGCCGCCAGGGGTTCGGTTCTCCCGGCGCTGCCCGCGCGTCCTCCGCGTAACGTGACCCCCGCCCCTCCCCCCGTCCCCGCCCCGCCCCCGCCCCCCGGGGCGTTTCCGGGTTTACATAAACAACCGGCTCGCGGCCGCCGGCTTCCGAGTTTTAAATAAACTCCCCGGACACGAGTTTTTAAATAAACTCGTGTCCCCCCCGCCCCCGCCCCCTCGCGCGCGCGCGACCGCAGGGGTCCCCCGGCCTCTTGTGCCCTGGGGGTCCCGGCCCGGCGCAGGCTCCTCCGGACCCGGGGGTAGGGGCGTCGGGACCCCACGAGCGGCACCAGGTACCTAAGGCTGCGCCCAGGGCGACGGAATTTTTTTTTTAAGTTTTTTTTTTAAAGAAGTTTTCAATCCGGGCCTCCTCGGGAAAGCGGCTGCAACGGTGACCCCCGAGCGCCACGTGCGCGCCCTGCGGAGCCCCGGGAGTGGGGAGGTCCCAGCCCGAGGCCGCCAACGCTAGGAACCCCGATTTCAGCCCGACGGTGCCGGGAAGCGCAGGGATTCCCGCTGGGTTCGTGGCGCGCCCCTCGGCCTGCAACCCCCTGCAGGAGGCCCGGCACCCACCGGCCTCTCCTGCGAGTCCCCAGCCTCCAAACACCCGCCCTGCGCGCCCCCGCCCCGCGGGAAACCCGCCGGTCCTTCTAGGGGCACCTCCAAAGATGACCTCCTTGAGCGGGGCGGGAAGGCGAGTTCGGGTCCCACCCTAGGCGGCCCGAGCCTGTGCGCGGCGGGGATCCGGAAAGCCGGGCTGCTTAGCTGAGGCCGCCCTGGGCCTGCCTCTCCCGCCGCGTGTTCTAACTTCCCCCGGGCTCTCCGCACCATATACACCCGACATGTGGAATAGTAGGAGGATGGTGGGAGTCTGAGGGCGGAGGGGAGCCGGCCCGGGCGGAGGGGTGCGCGTGTCAAGGCTGGCAACCCCAAAGCTCCTCGGAGCGCTCCCTCTGGCCTGCCCCGCGGGCACTGCCTTTTCCAGAGGCGAGAAACCCTCCAGTCCCAGGGTCGTCCCCGGGCTTCTCCCGCGACCCTTTCACTGGCTGGTTTTCTCCAGTGATAAGCCATCGTTCCGTGTGGCCTGATTTAGTTTCTAATAATACTTCTGACTTTGGGATGGATGTTGGAGCGTTGTTTTGTTGTAGTTTTGCTGCTTTTGCCGACCTTGGGCAAGTGGAAGTTCTGTTTTCTGTTGAGAAGCCACAACGTTTCATTCTCTTTCCATTGTACAGGTTTTTGTTTGTTTGAGACGGAGTCTCGCTCTGTCACCCAGGCTGGAGTGCAGTGGTGCAATCTCTGCTCACTGCAACCTCCGCCTTCCGAGTTCAAGCGATTCTCCTGCCTCAGCCTCCAGAGTAGCTGGGACTACAGGCACCCGCCACCACTCTCAGCTAATTTTTGTAGTTTTAGTAGAGACGGGGTTTCACCATGTTGACCAGGATGGTCTCGATCTCTTGACCTCGTGATCCGCTTGCCTCGGCCTCCCAAAGTGCTGGGATTACAGGCGTGAGCCGCGGCGCCCGGCCTGTACATTGTTTTTAAAACTCCAGCCACCTTTTTACCCCCACCATAAAATTATACACAAATGACAGCCCTTATCATCTGTTTAGACTAAAACTTTTTGCTAAACTGTCCCGCCTGCTGGTGGCCCCAGGCCGCGGGCCCTGCAGGGATGGAGGCTCACTGCTGCTGTCCTAGGACTGCACTGGTCTCCATCCCAGAGAAGGGGTCGGTGGGGCGGCTCCCCTGCTGCTCCTAGGAGCCCCCCCTTCCCCCGCCCCAGTGCTGGGCTTCCTTCCTGCAAATGGTTCAGAGCTATTGGTCCAGATTCAAAGCTGCCCGTTCCACAGACACTGGGTGTCTCCATGGAAATGTTTAGCTTGGACGCATCCTCCCAGAGGCTGGGGATGTCTGCGGAGACAGAAGCCCCGCTGGGTGTGATGAAGCGGGGTGCCAGCGCCCTGCCATTTTCTAATCTGAGCTGGGAAACAACGCTGTGAAGTTAAGTGGCAGAGAACAGGGTGAGCTTTGTTTGGCCCCAGCCCGTGGGGCATTGTGTCTGGAGCGACTTCTGACTGGGTGGCTACTTACAGGCCTGTACTTCTCTGCGTTCTCCATGAGGAAGCAAGCCCGGGGCCTTCAGGAACCACGACGCCTAATGAGCTTCCACCCAGATGGTCCCGAAACCCGAGGGACGCAGGGGAGGCGCCCAGGTCCTCAGATGGGCCAGGAATGGCCTCGTGGGGCCTACTCAGAAGGACTCAGAGTTCTTCCCGGTGGTCTCAGCGATGGCTGGTGTGGAAACCACGCGTGTCCCCATGCTGCCGGCCTGTGTGTATCAAGGACTAGATCACACTTTCCGGCTGGCCCAGTTCTGCAGCCCTCATAAAATACACCCATGTCGGTCGGGCGTCGCTGCCCGGCGCACTGCCTTGCAGCAGGGACCTTTTCGAGCTTATTTTCTTCAGTAGGAAACACGAAAACTAGCCACTGCCCCGTCGTGTTTTTTCCTTGCGTAAAAGAAAGGGGCTCCTTACTACAGGTCGGCCACCGGCTCTTCAGGTACAGAGATCTGAACTTGGAAAGACCTGCCTTTCTAAAGGGAGTGATAATGAACACTGCGGCGTAAGTGTCCCAGGATTTAAAACCGAAACTCCAACAAAAAAAAATTTTTTAAACTCTGCTACTAGCAAGAGCACATTGTGTAAAACACTGACACGGGACATGGTTTAAACATGTCAACATTTTCTAACATTGGGATGAAGTGGTGTCTACCTCCCGTCCCGTGAAGCGTCAGGGCACCGACCACACGGACCCCCCTCCGTGGAGCTCACGGCCCTGTGCTCAGCTCTGCTAAGACCAGCGAGTTTTCCAGAGCTGGGGGAGCCCGGTTCTCAAGCAAGCCCCGCAGTTATCAGGGTCGCGCAGGAAGCGGCAGCGCTCGGAAGGACGTCTGCCCTTATGAAGTACATATGTTGGCAGGTGTGCTGGCGCTCTTTAAATAAATTATATAAAATATTTCAGAGCTGGTAAGGAATTTGGAAAAGCGTCTTCCAATTTCCATTAGCATTGCAATCCCTAATCCCTAACTCGTATGCTCACACCTCTGCAAGGGTATTTTCAAAGCCACTTGCAGGAGCCCACCCGGCATCGCCAGGGGTGTGTGCCGGGGACGGGCTAAGGTGGGGGACTGGAATGTGAGATGCGCCGCAGGGGGGTCTCAGCGCCCCCCACACCGGGTTTCAGGGACCCACACTGTGCCATCTTTTTTTCACTATAAAGAAGCAGCTCGAAACTTGGCGGTTCCTTTTCAAACTTGCCTGAAACATCTTCTCTGGCTGGAACTCCTGCCTATAGGATTTCAAAATGGCTTAAATTCGGGGCTGTGCTGCGGCCGCGCTTTGGATCTTTTGGTCCTGCAGGTCCAGGAGCCGGCGTGACGGGCTCGGCCCTGGGGAATTCAGGGGCGCGGCGCGAGGGAGACGCCGCCACGAGCTCGGGGTGGGGGTGGGGGGCGCAGAACCCCCAAACCGCGATCTTGGCGCCAGAGGGTGGCTCTGCCTCGCTCAGGAAGACACGGGGCATCCTTCACTCCCAAGGAAGCCTCCCTTCCTCCCTCCCACGTGCCCTCTGTGGTCCTGACGGCCCAGCCTCGCCCGTCCCCAAATCGCCGGCCTGCGAGCCGCTTCCTCGGCGGGACCCGCGGCGGCCTCGCCTCGCGCCCTCAGCGCTGGGGCAGAGGAGACACCTATTGGCAGAAGGCGCGCTCGGAACCGGGCTGCTGGGAGCTGGGGGACGCCGTTCCCGGTCCGCGCCGCGCCCCTCCCTGGGCGCACAGACCCGGCCGACCTCGTTCTCTGGCCCGGACCCCTCCGTGCGGGCGACGGGGGCGGGGTCGGGGGGCGCGGCCCGGGCCGTGGGGGGCGCAGGGGTCCGGGGGCGGAGGCCGCGCGGGGCTTACCTTCCTCCGCTGACTTCATGGTGCCGCCGGCGCGCGGCGCGGGCCCCAAAGTTTCTCCTCTCCCGAAGACCGCAGCCGCAGGGCCAAGTGGAAACTTGGAAGGGACTGGAAAGCTGGTGCTTGGCATCCGCGCGGCGGCGGCGGGGAGTGGAGCGGCGGGCGGAGGCACAGGAGAAGCGGCCGCCCCGCGCTGCCGGGGTCGGGTCTCCGGGAAGACAGCCCTCGCCCCGGGCTCAGCGCCGCGCGCCCCGGAGGAAAGTCATCGAGGGGCGTGTGCGCGCGTGGCGGGGCCCGGCCGCGGCCCTAGGACCTGCGCGGTGGCTCCGAGCCCTGCCCGCGCCCCGGTGCCCGCGCCCTGCTGCTGGGATCTGGCGCGGCGACTCCGCCGGCGAGTTCGGAGCCTCTGAGTCTCGCTCTGACGCAGGGCCGCGCTCTGCCTCCTGCCTTTTTAAAGCTGGAAAACACCTCCCCCGCCTCCCCGCCGGCCCGGCGGCTCCCGCGCCCCCTCCCTGCCGTGACATCACGCCCCTGCTGCCCGGGCCCGCGCGGGGCCCCGGGGACGAGTCGCCGAGCGCCCGCCCCTCCCCGCGCCGCGGCAGCCGCTCGCCTGGGGGCAGGGGCGCAAGAGGCGGGGCGCGCACGGGGAGGGGGGGCGCACGGGGAGGGGGGGGCGCACGGGGAGGGGGGGCGCCCGGGGAGGGGGGCGCCCGGGGAGGGGGGGCGCACGGGGAGGGGGGCGCACGGGGAGGGGGGGCGCACGGGGAGGGGGGCGCACGGGGAGGGGCGCACGGGGAGGGGATGGGGGCGTAGGGGCGGGAACGGGGAATCCGGGGGCCGGGCAGGGGGGCGCTGGGGCTGGCGGGGGAAACGGGGGCGAACGGGCCAGACGGGACGCCTGAGTCCACGCGGGTGTCCGGAGGGAGCCCGGCCCTGCTGGAAAAGGGGCGGGGGGCGGGGGCCGGGGGCCGGGGAGGGGTGTCGAGAAAGCCCGGCATGCTGAAGTCATTATGTAAAATCGCAGGCTTCCCCCGCTGTGGAAATTTGGAAAAGCGCTTCACTGGCAGGCCCTAGAAAGGAAATTCCCATCCCGCTAAATTACTAACAGATTGCGTGGCCGTCCCGGGACGTCGAGTTATTGTCATTTTTATTCTGTAAATATCTGCTCGACCTAGACGGCCTGTGGCAGGGGCCGGCGTGGGGAGGCCCGGGGACGCGCTCACCTGCCCTAGCCGCCCGGAGGGGGCGTTTTATGGGCGCGACTGCGCGACTTCTGACGGGGGGAGGCCCCCCGGCCACTCACACTTTCCTCTCTTACGTCTCCCTGCGTCTCTTCGGGCGCAGCTCAGCTGCCAACACGGCACCGCATTTTCTTGTTGGCTTTGGATGGGGGGGGTTGGAGGTTAAAGTGTCTGGTGTGTAGAAACCATAAATCGATTGCACGACACCCTTATGTGATTTAAACTAAACCCAAAGGCTAAACTCGTGTCTGCTGCGGGGCCCAGGAGGTCCGCAGACCCCCAGGGATCACTGTGCCCCGTGGGTGCCCCCCACAAGCGCCTCCTCCCTGCCGGGGGAGGCGGTCGGGCGCTGCAGAGCCCGCGAAGGTGCGCGGCCAGAGCCCGTCCGTCCCGCGTCCCGAGGCCTGGCTCCATTCGGCCGCCCCGACTCAGCACAAATGGAACCCCGGCTTTTCCACCGCAGGCCTCGGCCTGGAGAGACGTGCCCGGATTAGCGGGGTGGTGGCCGCCTCGCTCCTGCGGCGTCGAGGCCATTTCCAGGGGTCTCTACCTGCGGGGGCCCCTACGGCGCCGAGCCAGGCGTGGCACGCGCCCCAGAGCACCGGGCGCCGGGAGGGGAGGAGGGGCCGCGGGAGGACGCCCAGGCCGGTGGGCGGGGGTCGGGGGGTCAGGGGGACTCCAGCGAGGCCGCGCCCCCACGCCCCTCCCCCTCCCCTCCCCTCCAAATCTTCCCGCCGCGAGTGTCCCCAGGCCTGGGGCCAGGATTTGGCGGGGAGAGTTTCCGTCCCCCCCGCCCCGCCCTCCTTCTCCCCACCTCCAGGACGGGGCGGGCGGAGACTCGCCGGGAGGAGGGAATCCCGAGGCCGGGTCTGGCGGGGCGCGCCCAGCCGGTCACGTGGGAGACTGAGCCCCTCGACCCCAGCCGCGGTCCTCGAGCCCGGGACCGACCTGGCGAGGCTGCCCTTGGCTCCTGAGGAGCCGGGGCCGGGGCGGGGGCGGCCGGCTCTTCCTCCTCCTCCCGCCCCTCCCCTTCCTCCGCTGCCGCCTCCTCCTCCTTCAATAAATAATTTTTTCACCCCATGCAGAAAAGCTCCCTTTTCCTGTCTGCTCTCAAAGCCGTCCTTATCCCCCCGCCCGGGTGACGGAATCCCGGGTCTGTTTCCCTCTGTTTAATGCCGTTGCCGGGACCACGGTGGCCGCGCGCCAGGCGCAGGGAGTTCCGGAGGCGGCGGCCCAGAGCGCGGCCAGCTCGCCCGGCCTCTGCGCCCCGGCCCGGCCTCTGCGGCCACCGCGGGCCCCCGGCTCTGCTCCCCGAGCGCCCTGCGCCCCTTTCCTCTTCCTCCTGCCTCCTCGTAGGTTTGTTTATAGCCGCTACTAGGGGAGACGTTACACGGGTTTTATTTTAGGATTGGTGATGACTAACAAAGTTAAAAGGAGCTTAGGACAGAAAACAAGACTATTTTTAGATGACTGTTGTTTCTATGGATTATTGGGGGCAAAGACACCCCTAGAAGCTTACCGTTTTAAAAGCCCCTTGGGGTGCCAAATCCCTTCTCCTGGAGCGCACTTGGGTGTTCATCCACCCCGTCCAATATTTTCTAGAGCCTGGGCGGTCACTGTTGCTGGGGCTTCCTGGCGTCATGTGTGAGCACCAGGGCTATGAGACGCCATCCTGGCAGATGCGGGCGTCTCCAGCGCGGGCCGGGCCGGAGCTGCCCCGAAGCTCAACGCTCCATCCCGTCCCGTCTTCGGAGGGTGGGTGCCACCTGCCCCGCGTGGGGCTTTCCATCCTCAGGGGCGCTCGGCACACGCGGTGCCGCGTGGGGCTACCTGGCAGGTGCGCCAGCCAGGGGCAGGTGCGCCCACCCTTTCCTCCCCCTACTGAACCGCAGGCCAGATGCCACTTCCTGCTCGGGAAAATCACTTAATACGACTGTGTTCTGTTCCTGCGAATGTTCTGTTCCTGCAGTTTTGCATTCTGGCCCACAGCGGTGGTCACTTGAGAGCTTTTCCCATCAGGGGTCTTTGAGGTTTTGACTCAACTCAGAATCCACCCCCTTCTTCCTGAGGCACCTTCCAACCAACAGGGAAGGGCCCCCACGATGTCCAGAGACTCTTGAGACCATCTGGAGAAATGGGCATTTATTTAGCCAGGGTCTGGAGACTAGGATTAAATTAGCAAACCAGAATTATAGAAAAAGCTATTTACTTTTAAGTAAACTGAGATTTTTTTTTTTAAGTCAGTGTGAATGAACCTCACAGCCATGGTTGGAGCTGAGAAAGAAGGATTTCCCTTTAGTTATACACCCGTGTCAGCACCTTCTGACTTTCCTTCTAAAGTCTGGGGTGTTCCTGAGGACCCATACATTTGGGGTTCAGAGTTTCTATACCATGCTGTTACTTATGAAACATCTCTTTAACCACGCCCCTTCCCTGGAGGGTTGCTAAGGGCTTCATAGGTTTCCCTGTCTAAACTCTTAGCATGAACACCCACCTCATGGACTACCACCATGTCTAAAAACTCAGATCACCAATGGATCAGTCAACTTTCCTACCCTAGACGTGTGTCCAGGGCATTAGGATCAAGGCCAAACTGCTCAGCACGGCACCTGATACCCTTCAGCCCCACGTCCCCTCCCGGAGTGGCCAGGCAGGAACCTCCCCACCTAAAAGCCACTCGCAGTCATTCTCACCCACTCCAGGACTTTGGAGTCATCTCTCCCCAACGCCATTCAGTCAATCCCCAAGTGCTTGCTGGACCCCGGTCCCCTCTCCTCCCTCTGCCCAGGATCCTGATTCTTTTTTTCTGCTCTGTCTTGCAGGCTGGAGTGCAGCGGCATGAACAGGGCTCCCTGCAGCCCCAACTTCCTGGGCCCAAGTGATCCTCATGCCTCAGCCTTCTGAGTAGCTGGGACTACAGGCACATGTCACCACACCTGGCTAATTTATTTCTAATTTTTGTTGTTGTTGAGATGAGGTCTTGCTATGTTGCTCAGGCTGGTCTTAAACTCCTGGGCAACTCTGGGACATGGTTAAAGAGATGTTTCACAAGTAACAGCATGCTGTAGAAACCCTGAACCCCAAACTTACGGATCCTCAGGAACACCCCAGACTTTAGAAGGAAAGTCAGAAGGTGCTGACACAGGTGCATAACTAAAGGGAAATCCTTCTTTCTCAGCTCCAACCATGGCTGTGAGCTTCATTCACACTGACTTAAAAAAAAAAATCTCAGCTGTTTACTTAAAAGTAAATAGCTTTTTCTATAATTCTGGTTTGCTAATTTAATTCTAATCTCCAGACTCTGGCAAAATACATGCTCACTTTTTTTTTCTTTTTCTTTCTTTCTTTTTTTTTTTTTTTTTTTTTGAGACGGAGTCTCGCTCTGTTGCCCAGGCTGGGGTGCAATGGTGTGATCTCCACTCACTGCAACCTCCACCTCCCGGGTTCAAGTGATTCTCCTGCCTCAGCCTCCCAAGTAGCTGGGATTACAGGTGTGCGCCACCACGCCCGGCTAATTTTTGTACTTTTAGTAGAGACGGGGTTTCACCATGTTGGTCAGGCTGGTCTTGAGCTTCTGACCTCTTGATCCGCCCGCCTAAGCCTCCCAAAGTGCTGGATTACTGGCGTGAGCCACCGCGCCCAGTGGATAAGTGCTCATTTCTTGAACTCCTGAGCTCAAAAGATCCTTGTGCCTCAGCCTTCTAAAGTGCTGGGATTACAGTCATGAGCCACTGCACCCAGTCCTGAGGGCCTCTTTGACAACTCTCTGCTTGCCTCCTCCGAAGGCCCTAGTGTGGTGGTTAAAAGAGAGGCCTCTGGCCTCAAACCACCTGAGTTTGTTTGATGGCCTAGAACATGGCCCATCCTGGAGGATGTTACTTGTGCGCTTGAGAAGAATGTGTATTCTGCTGTCGTTGGGTGGAGTGTGCTAGCTATAGATATCTGGTAGGTCTAATTGGTTTATACTGTTGTTCAGGCCTTCTGTTGCCTTGTTATCTGCCTGGTTGTTGTATCCATTATTGAAAGTGGAGTATCGAAGTCCCCATTCTCTGTTGTAGAACTGCTTCTCCCCTCATTCTGTGAGTTTTTGCTTCATAGATTTTGGAGCTCTCTTATTAGCTGCACGTATGTTTATCATTGTTGTATCTTTCTCACAGATTAGTGCTTTTATCATTACGAAACATTCCTCTTTAATAAAACCTTTTTTAAAAAGCCTATTTTGTCTAACATTAGCAGCCACTCCAGCTTTCCTGAAGTCGCTGTTGGTGTGTCGTCTTTTCCCATCGTTGTAGTCTATGTGTGTAGCTTTGAGTAGAAAGTATGTCTCCTCTAGACGGCATAAAGTTGGGTCATGTTTTCTTAATTCAGTCTGACAGCCTTTGCTTTCTGATTGGTTGTTAAATCCACTCACATTTAATGTTATTATTGAACTTTACTTTTCATTTCTATTCCACTTTACTTTTCATTTTCTATTTTTCTTATGTCTTCCCCTCATTTATTTCTTTATTGACTTCTTTGCATTAAGTGAATTATTTTCTACTGAGTTTTTAAACTTTTTTTGTTACTGTTTTAGTGATTGCTCTAGTATGTACCATATACATTTCGACTCCAGTGACACACAAAAACACTATCCCTATGTAGCTAGCTCCATTCCCTTCCCGCTTTTATACATTCTACATTGTAAACAGTAATGTTACAAACCTAAGAATACATTGTGATAACCATTATTTTACCATCTGTAGTTATTTCTTTAGTCCAATATAGCTTTGTTCTCATTCCCTTTCTTTGTATTGTTATTAGCAATACACTACACATATATTACATTGCTATAAGTTATAGGCCCAACATTATATTTTATATACATTATTTTATACAATCACTTTTCACACCAGTTATAAAAAGAGAAAAATATGTATTCGTACTGTCTTATGAAATTACGTAATTACCTTAAGAGGCACTCTGTTTTTTTCATGTGATTTCAAATTACTGTCTGAAGTTTCTTGCTCACTGCCTGAAGAACTTCCTTTAGTATTTTTTGTAAGGTGGGTCAGCTGGCAACAAACTCTCAGTTTGTCGGAAAAAGTCTTTATTTCACCTTCATTCTTGAAAGAAAGCTCTGCTGCGCATAGGATTTGGGATTGATAGGTTTCCTTCCTCCCTCCCTGCCTCCCTCTGCCTCCCCCTCCTTTCCCCTCCCCTCTCCTCCTCTCTCCTTTCCTTTGGCTGTTATCCCACTGCCTCAGGCTCACATCGTTGCCGCTTAGAAGTCACTTGTTAGCCTTATTGGGGTTCCCTTGTAAGTGATACCTTATTTTATTATTTTGGCTTTTGAGATTTTCTCCTTATTATTGACTTTCAGCATTTTTACTCATAATGTGTTGGTCTGTGGGCCTCTCTAGGCTTGCCCCAGTTGGAGTTCATTGAGATTCCTGGTTTTGTAGGTTATTTTTTTAAACTAATCTGCGATATTTTCAACCATTATTTCTTTTAATATTTTTGCATCCCTTTTTTCCTCTTTCCTTTCCTTCTAGTGAACCCCCTGTGTGGGCTGGTGCCCTGGAGGGCGTCCCTGGTGCCCCTCAGCTCTCCGAGGCTCCCCTTGGTCTCCTTCATTCTATCTGCTCTCTGTTCGGGGCTTGCATACTCTCTACTGATGTATCTTCAAATTCACTTTCTTTCTTCTGCCAGTTCAAATCGATTGTTGAGCCCCAATAGTGAATGGTTCACTTCAGTGACTGCGCCTTCCAACTCCTGAATTTCCACTGGTTATTTTTTATACATTCTATCAACAGTCTCTACGTGATGTGACATTGTCGTCCTGCTTCCTTTAATCAAGATTTACTTTAGTTCTCTGAGCATATAAGGGATATTTTGGCCTTTTCCCATTAAATCCAATATCTGGTCATTCCCCAGGCAGTTTCTGTTGTCTGCTTTTTAAAAAATTTAAATGTGGGGGTCATACTCTTGTGTTTCTTTGCATGCCTCCTATTTTGTTGGAAACTGGGCATTTTAGACAATGTATTATAGCAGCTCTGGATACTGGTCCCCCTGTGTGGGGCTTGTTATTTGCTTATTTACTTGTCTTGTGACTTCTGAGATGACTGCAGTGAAGCTATTCCACACACTGCCCCCTCCACCAGTAGAGTTATGCCTCTGGCTTGCTCCTTAGGGAGAGGAGTCTTACCTGTGCCCAGAGTCACCCTGGAATGCAGGATTTTGAGAGCGATCTCTTCCTCTCTTTCCCCGACCACATTGATAGAGATCTCTTCCTCTCTTTCCCCGACCACATTGATAGAGATCTCTTCCTCTCTTTCCCTGACCATACCCAGCTGTTAAATTCCACGGCTGCCATTGGATTGCTCTATTGTTTTTAACAATATCTGGAGGCATAAATTACTCTACAAACTACTCCAATTAAATAGTGCCTTCTTTGAAGCAAGAGTTTCTGATGTCCATGTGTGATATTTGTTTTGACCCCTGGAGGCCCCTCACAGCTATCACATTCCTAAATCTAGGCTAAATCTTCATTAAATCCATGAATGTCCCAAATGCCATTGATGACAACCTCCATGTTTTCGAGGGGACCCTAAGCTTTCACCTTCTCCCATGTTCTGCTGAAAATGAAGTCGTTTCTTTTGGGAGGAGATTAGAAGCTATCTCTTTTACTTACTGCTTCTCACTCCAGGCAAAATCTCTGAGCCAATGCTTTGGAGCTGGGGATGGGGACAGTGCCGAGCCTCAGTGTGAGTGACGCCTCCACCTCCAGGAGTTGAGTGCTGACGGGGGCAGCATCCTGAGACCCCACTGGCCTCCCCTGGCCTGGAATCACTGCCCTGTCAGCGGGGGCAAGGGTAGTTGCACCCTGTCTTCTCAGTGAGCCACACCCAAGGCCCAGCCTCCCACCCATGAGTGTGGGGACCGGGAAGAAGGGAGCCCCCACCCCTCCACCAGACTCCCCAGGACCTAGCAGCCCCAGCAACAGGCAGATGGGGCAGGATGAGAAACACCGACATCCCGCCCTCCCAGAGTCACTCTCCCCCACCCACCTGTGTCCTCAGCTGCAGCAGACCTGCTGGTGGAGTGGCAGGGGGAGGGGAGGAGGGGGTGGCTTTGGTTCAAATATCAAATACATTCACCTTTCCTAGTAAAGATGGTTTTTTAAAAAATCAGGTCTTTTTCAATAGATGTGTCTTCACTTGCTGCGTGTCCTTAGGACCATTTCCAGAGACTGTCAATGGCTGGGGGTTTTTAACTTGACCAGTTTCCCGGGGACGGGTTCACAGAGCACGTCAGCTCTCGTGTGAGAAGGCGCTTGCCCACAGCCCGAGTTTGGATTCCAGTCCCCGGTACACCTACGGGAGCCAATAGTAACGGCCTTCACCTCTCAGGGTAGATCAATGAGAGGCACCTGCTAATGGCTCAAGACAGCTTAATCATTATTTCAGAACAATGCTGTTGTGAATTGAACTGCCTCCTCCAAAACGATTCATTGAAGTCCCCTGGTCTCTGGGAATGAGACCTAATTTGGTAAGTGACATCTCTACAGTTGTAACTAGTTAAGATGGTGTCAGTTAAGGGGACCCCAATGATGACTGGTGCCCTCACAGGAGGAGAAGACAGACAAAGGGAATGTGGTGAGCCGACAGAGGCAGAGACTGGAATGATGGCTCCACGAGCCAAGGAGCACCTGGGGCTACCACGAGCTGGAAGAGGAAGGGAAGGGACCTCCGTGGCCGGTTCCAGAGGGCACTTGGCCTTGCTGACCCTCGACTGTGCCTTCTGGCCTCCAGAACTGAGGACATGTTTCTGCCATTCAAGCCACCCACTTTGTGGTCATTTGTGATGGCAGCCCCAGGAAACCAACCCAAAGGGCAGTGGTTTTCTTTTTTCTTTTTTTTTTTTTTTTGAGACGGAGTCTCGCTCTGTTGCCCAGGTTGGAGTGCAATGGCACAGTCTCGGCTACTGCAACCTCTGCCTTCCTGGTTCAAGCAGTTCTCCTGCCTCAGCCTCCCGAGTAGCTGAGATTACAGGTGCCCACCATCGCACCTGGCTAATTGTTGTATTTTCAGTAGAGACGGGGTTTCACCATGTTGGTCAGACTGGTCTCGATCTCCTGACCTCGTGATCCACCTGCCTCGGCCTCCCAAAGTGCTGGGATTATAGGCATGAGCCACCGCGCCTGGCCGGGCAGTGTTTTTCATTCCTTCCAGGATACCACACCTGTCACAGTGCGCTGTGGCCTTTCCTACAATGCATGTCCCCTCTCAGGTGGCCTGGCAGCACCCACAGCCTCCACTAAGACGCTCCCTTCCAGGCCAGTGCCCTGACATGGGCGCCATGCTCCTACTGGACAGAGCACTCCCTGTGGGATGACCTTTGCTCGAGGACCTCCACTGCCTGGCCTAAACTCCAGGGGGGTCACGGGAATGTTCCCACTCCCGCCATAGCCCACGCAGGGGCAGAGCCCACCCGAGGCCAGGGAGGTGTGCCTGCTGCTGCCCCACAGCCGCAGGGAATGGCGTTCTCTTCCTCTGAAGCCGGGGCCTGAAGAGTGCCCTCCTGGGGAAGATGTGGACCCCGGGGCTGCCATGGAGACAGGGACTCCAGAGGCCGATTCCATGCCCTGCTTGAGCCCCTGAGTCTAGTGGGACCTGAGAGCCTCCCCTGGGGTCTTCACCTTGGTGAGGAAGCAACTTCCCTTTTCTGCTCAATCGAGTTTAATGTGGATTCTGTCACTTGCACCTGAAGGAGGCCTAATTCACAGGAAGGCCATGGCTGAACAGGGTCCTCGCTTCCTCCATGGGGGTGGGGCCGCAGGGACACAGGCAGATGAAACAGCAACTCTAGCCAGAGGGAAGCTCCCGGTGAGGAGGCCGGGCAAGCCCGGCACAGCTGCTGCAGCCATCTGGGCCTCACACACCACGCTAGGCAAAAAAAAGTCCCCTTTAAACCTCGATTTCTCTTAGAAAGCACAAACAGGGCTGAGCTGACACTCCACTGGTGTGCACGGGGGCGGGGAAAGGATGCCACATGTGTGTCTCAGGGAGACATGACCCCTTCCCTGGCCCTCGAGTGCCAGGGGCCCGGGTCAGCCTGAGGCCAATGAGGACAGCTTCACGGAGATGCAATGGTCCTGCACAGCTGTGTCTTAAGAAGTCAGGAATGTGTGCAAAGCCCAGGGCAGAGGCGCTCTGTGCTTCGGAGCCTCTTCTCTGTTCTGCACTTCGCAGGACAAGCACACCCACCCCGGGTGTGTGCCCCTCTCACAGTGCCGGAGGGCTGAGGCAGGAGGGCCCAGAGCCGCGTCCTGATCCTGCAGGCCTGCTCTTTTTGCTAACGCTGGTCGAGAGGTAAATAAATCACATTTTTAGTTTCTGGCAAGAGTTTGGGTTTGTCCCTGTGAACTCACAATTGTTTTCCTCTTGCAAAATAATAATACTTTTCAAATGGCAATATTCCAACATTTTTCTTTAAACTACTTGGTTTACCCAAATCTGTTTACCCAAATCTGTTTAATTAGGCAGTAACACAAGGCAAGTCATCTCTGCCCCGGCCTTGGGCAGTGAGGCTGCGCTTTCTATTTTCCTTTGTGATGCTCAGCGACTCTCCTTCTGATGCGTGTGCAGAGCATTCCAGACTGTGGGGCGATGAGGCAGGCCCCGGCGGTGTGGCCTGCCGTGGCGGTGTGGCCTGGCCCCGGCGGTGTGGCCTGGCCCCGGCGGTGTGGCCGGCCCCGGCGGTGTGGCCTGGCCCTGGCGGTGTGGCCTCTGGCTGCTCAGCCTCAGGCTCCAGTCCGGGATTCCCATCACCTGCTTGAGGGAACGGAACCTGCCCTAGACAAAGCGTGGGGCTGGACCACAGCCTGGGTTCACTGAGCTTCCCCAACGGTTTCTAAAGTGTTTTGGTTCAATAAAGCTCCAAACAAGTTTTGCCAGGCATTTTTTCCATTAAGTTTTGAACCGGAGTGAGTTTCAAGTGAAGCTTAATCCTGCAATTCTGGCTCATTACGCTTCACTCATCGAGATGCCAGGCTGGGGCCGTCTGGTGCCGGAGAAGATGGGTGCTCTTTATAAACCGGTCAGGGCCTTACTTCTTCTGCGAGACAGGAAGTGGCATCTGCCAAAGTGCGAGGGCACATGAACCCTCAACACCGAGGTGGCCACTGCAGGCCGGGAGCAAGGGTGGGGGTGGGGCTGCGGGTCAGTGCCTGGCAGAGCTGCCCAGCACCTGCACCTGAGGCTCGGCTGGCTCCGTCCCGCTCGGACAGTCCCTTTGGGGTTTAATTGTGGTAAAATAGCCATAACATAAAATTTACCATCTTAGCCATTTTGTAAAGTGCATTCACGTTGTGCAAACATCTCCACCATCCATCTCCAGAGCTTTCTCATCTTCCCAAACTGAAGCTCTGCCCGTGAAACACGGACTTTCCTCCCTCCCAGCCCTGGCCGCCACCTGCTGTCTGTCTCCATGGATCTGACAACTCCGGGGCCTCCAGTGAGTGGACTGGCATGGGGCTTGTCCTCCTGTGCCTGCCGTCTTCAGCTCGGCACGACATCCTCCAGGTACATCTGCAGTGTGGCCCGTGTCTGAATTCCTTCCTTGTTAAGGCTGAGTCACATCCCTGTGGATGGGTTGGGCCCCACTGTGGGTCCCTCCTCTGTCCACGGACACTCGAGTGGCCTTCCCCTTTGGCTGCTGTGAGCACCGGTGGTGGGCAGGCAGCTCTTCCAGCTCTCTGCTTTCTGTTCTCTCTAATGGCGTGGTGACTGTGTGTGTAGCTTCCTGGGGGCTGTGGTCTTTCTGGTGCTCTCCCACACGCCCCTTCTTGGTGGATGGAGCCTGGGGTCCCTGCAGGTGACCCCGCTGGGGTCCCCAGGGTGCCTCAGGGACAAGGAGTGCGTCTCTCCCTCTCTCCTCCTCTCTCTCTCCCCGTGTCTCTCCTGTCTCTCCCTCTCTCTCCCCATCTCTCTCCTGTCTCTGTCCCTCTCTCTCTCCCCACGGCAGGTGTGGTGTCTGGTCACCGCTGAGGGACCTCCCTCACCACTCCTGTGTTCTCAGGTTTTCAGTCCTCACAGGAGGCTGGGGCAGAGGGGAACAGGGTGCCCCCATCTTTGCCATGGGTCTGGCCTAGGCCTGGAGAGTGGGCCTGCCAGGGGGCTGCAGGTCGGGGTGTTCCCTTCTGGGCGGTGTGACTGTCACGGGGCTGCAGAGGTGTGCAGCTGAGTGACCAGCCAGCCTGGACACCTGGGAGCAACACACCTGCAGGTCCCCCGGTGCATGATCTGGGTGGCCGTGAGCTCTGGGCAACCTGCAGTGGGGCGGGCACCTCCTTGTCACTGCTGCTGCGCAGTGCTCCTGAGAACTCGTGTGGGGCTGGAGCTGCAGGCTCTGGGAAGGGCTGCAGGGGATGGCCTGTCTTCCTGAGTCCACACTGAGGGGCGCGTTTCAGAACCCACGGGTGGCCTGTGGACTGGGGCAGGGTCCGGGGAGGGCCTGGAAGAGCCGAGGCAACCGAGCCGGGCCCCAGAGGAGAGGCTGCAGCCCCACGGGTGCAGGTGGGCATGACCCAGGATCAGGATGCCCAGACCAGCCCAGGATGGGCTTTTCCAACACAGACCGTGCTTAGGGTTCCGCATTTCGGGTTCCCTGTGCCCCAGCCCTGCAAGGTCTCCCAGCCCGCACAGCCAGGGAGGCTGGCTTTGGTCCCCAGGCCCCACAGCTCACCTGTTGCCGGCACCTCCCTGCTCAACCGGCCCCATGAGTCAGTGTCAGGGCTGCTGCGGTTCCCTAAGTGCACAACCCCATGGTTCTTAGCCAGGCTGTACTGTTAGCCATGTCTCTGCTGGTTCCCTGGCACAGTTGCCCCCTGCACACCCCCTGCCCCGGCTGGGCCCCCTGCACAGTCCCCACGATGGGTCTGGACTCCCGGTCCTCAGGTCACTGAGAGCTGAGAGCTGAGCGATGACGGCGCAGCCCAGGGCCTGATTCTCTCCCGGCCCACCCTGCTCTCCTCTTACTGCAAGAATTTTCGCAGGGGCCGTGGCTGGCATCAGTCCAGGTGGTTCCTAGAAACAGCCAGTGCCCCTGGTGAGGGGACCGTAGCTGTGACGTCCCCGTACTGGCACCCTGCTCCTGTCCTGTGGACCCGGTTCTCTCTCGTTCTCTCGTCATAGACAGTCACTCCCACCTGGACGGCCCCAGCTGGACAAGCCGAGGCTCAGGTCAAGAGGACACAGGGCAGTGGGACAGAAGAAGGGTGGACAGGAGCAGGGCGGGGTGGCCGGGGAGCCTGGTGCATCCTGGCGGGTCAGCAGGAGAGGAGCAGGGTGAGGTGGCCCGGAAGCCTGGCGCATCCTGGACTGGGCACTCACAGCCCCTGACCACCGGCCCTGCAGGGTCCACACGAGCATCTGTGCCTGGGAGTCAGCATCAACATGTGGCCCAGGACCCCGGTTAACGCACACTGTCTGCATGGGGCTCCCCATTGCCTATGGAAGTGAAGGGGGCAGTCCCAGAGCCCAGAGGTAGTGCATGGACGCCCGAGCTATTTTGGGGAGAACTTGGGAGCTCTCGTAGACTCTCCTCCTCTGGCGGAGTGCTTCCTGTGATCGTGCTGGACGTACAGTGTGGGCACAGGAACAAACCTTCATTTAGAATGGGCAGCATTTTCTCCCCAGCACCTACAGACAGTGAATTTTAGGTTTACAACTTCTGAGGGACTACAACTGGACCCAGTACAGACAAACCGAAATGCAGACAATTAAAAGTGTCCCTGAGGGCAGAGGGCGCCTGCAATGGAAGCTGGTGGTGCAGCTCCTTCTCCTCGCCCGAGCTCTCCTGCACAGCCTGGCCCGGGTCAGCTGCAGGTGGGAGAGGAGGGGCACACTCGGGACTGCCCTCGTTTTGCTCATCTCTTCCTGGGCCCATGGGGGAGGTCAGGAGTCATCCTGCCAGGCCTCACCGCAGCAGGATGCCCCAAGGAAGGAACAGGGTCTACAGGGCCGCGGGTTGCTCTGCACGGGGCTGGCAACGCAGCCTCTGAGGAAAGGTCTCCTCAAGGAAATCAGTGAGAATCATGACATCCCATTACTCCAGGGCAAGAGCCCTGCTGGCTTCCCGCCTTCAAACACAGCCGTGTTTGATCCCAGGGAGAAACTGAGGCAAGCTGTGAGAGGGCCTCTCAGGACAGGAAGAAGGTCTGAGGCTGACTGCTGCTGGGCTTTGCGGTGACGGGGGAACTGGCCACGGCAGACGGTGCCCCTCAGCTGTCCCACACAGTATCCCAGGCAACCCAATGACACCAACAAGTGCTGGGAGCCCAATTTTAAAACGGAGACTTCACCTAAGAATCCAGATTTCTGACTTGCAGCGACGCCTGATCTCAGGGCCTCCCTCTCTTCCTTAACGAGGGGCGAATATTCCAAAGGCCACGTTGTGTCTTTTCCAGGACATGGTCTGTTAGAATCCAAACGATGTCTGTGCTAACCCATCTTTCTAGATCCGGACCCCAACACTTCTGTTCGCATCTTGGGTCACAGCCAGGGCGACGTCCACCCCCAGCGCCGACGAGCTCAGCGCCTGGAGACTTCTGGTCCCAGAACTCTCAGGACCCAGGTAGAGGTGGGGCTGGAGGATTTTTGGATTCCCTTCTAGGCCCACAGGTGCAGGACAATCCATTTTGGAAAATCCTGTCATTAGCAGTAAGCATTTAGGACTCGGCAGAACTGGCAGGAGGACCCCCTTCCTCCTGGGCTTCTGCTTGGCCGTGGTCCCAAGGCCCACCCTAGGGGCCTACTGGCACCTGGGATGGGCGCTGGGAGTTCAGGCTGCCCTGCAGCCCTCTGCGGGGGACACAATTCCCATCCAGACACAAGTAATGCCTCCTCTGTACAAGTGCTCGTGGGACGGTTGGAAACTCTTCAGCTAGAGCAAACTGGCCTTCCTGGGGACGCCGTTTCAGGGATTGCTTGTTGGTGCTCAACAGGACACCATATTCAGAGGAATCCCCAAGCCATCCACTTCTCTAACCCCCAAAATCCGAGCCAGAGCTGGGATGTCCACCCTGGTGGCCTCGCAGGTGCCATTTCGTGGCTTCTGGCTCCCCCTTCTGGAACCGCCTGAAATGACACCCATCTGCAGTGGCAGGACCTGCAGCCCAGCAAGGGGGGCCTGGCGTCCCCTCTGTGGCCCAGGACATATGTGCTGGGGAAGCGGGGTGGGTGGGGGACAGTTTGCTGTGTGAGCTCCGTGGTTTCTGCATGATTTCTGCAACTAACCTGGAAGTCTCCAGGATAAGGCATCTTTGTAAAGAGACACACAGGCCTGAGGGCGGTGCCCACAGGCCGAGTCTGGCCCTGTGCAGTGGACTGGGGGGCTGGGGGTGCTGCTGCTGAGTGGGACCAAGGGGTTTGCTCAGCTGTGCCGGGGGGGCCCTTGGAGGTGCTGACCCCAGCGGAGTCCCCGACCCTAGGGAGGGTGCATCTGGGCCTGCCCATGACCATCACAGAAGGGAGGTAAGGCCAGCTTGTTTGGTCCACTGTCGGGGTCTTGCTACCAGTTTGTCTGCTGGGCCCTCACAGGAGAGGAAGGCACTGGTGGTGGCCATCGGGGGTACAGACTTATGGGCTCCAGGAACGCAGTGCGGCCCTCAAGGCCTGGCCGTCACTGAACTGGAATCGGATGAGACTATGGAAAGCAGTAGCGAATCCTCGCCTGCCTGCCGCCCCTGCTGAGCGGCTGGCACTCTGCTCTCATCACCCCAGAGCACCAGGCCCCAGTCTCGGGTCTGAGCATGAGCTGCTCTGATGACAGGCTTTGCTTGTATCTTCCCGGTCTCGGCTTCAACCTCCCCTTTCCAAGGAGTCTCCCGAGGCTGCGGGCCCTGCTGGTTCTTCCGCAGCACGCACCTTCCTGTGACCAGCTATTCCGGGCCGCGGACAGGACCGTGAGGGTCACGCCTCTACATGTAAACCTAGAAACACGGGGCCAGCGCGGCACTGGACGCTGCCCATGACACGCAGAAGCGAGGAATGGGCTCCTGCTCATGCAGCACCGCCGACTCCACACATGCAGAATGCTCTCCCCAGGCTGGGCGCCCTCCTGAAGGCCTCTGGGGCTGTACGGCCGGCTCAGAATTTCTAGGGCTGACACAGGTCCAGAACCTAAAAAGCGATGAGGTTACGCCGCAAGCAGGTGGAAACACAGCCTCTCCACCCCTCGCCTGACCCGAGCTGGCTCCTGAACTAGAGCTGGAACTAGATCTAATGCCGATCTAATGACCCTTTAGTGGGCTATTATTTTCTTTAGCAGAAAATCCGTGTCACAGACCCCGTTCTGATTGCCTTGCTGCATGCCCGTCGTCTGCTGGGAACGCCCTGTGCATCTCATTTAACCCTCACAGCAGCAGCCCCCGCAGGGGGTGATTTTCGTTTACGGAGGAAAAGACCCCTTCCTCCTCCAGTCTCTACCTGCCCTTAATACATCTCGATTTCTTGAGACAAATCTTCAACTGTCTCCCAATCAGGATCCAACTGATCGAAGGCTGGTCGTTTCTGTATCTGAAAGCTGTACTGCAGTGTTATTCCCAAAGGCTCAGGGGTTCAGCTTTTCTGAGGTTATCGACAATGTTATTATTCTATTAGTCAGTTTCACAGGTGGGTGGTTTACTTTTAAAGGTGCACGGGGGAGCAGCCTCTGATTTGCCCTTGGCCTCCACCCCCGAGGCCTGAGTGTGTGACCCCATCTCCTGAGCTGCTGGCTGTGGACTTAAGATTTCTACCGTCCCAATGCCCCTAACGCAAACTGCTGCGGCAGAAGCGAAAAGACAGGTGAAATCCAAGTCAGCCCCAGCCAGGACGTGACTTCCAGGAGACACCAACTCGGGGCACAGAAGGGAAACTCCCAGGCAGCCTCCGGCAGCGACCAGACGCGCCCACATCACCGAGCGGACGCCAGCGACACCTTGTGGGAGCGCAGGAAATCGCGCCCTCGCAGGGCCGGGCCCGTCCGGAAACTCAGGATGCTCCAGCGCCGACAGATGACGGCAGAGGAATTCCATTCAACAGGCGCTGATGCGGTATCGGGAAGAAAGGCAGCTTGATTGCTCTCTGTGCCTATTTTCTCCTCTGAAAAGCTGCGGGGGAGGGCGGGTGGGTGCTGGGCAGTCCCTCCGCTGGTTGGTGAAACGCCTTCGGAACCCCACGCACACAGCTCCGCCAGCATTTCAGGTGACGGGGCCCACCCTGATGGGAAACGACGCGGAAGAAAATGAACAGGTGAAACTCCTGGCGGAGGCTGCCGCCTGCGTGGAAAATACGGAGAAACTCTCCTTTGAGACAAGAGGCCTGGCGTTTGACCAACTTCTGCTGAGGCCTCCAAGAACAGGCATGGCTGCAGACGACGGCACAACACACCGGTTTCGAGGAACACCCCAGGCACAGGACACAACTGAGAAAACGAACTCCTGGCCCCAAAGACCTTCCCAGCTTCCCAGAAGCGAGGGGTCTGGTTGGGCGACACCATGAATGCAGCGGGGCAGCCGCACAGGCTTTCATCCACCTCAATCGGTGCCTGTTTCCAGCCAAATAAAATAGGAAACCCATGACCAGGCAAGTGGGCCATCTTAGGGGATTTGAGTTTTACAGGACAGCTGATCTCTATATATAGAAATGGTGTTCGAGTGTGATTTTGCAAATAGAAAAAGGATGGGAAGGACACGCATGCTAGCAGCAAAGTCTCTGGGCAATGATTTACATTGGTGGCCGCAATGGAATTGCGTTCGGAAACGCCACTGTTTACGCAACTTGCCTTTAGAGTGTGTGAGAAGAGCTCTTTATGTGAGAACTCAGTAACTTGACTGTTTTTACTGAAAAGCGAAATGCAAGTATAAAGCGAGGGTATCTTCAGCAAAGGGCAGGCTGTGGGGCAGGCCGTCTGTCTGAGTGGGAGCTGCAGCTGATGTGGACACGGGCCTCCGTGGAGCCTCAATTTTATTACATTTGAGTAGGAATGACTTTGTGTTATAACATCAAAGAAAGAATCTGAATATGAGGGAACTGCAGAAATTAAACTTTCAGTCTAATTCTCAGAATGCCAGAGTAAGATGAACCCTTTACAGTAATAGTGAAATAATTCGGGCTCATTTTCAGTAGAAACTCAAGCTGCTTCAATATGGAAATACAATTTTGACAATACAAAAAAAGAAAGAAAAGCAGGGGTGAGGCCCCACACTTAAGAGGAAGAGGCCATCGCAGCATCTGTGCCCTGGGCTTGCCTGGCAGGGGTGACGTTCCCGCACTGAGAGGGAGGGGCCATCCCGGCATCTGTGCCCTGGGCTTGCCTAGCATGGGTGAAGCCTCACACTGAGAGGGAGAGGCCGTCCCGGCCTCTGTGCCCTGGGCTTGCCTGGCAGGGGTGACGTCCCTGCACTGAGAGGGAGAGGCTGTCTCAGCATCTATGCCCTGGGCTTGCCTGGCAGGGGTGAAGCCTCGCACTGAGAGGGAGAAGCCATCCTGGCATCTGTGCCCTGGGCTTGCCTGGCAGGGGTGACGTCCCTGCACTGAGAAGGAGAGGCTGTCTCAGCATCTGTGCCCTGGGCTCGCCTGGCGTACCCTCCCTTTCTTGTGGTGCTTGCTTGGTAGCAATGGCAAACCCTGCGTTCACTGGCAAGGGCACAAGGTGCTGGGAAGGGCAGAAGGTGCTGGGGCCAGCCCGCTGGGGGTGCACAGCCCCTTAGGAGGCCAGCTTGCAGTAGCTGGGAGGAGAGAGCTTGCGCCTCAGGTACTTGAGGACATACAGCGGGAGGCAGCTGACCACGGTGATCGCCGACACTTTCCACAGGAAGGTCACGGTGGTGATAAAGGCAACATCTGTTGGCAGGAAACAGAGAAAAAGGTAAGAGCTGACCAAGAAGTCCTGGGCCCTCATGGCCACAGCCACAGACCTGGCCAGGCCACCAGACGGTCTAAGCTTGCCACGGAAACATCACTGTGCATTTACAGGGGCCCAGCTCCAAATCTCAGGTTTTCTTGACTGCAGAATTGTTTGACCTGCATACCGGGCATAATTCATTCTTCTTTTAATGGAAAAAACAAAACCAAAGCATTATAGATTGCAGGCCGGGCGCAGTGGCTCATGCCTATAATCCCAGCACTTTTGGGAGGCCAAGGCAGACGGATCACTTGAAGTCAGGAGTTCGAGACCATCCTGGCCAACATAGGAAAACCTCATCTCTACAAAAAAGACAACAAAACATTAGCCGGGCGTGGTGGTGGACACCTGTAATCCCAGCTACCGGGGAGGTGGAGACAGGAGAATTGCTTGAACCCGGGAGGTGGAGGGTGCAGTGAGCTCAGATCACGCCACTGCACTCCAGCCTGGGGACAGAGTGAGACTCCATCTCAAAAAAAAAAAAAAAAAGGTTGTAGGCCGGCCATGGTGGCTCACGCCTGTAATCCCAGCACTTTGCGAGGCTGAGGTGGGTGGATCACCTGAGGTCAGGAGTTTGAGACCAGCCTGGCCAACATGGGGAAACCTTGTCTCTACTAAAAATACAAAAATTATCCTGGTGTGGTGGCAGGCACCTGTAATCCCAGCTACTCAGGAGGCTGAGGCAGGAGAATCACTTGAACTCAGGAGGCAGAGGTTGCAGTGAGCCAAGATTGTGCCACTGCACTTCAGCCTGGGTAACAAGAGTGAGACTTCGTCTCAAAAAAAAAAAAAAAAATGGTTGCAGATGACTAATGTCACCAAACACCACTGAATGGGTGGACAACACTCTGTGGCAGAATTTGTGAAGGCACTGAAGTACTAGTTGTGGTGCTTAGGGAAGAGACACCAGCTCACCTAACCTGTGGGATTTGTTTGGACGATCTAGGCTAGCCATTTTTTTGTTTTGTTTTGTGTGTGTGTGTGTGTGTGTGTGTGTGTGTGTGTGTGTGTGTTTCTAAGGTAGAGCTGACTTTATGAGGGGCTGGGGGCAACAGAGGGCAGCTGGCAGTTCCATCTGCAACACAAATACTCAGACCGGTCTGCTCTTAGAGGCTCTGAGCCCGGCCCACCCAGAGAATGTTCTCGCCTGTCACCCTCCCAGCATCTCCACAGAAGAACCATCTACTCACCAGGACCAAGCTGTACTGCTAATGACTAGCTACTTGAATTCCGCATGAAAAGAGGCAGATGAGAAACTGGAGATTTACATACTTCGAATCTACATATAGTGGAAATCCCTTTAGACTGTTGCCGGATGGGATAAAAAGATCTATGGAGCAGAGTTAGAGGCCTTTGTAAAATAAATGACACAGGGAAGCGCTGGATCTCTGTATGAAGGGGAATTCCTAAGTTTGTGTGTACTCATTTTCTGAAGACCCTGGAAGTGTTTTCCAGCAGCTCAGCCCCTACAACTGAAAAGGCAAATATGTTTTAGGGGCTCATGCAATCCTCAGCAGATGGCAGGATGCCCGGCCCCTTCCCCTCACTCAGGGCCACCAAGCCCCTGAACAGGCAAGCCAACAGCACTCAGCCCATGACTAGCCGAGCAAGCACATGGCCACCAGTTTACGTGACATCAGAGAGTTCCTGAGGAACACTGAATTAGAGGAAGGTTTGTTTTTCTTATTAGTTAAGTATCTTTATCAATATTGTTTGGCTAAATTTCTACACTTTTGAAAGAAATGATAACTTTACCTACCTAAGAAAGCTCCAAAAGACACTCTGCCTATACCTGTTCCAAAACAGTAATAAAGAAAATAAAGGACAGATTAAAGGAGATACCAGGATATTTCAAGGGGTTAGCAAAAGAATAAGAAATACATTAAAAAGCAATAAAATGGCAGTGCAAGCTGCGTTTTCAATGTGGTTTTAACATCTCATTTCCCTGCCTGATACCATACAACTGTTTAAACATCACTGAAACCCAATAGCTAAAGGCTCCTGTGTCTGAGAAGCACACACCTTGGCATTCCCCTAGGAGACAGAGACCTATCCAGGTCTGAGAGGAGCTCAGCACAGAAGGCGCACGCGCTGGAGGGCTGGCCATGTTCTGCAGGTGTGAAAGGAGCTCTGCACATTCATTCACATGTATGTAAGCGTGTTACTACTGATCTTCAGACCCGCCCCTAATGGGAAGTGATACCGTCTCCAGTTTGCAGATGCAAAAGCTGAGGCTCAAAGTCGTGGTGAGTCCTGCCCACGCCCGTGATGCATGTCTTTGTCGTTTTGTGAGCTCACTGTGGCACTGAGTGTGTTCACGTGTCCTTGAGTGTGTTAATTCATGATCTTACAGGAAAATATTCTAAGAGCCAATTTTCAAAAGAAAAATAACTAGCACATTATAACTTGAAAATAACCATTTCTTATGAGCCACGGGTATTTTCTGAGAGTTCTTTTATGTAAGAACAGGAACATTTCACATTTTCCTACGTACAGGTTCACCACTGCATGGACACTCAGGCACTGAGACGAGGACAAGTGCACACGCGGCTGTGTTCACCTCCCGCAGGTCTGAGTCCCAACTGCTCCCGAGTGGCTGTGCTGCTCATGTCAGGGGACCAGCCAGCCAGTGACCGACGGGGCTCAGCGCCTCCTGTCAGGGGACCGGCCAGCCAGTGACCGACGGGGCTCAGCGCCTCCTGTCAGGGGACCGGCCAGCCAGTGACCGACGGGGCTCAGCGCCTCCTGTCAGGGGACCGGCCAGCCAGTGACCGACGGGGCTTAGCGCCTCCTGTCAGGGGACCGGCCAGCCAGTGACCGACGGGGCTCAGCGCCTCCTGTCAGGGGACCGGCCAGCCAGTGACCGACGGGGCTCAGCGCCTCCTGTCAGGGGACCGGCCAGCCAGTGACCGACGGGGCTCAGCGCCTTCATCCGTGGTGCAGGGACAGTAAGAGCAGGCACTTTCTGATATGGGTTTTACCATGATCCACAACTTAACACAATGTATTCAGAAGCAACAATAAGAAAATACTTCAAAATCATGAATAGAGAACGATTCAAAAAACAATTCCAAGGCAACTTACCAAAATATTCATTGAGAAAAGCGAGTGAGGACACGTAGCAGCCTAAGCTGAGGAACTCGGCCACCACCATCAGCCAGTGCCACGTGCGGACGGTCAGCGCCACCATCAGCAGCTCGGTCAGGATCAGTGCGGTGAAGGAGATGGCCACCACGTGGACGAACTCAGACTCGAAGAGCACCAGGGCCCCATACATGAGGATGCCGCCTGAAAAACAGCAGGAGCTTTTTCCATGCACACGAGCAGGGTGTAAGCCAGCTAGAGGAAACAGCCTTGAACCAGCAACGTCACTCAAGACCCTTAAAAATAGGGGATAGGCCAGGCGCAGCAGCTCATGTCTGTCTTCCCAGCACTTTGGGAGGCTGAGGCGGGTGGATCACCAGGTCGTGAGTTCCAGACCAGCCTGGCCAACATGCTGAAACCCCATCTCTACTAAAGATACAAAAAATTAGCCAGGCGTGGTGGCACGCACCTGTAATCCCAGCTACTGGGGAGGCTGAGGCAGAAGAATCATTTGAACCCAGGAGACGGAGGTTGCAGTGAACTGAGACCACACCACTGCACTCCAGCCTGGGTGACAGAGCGAGACTCTGTCTAAAAAAAAAAAAAAAAAGGCGGATAATGGCCATGCCCATGCTTCATGCTGATGAACAAGTCACTTAAACTCTGGATTATGGACAAAATAAGATGGGATCCTAGCTACATCAGTTAGAAATGGCAAATCGAGGCAGACAAACTTTTTAATCTCTGGATACGAAGCCACACCTCTACTTCAATTAGTGTAAATAATTATGTGTTGCATGTAATTAATATATCTGATCTGTTAGTTATACTTGCAACAATCTCCCATTTATCTGAACACTAAACAAAGGGCAGCTAATGGCTTCTCCTTACATAACTCAGATTTCTCAAAGTCTTTTTATCACTCTATGAAAGAAAGCCATTGTGCAGGGTATACAATGTGGTAAGTGCTTGTTAAAATCTTTCTGGATTAACATTTAATTAAAAACTAAGTCAGTTTTTAGGTGGCATGCATCAGTTAAAAAAAAAAAAGGACCCATGTTGCTGGAATATTGATTTACAAGATAAACAGAAGGGAGTATTTAACTGCTGATGGCATTTTAAGCTGTTGGAATTTAATCTGCAAGTAAAAACAATATTGCTAACAAAAAGACCAAAATAAAAAAATCTTTAGTCCAGTAAACTAAGGATCTCGTCTTACCTTGGTAAATACTTATTAAAACCCAGATGAGGAAGGTTTTGAAGGACAAGGATCTTCCCTAGGGAAACAGTGGAAGAGCGTCGTTAGTGCGCAGAACCACCTGCTTGACTCACGCCTTCCAGGAGTGAGCTATGGGTCACTTCTGAAAGACCCAGGTCCATAAGCCCCATCCATGCCACCCCAGCCACCTGGTCTACCAGCATTTCGGGCGCCTTTTCCTGACACCCGAATCCTGAAGAAGCTGCCTGGGTCCCACACGTGTCCACTGGTGCCTGAGGTTAGACGTTCATGTTGTCTTCTGTTTGACCTGCCGTCTTGTTGGCTCTACTAAGCCAGGAGTGATGTATACAAGCAAACATTTCAGTGAACCAGGGGGAAAGGCTCTTGGCAATAAAAACATTTTCCCTTATTTCTTGTCAACAAATACTTCTATATTTACTGTTTGGTTTTTTCAGATCAAAAGATACAGAACGTAACAGTTCTTCAGTAAGGATGGCACATCTCAACTGAAGTAAAAAGTTATCCCTTAAACCCTCGCTGGAGAACATGTCACATACATAACCCCATGGAATGGGTCCTTGCGCCAGGCCCTTCACTCTGCGAAGTTGAAGGCAGGTGACGAGGGGGCAGGAGGCAGGGGACGAGGGGGCAGGAGGCAGGGGACGAGGGGGCAGGAGGCAGGGGACGAGGGGGCAGGAGGCAGGGGAGCTCTGGCCCACGGGGTTGCTTGTCCCACTGCATCCCTGAAGATTAATTTAGAGTCCAAGAAGAGAGGCTGAGTCATTAACAATCGCCCTGACTTGTTGGTGCTAAAGAGCTGTCGAAAGTGACACGTGTTGAGAGGCCCTGTCTTTATGTGAGGCCTTTGTTTGACACCTTCGCATCTATTTTCTCAGTTACACAGAGCAGACGTCGTTTCCATTTACAGACGAGGAGACTCGAGAAGTTCCGTGATTTCCTCAGGTTCTTGCTGGAGGCTGGTGGTGCTAAGAAGTGTAGTCTGCTGATCAGAGCCCAAAGTCCTGCCCTGATTTAGGGCTTCCCCACCCACGGGGGAGATTCTCCTAAGGACAGGAAGTGGTTTAAAGAGCCACAGAGGAAAGACAAACCCTCACGGAAGCTCAGGGGACACAGAAGACAGCAGGGAAGATGGAGGATGGTGACAGGCTGTGCTCAGGGCCTGTCTGAACCTGCACCTGCCTGAGTCTGCTGAAGACCTTTAGACACAGGCATGAGCCATCACAGAACAGAGGCACGGACGCTGGAAATGCGGCTATATTCCTGCAGGAGGCCACCAGTGGCAGATTTATGAATTATAATTCTAGTTGTAGTTTAATTATAAAAGACAAGTGTGGTGACATATGTTAAGTGTTTTCCTAGGCTGCAAGAGTCAGTGTGTGAAGATGCTGACGGAGCTTGAGCCCTCACACGTGAATATGAAAAGGAAGATTCAAATTCACTGTGACGAAGAAGCACTACTGTTTTTTTTTTTTTTTTTTTTTTTTTTTTTTTAAGACGGAGTCTTGCTCTTTCACCAGGCTGGAGTGCAATGGCACGATCTTGGCTCATTGCAACTTCTGCCTCCCAGGTTCAAGCAATTCTCCTGCCTCAGCCTCCCAAGTAGCTGGGACTATAGGCGCCTGCCACCATGCCCAGATAATTTTTGCATTTTCAGTAGAGAGGGGGTTTCACCATGTTGGCCAGGATGGTCTTGATCTCTTGACCTCATGATCCGCCCACCTCGGCCTCCCAAAGTGCTGGGATTACAGGTGTGAGCCACCGCACCCAGCCAAGCACCACTGATTTTTAAAAAGCAGAAAACTTTGAAGTTAAACCATTTATATACTCCAAATAAGTTCTCTTGGTACGTATTTCCCAAGGACATTTCTCTCCCTGGGTAATGGTAGGTGTTTGGTCTTTGGTCACGAAATTCATCTGTAATTAAGTATGTGGCTCATTTTATTCAAAAACTGTAAAAGGAAATTTAATTATTTTGACATAAGAAAGAAAAGGCTTATTCTGTGGCCTGATTTGCTGAAATGTATTCAGTTTTATTCATGTAGGTCAATGATTGGTGTCTATGTGGAAGACGAAGTGGTGTCTGTGCTGCCTCTCTTTAGGAGCTGCCAACAGGGAGCACCTCAGACCTGCACCTGTGGGGTGTTCCATATTGAAGCAGATGATATTATAGATTAATAAAAGCAAACACAACAGAATGGGTACAAAAAACATCAACAAAATAGATAATTTGAGAAAAATATCCGTACACCTCCTATTAATGGCTCCCAGACTGTAGCTCTGAGAACAAAATCCTGTTATATTTGATGGTACAGACACGTTACTCATAGAAGCAATTCATTCACTATGGGTTTCATGTTATGGAAGAAGCCACTCTTCCTGGGCCAGGTACCTCTTCATTTGGTTTAGGAAGAGATGAAGATGTCTGTCACTCTGACTGATGTCCCCGTATGTGTGGAATGCCTGGAGTGGAGTCCTGCCTAGCACACGCCTTTCTTCTGCGTTCTTGGGCTCAGGACTTAATCTCTGTGCCTCAGTTCCCTCCTCTGTGAAATAGAAGTAATAGTGGCATGTGGCTCACGTGCATGAAATAAAATGAGCCATGAAATAAAATATGCACAATGCCAGCAGCATAGTAAATATTCACTGAATGCTACTGTTATATTTACCATTAAATATTACGGATTCAGAAAGTATATTTCTATCATACCAAAAATTGTAAAAAATAAAATCAAGCAAATTTTTAAAATTTATTTTCATTTTTTTGAGATGGAGTCTTGCTCTGTTGCCCAGGCTAGAGTGCAGTGGCACGATCTCAGCTCACTGCAACCTCCGCCTCCCAGGTTCAAGCGATTCTCCTGCCTCAGCCTCCCGAGTAGCTGGGATTACAAGTGTGCACCACCACACCCTGCTAATTTTTGTACTTTTAGTAGAGATGGGCTTTTGCCATGTTGGCCAGGATGGTCTTGAACTCCTGACCTCAGGTGATCTGTCTGCTTCGGCCTCCCAAAGTGCTGGGATTACAAGCGTGAGCCACTGCGCCCGGCCAAATCAAGCAAATTTTAAGGAAAGATTAACCAACCTCAAAGTCATATGTGTACAGTTATTCGTACGGAAGCACTCAGTGCTGTGGGGCACAGAGCACGCTGATGCGCGTGTGGCGTGAAAGATGGTCCCTCTGCAAGGATCGGCACCGTGGCATGGGACCAGCCACTCCAAAATGCCAGGACTCCTGTCCTGAGTCTGTAACCACTTTTATCTCTATTATAATTTATTCTCCCAGCCTACCTCCTCAGTATACGTTCTCTGATTTTTTTTTTTTTTTTTTTTTTGAGACGGACTCTTGCTCTGTCGCCCAGGCTGGAGTGCAGTGGTGCGACCTTGGCTCACTGCAGGCTTCGCCTCCCGGGTTCACGCCATTCTCCTACCTCAGCCTCCCGAGTAGCTGGGACTACAGGCGCCCGCCACCACACCCAGCTAATTTTTTTGTATTTTAGTAGAGACGGGGTTTCACCGTGTGAGCCAGGCTGGTCTCGATCTCCTGACTCGTGACCCGCCCGCCTCGGCCTCCCAAAGTGCTGGGATTACAGGCGTGAGCCACCACGCCCGGCTCATTTTTTTTGTATTTTTAGTAGAGACGGGGTTTTACGGTGTTGGCCAGGATGGTCTCGATCTCCTGACCTCGTGACCCGCCCGCCTCGGCCTCCCAATCTGATTCTTACTAGAACAACAACAACAACAAATTTCGCCTGTTCCCATAATTGTAATTATTTGAGAGAAGTTTGGGAGTGTGGAGTAGAAAGATCCTATAGGCAGATGCAAGAGGAGAAAAAGTGCAGTCAAAGCATATCAAGAACAAACCCTCCAAACAGAGAGGGAAGGACGGTGCTCACGGTGGCGCCGGGGAGAGAAGCCCCAATTAACTGGGGCTCTGCACGCGTCTCTGGCCTTGGCAGGAAGGGAAGCTGGGGAGGAAGTGTGGGCTTCCTGCCGTTCAGTGCCTGGCCTGCTCTGCTGAGGGTAGAGACGTGCCAACGACGAGGGTGCCAACGACGGAGTATGCTGGTGGTAGGGTCCTACAGCAAAGGGGTGGGCAGGTGACGTTCCCGACAGCTCTTCTGCTTGCCACACTCACTCCACTGTCACTTTTATTTCTTCTATTAATGGTCTGAAATTACGGTGACTGATTTCTTCAGGGTCTCATTCCTTCATTCTTACATGGATAAGCTCAATTTCATTAAATACATCTCTTAGAATATAAAATGAACTTCAAATATTACTGGACAGAAAGTTCAAATATTACAGGACAGGTTAAATGAGAGCCACCAAGCAGAGAGTGTGCACCTAAAGGTGGACTTGCTGCCACAGAGTGCTCGCAACTGGGCCAGGGCCAGGCGCAGACATGGGCTGGTTTTGAACTCCACACTTTGAAGGATAAGACTGCAGCTTTGCAAACACAGTCCTGTTTTTGTAGAGACAGGGTCCTGATCTGTTGCCGAGGGATGGGGTGCAGTGGTGCGATCACAGCTCACCGCAGCCTCGACCTTCCAGGCTCAAGTGATTCTCCAGCCCGGGCAGCTGGGACCACAGGCACCTGGCGCCATGCCCAATTCTGTTCATCTATCCTAGGAAAATTGAAGACTTTCTTGGCTCTGACTCCGTTTTCTAATCATTTTGCCTTGAAATCACTTTAGACTTGCAGGGAAGCTGCAGAAGCAGCGCAGACAGCCCCATGGCGCCCTCCAGCTCACCCGGGGCCACGGCGCCGTCCAGCTCACCCGGGGCCATGGCGCCCTCCAGCCCACCCAGGGCGACACTCCATGGAGACACAGACACGCACCGTGGCAGAGAAATGGTGTGGAGGTCCTGGTTTTTCTCAAATGTGCTTTTCCTGCCCAGGGCCCCACACAGGACCCCACGCTGCTCTGGCCGTGATGTCTCCTGGGCTCTGTGATCTGGCCAGCGCCTCTGTCTCCCCGTCCTTAATGACCTGGCTGCTCCTCAAAGCTCCGGACATGTCTTTTTGGAATGCCCTTGATTTCGACTTGTCTGATGTCTTCTACTGATGACACTACTGGGGAGGATTTGTTGAGGAGACACGTGTCCCCTGCAGGGCTCCACAGCAGGAGGTGTGGTGGCCTCTCTCATCCCTGGTGATGGGAACTGTGACCCTGGAGTTCCACTTCCCTTGGAAGACCTCGTGACAGTGGCTGCTGCCTTGGTGCCCCAGCGGGGCCTCCAACTGCCCTGGTTCCTTCACCATTTATAACTGGAATCCTCTGGTTGAGGAGGCGCTTTCTCTGCGTACACATGGTGGAGGTGAAGATATCTGTGTGCTCTCTGGTTGAGGAGGCACTTTCTCTGCGTACACACAGTGCAGGTGAAGATATGTGTGCTCTCTGGTTGAGGAGGCACTTTCTCTGCGTACACACGGTGGAGGTGAAGATATGTGTGCTCTCTGGTTGAGGAGGCACTTTCTCTGCGTACACACAGTGCAGGTGAAGATATGTGTGCTCTCTGGTTGAGGAGGCACTTTCTCTGCGTACACACGGTGGAGGTGAAGATATGTGTGCTCTCTGGTTGAGGAGGCACTTTCTCTGCGTACACACGGTGGAGGTGAAGATATGTGTGCTCTCTGGTTGAGGAGGCACTTTCTCTGCATACACACGGTGGAGGTGAAGGTATCTGTGTGCTCTCTGGTTGAGGAGGCGCTTTCTCTGCGTACACACGGTGGAGGTGAAGATATGTGTGCTCTCTGGTTGAGGAGGCACTTTCTCTGCGTACACACGGTGGAGGTGAAGATATGTGTGCTCTCTGGTTGAGGAGGCACTTTCTCTGCGTACACACGGTGGAGGTGAAGGTATCTGTGTGCTCTCTGGTTATCATCTAGTCATGCTGCTGTCTAGGTTGCTGTGCAGGGTGTTCAGTGCTAGCCCGTGGGAGGCTCAGCCTCTGACGCCGTCAGACCTGCCTCCCGCACCAGCCTCACTGATTCTTGTTCAGCAGTTCCTTACTTTTTTGCTCCACAAGAAGTTTCAGGCTCATCTTGTATTTCCCTTGCCTCAGCCCTGGAATTAACCCCTTCTCTAGGGCTCTGCGTGGTGGGGGACGGCACAGGGTCTCGTCCGCATAATCTGCAACACTGAGCTTGCTCACTACCGCCTGGTTCCTGATTCTAGCCACTCGGTGTATGGCCTAGGACTGTGTGTGTTTACTAAGTCATGCTCACACATGTCCGTGTTTATTTCTTCATCTATTTATTTATCTCACAGAAACCACAAGCCCAAACTGATCTGGGCTTCAATCCAGCCCTTCATTTCTAACTTCATCGCTAACAGGGAGAAATCTGCTTCTCATTAGCTACCATGCATGGGCTTATTGATTCCTGTAAGAAGCAAATGCCAAACGCAGCCCACGGTTTGCAGTTCTTTTTGTCTTCAGCCTTACAGTGAACCACAGTCAAACGCCTTTCCCAAGGCCACTGAAAAGAGCTCCTTTCTTCCCAGCCCACAGTGTGGTTCTGCGGTTCATGGGCCGCTGTCTGCATTCCTCCTCCCTTAGCTCCATGCTGGTGCCGTCCAGCGGGCTCTGAGAGAGGCACGGTCAGGTGTCCGCCACCACCGCGCCAGACAGAGCAGCTTCCACACCCACACCCCCTCGGGATGCCTCTCCGGTCACCCTCTACACTCAAACCTTTAGCGACCACGGACGGGTCTCTTCCCTACAGTTCTGCACCTCCCAGGTGTCCGGTAAAAAGAATCAATACCAGCTTTCAAGTCTGGCTTCTGCTGCACAGCAAAATGCACAATGTATGATCCATCATGTCATGTGAGTCAGCAGTAACCCCTCACTGCTAAGCACAATCCCACTGCCTGGTGGCATGACACACAGGCTGGCCATGTCCACTAGGATGTCCTTCCATCACACACAGGCTGTCCCTGTCCACGGAGATGTCCTTCCATCACACACAGGCTGTCCCCGTCCACGGAGATGTCCTTCCATCCACGCACAAGCTGTCCCCGTCCACGGAGATGTCCTTCCATCACACACGGGCTGTCCCCGTCCACGGAGTTGTCCTCCATCCACGCATGGACTGTCCCTGTCCACGGAGATGTCCTTCCATCACGCATGGGCTGTCCCCGTCCACAGAGATGTCCTTCCATCACGCGGGAGCTGTCCCCGTCCACGGAGATGTCCTTCCATCCACGCATGGGCTGTCCCTGTCCACGGAGACATCCTTCTGCCCACTGGCTGAAGGGCACAAGGTTGTTTCCAGCTTCTGGCAGTTATGACAGTGCTGCTGTGAACATTCATATATAGGATTTAGTATGAATCTAAGTTTTCATTTCTCTTGGAGAAATACCTAGGAACAGGACTACTGGGTCATGGGGTAAATACATGTTTACCTTTGTAAGAAATGCCCAAACTGTCTTCCGAAGAGGCTGTATCATTCTCCCTTCACCCTAGCAGTGAAGGGGAGTCTCTGCTGCTCTGGACCCTCCCCAGCCTTTCACGTTGCTGGTATTTCGGCTGTTCTAGCACGGGTGGGTACACGGCATCTCACGGTGGCTTCAACTTGCAGTTCCCTGATGAAAATGGCACTGAGCATCTTCACAGGCTTCCTTGCCATCTGTGGATTATCTCTGGGGTGGTGTCTGTTAATATCTTCTGTCTACTTTAAAAACTGGGTTGTTCTCTTGTTGAATTTTGGGGGTTTCTTATATACTATAGAAACAACTCCTTTATCAAAAGTGTGACATGCAAATATTTCCTTCTAGGCTGTGGCTTGTTTTTTCATTAACAGTATCATTCAGAGAGAAAAACTTTTTTTTTTTGAGACAAGGTCTCGCTCTGTCACCCAGGCTGGAGTGCAGTGGCTCAATCACAGCTCACTGCAGCCTCCAACTCCTCAGCTCAAGCAATCCTTCCACCTTAGCCCCCTGAGCAGCTGGGACTACAGGCACACAGCAACCACCATGCTCAGCTCATTTTTTTCTATGTTTTGTAGAGACACGGTCTCACTATATTGCCCAGACTGGTATTGAGCTTCTGGGCTCAAGTTATCCTCCTGCTTCAGCCTCCCAAAGTGATGGTATTACAGGCATGATAAGCCACTGCACCTGGCCAAAACTTTTAAATTATGGTAAAGTCTAATTTATTATTTTTTTCCTTTAAGGATCATGATTTTGATCTCATGATTAAAAACTCTTTGCTTAACCCAAGGTCATGCATATTTTGTGTGTATTTTCTTCTGAAAGGTTTATAGCTTTACATATAGGTCAAGGGTCCACTTTGGGTGGATTTTCACATGAAGTGTGAGGTGGAGGTTGTGGGTCTGTTGCTCATGGGCGGCGAATTGTCCCAACAGCTGCAGACACAACTCTTCTCCTTCTGATTTCCTCTCATGTTTGCCAAAGATCATCTGACACATGTGATGTATTTCTGGGCTCTCTTTTCTGTTCCACCGATCTTTTTGTCTATCCTTTTGACAATAACACATTGTCTAACTGATTACTGTTTTACAGTAAGTCTTGGAATCAGGTAGTGTGTTTTCCAACTCTGTTATTTTCTTTTTTTTCTTTTCTTTTTTTTTTTTTTTGAGACGGAGTTTCGCTCTGTCGCCCAGGCTGGAGTGCAGTGGCGCGATCTCGACTCACTGCAAGCTCCGCCTCCCGGGTTCACGCCATTCTCCTGCCTCAGCCTCCCGTGTAGCTGGGACTACAGGTGCGCGCCACCATGCACAGCTAATTTTTGTATTTTTAGTAGAGACGGTGTTTCACCGTGTTAGCCAGGATGGTCTCGATCTCCTGACCTCGTGATCCGCCCGTCTCGGCCTCCCAAAGTGCTGGGATTACAGGCGTGAGCCACCGCGCCCGGCCCAACTCTGTTATTTTCTAAATTATTTTGGCAATTCGAGTTCCCTTGCCTTGCCATATAAATTCTAGAGTGAGCTTGTCAATGTGAAGCAATACTGAGGCTCTCAATCCATGAACATCTAATTGAGGCTCAATCCAGGAACATCTGTTTACGCCTCCCAACCCAGGAACATCTGTTTACGCCTCTCATTCCAGGATCATCTGTTTACGCCTCCCAATCCAGGAATATCTGTTTACGTCTCTCAAACCATGAACATCTGCTTACGCCTCTCAATCCAGGAATATGGGTTTATGCCTCTCAATCCATGAACATCTGTTTATGCCTCCGAATCCAGGAACATCTGTTTATGTCTCTCAATCCAGGAACATCAGTTTACGTCTCTCAAACCATGAACATCTGCTTACGCCTCTCAATCCAGGAATATGGGTTTACGCCTCTCAATCCAGGAACATCAGTTTACGCCTCTCAATCCATGAACATCTGTTTATGCCTCTCAATCCATGAACATCTGTTTACGTCTCTCAATCCAGGAACATCTGTTTATGCCTCTTGATCCAGGAACATCTGTTTATGCCTCCCATTCCAGGAACATCTGTTTACGTCTCTCAATCCAGGAACATCTGTTTACGCCTTTTACAGTTTCTTTCCTCAATGTTGTTGGTTTCCAGCACACAGATCTTGGGTGTATTTTGTTAGAGGTACACTTCAGTGTCTCACTTTCTTGTATTATAAATGCTTAAATGTATTATTATAAATGTTTACAAATTTTTTCAAACCCCAATTATTCATTGCTAGTGTACAGAATCAAAAATGATTTTGAAAAATTATTCCTTGTATCCTGAAACTTTATGAAGTTTACAAGTATAGGAGGTTGTATGTGTGTGGATTCCTTGGAATTTTCTACATAGAAAATTATAGCATCCACAAACAGAGATATTTTTATTTCCTCCTTCCTAATCTCAATGTTTTAAATTTCCTTTTATTGTCTTATTCACTATTATTTTGAAAAGAATATAAGTATACAAATATACATTTCAAAAGATAAAACCATTTGAGAGTATTCTACAGAAAATAAAAATTAGTGAAGGGGTCCGAATGGTTCAATACCTAATGGCACCAGAGATTTCATGAAGAACTGTATATTACCTACTTGATATCTTTACAATTAGCACAACTACAAATCAAATGTCTCTGGAGTTAGCTGGTAATGTAAGATTATGAATTGGTAACAAAATTCACAGCCACAGTCTGAGATATTTTGGGACCACGTGAGCTGGCTCACTTAACCAGGGTCACCTTACTAGTCCTGATGCCTGGATCTTGGAGTAACTAGCTTCCCTAAGCGGTTACACACCATTCAGAATGAATGAAGACATGTGCAGAGTTAGGAGAGAGATGAGTAGGTCAGTTTCCCGTCTTACTGGCATCCAGAAAATTAAGTGCCTGAACTCATCGTGAGTAAAGTTTAATAATTCAAAGCAGAATTTGAGCTTCAAAAGAATAACAAAATAGTGTTGCAAATATACCATTTTCTGTAAAGAATAAAAGCTACACAGTTTTAGGAAAGCGAAGGAAATCCTGACTCTTTGTTTAACTGATTCATTCACTGCCTCATTTGTTTATCAAATACTTACTTAACAGATACTGTGTCGATGTGTGGCTCAGGCCATCGAGACACAGCAGGGGACAAATGTTTATACTTGAGGTTGGCTAACTCATTAGGACAATAAGTGAGATTTATAATGCGTGCCTTATTTGTACTTTTAGATTATAAAGACTGGTTATCAAATACACATAAAAAAGAGGAGATTTTCTTTCCAATTGAGTCTTCTCCTGTGTGCAGGGAATGCATGCCTTGCCTCCCTGGCTCGCCTCTGAAGGTATTTTATAAATTTACGGTGACCTGAGATATGTGACTCAGAACTGACTGGACCGGCACTCGCCGGTCAGCCACTCACATTTCAGTCCGCGGCCCTTTATGCTGTTGTTACTCACACTGCAGGCCGCGGCCCTTTATGCTGTTGCTCTATGCCACTGATTCACTGCTTTCTCATCCTGACTAGAATACAGACTTGTTGAGAGCAGGGCTATGTTGTCCTACATCGCAGGAGCTTGAGCCGACGGACTGGGGACTTGGTGTCCACTGACACTGACCGGTGTGGATAAACTGCGTTGGCACATCCAGTCTCCAGCTGCCCCGATCATCAGACAACAACGCAGAGTGCTGCAGTCTGTGCTACCTTGGCGAACTGTTCAGAAGGAACAGAAAGCTTCAAAATAGTTCTTTAGCTTCAATAAGAAAAAATAACTAAATTAACTTTAGTGGCTCAGTACTTTAGTGCTATTTTCTTTTCAAAGAATTTGAAGTGTAGTAGATTTAAAAAAAAGTTACAATGCAGATAAGATGTTGAAGAAAAGAAGCTTAGAGAAAATGAGTGACTGCATTCTTGACCAAAAAAAAAAAAAAATGTAGGGATGGTGACCTGACTTTAGGATACTAAAACATTCTAAATTGTTGCTCACCTTAACGAAAACGGAAATTTAATACCCTTAATGAGATCCAACACAATCAGAAGTGAACAGGGTTCAACGGCACCAGTAACACAGAACTTACGGATTCCATGGCCACAGTTACGGATAATTAGCTGCTCCGTCAGACACCTGTGGCCCTATGAACCTCTTGTTACTAGAGCCATTTAGATATCCACAAAGAAAGAGACTGGTGCGTACAATCTAAATCCTTGAAAACAGTAAAAACGTGTTACTGCCCCACTCCAATAGCCGGTCAAGATGGCTGTGGCATGACAGTCCTATGACAAGTTTCTCCCAGCACAGCGATCCGGGAGCACCGGCTGGGGCTACAAGACCCCTGGTGACCTCTGCCCTGCTTGCGTGCCGGTTTCCTAGGGTTGAGGGTAGCGCATCGAGGTTTACCTTCGTACATGAAAAGCTTGTTCCCGTATGTTTGTAAGGCAGCATTTAGGTAAACATTTTTAGAGTCTCTGGGAATGAGGAAATGCATATGCTACTAAAATGATCATTATTCACACTAGCTTCCCGAAGTTTTTGGATCTTTGCTCCTTACTCTGCTGTACTTTATCACAATGGTTTCATCAGTTTAAGATACTTAAGCGGTCTTGCTTCTAGTTATAGTAGGTGTGACCTGGGACGATGCTTCCCAGTAGTCACGATGATGCCACCATGATAATAACGCTTGGTATTTATATTTCATGTGATACTGGTGAACTAGCTTTATTTGTCTTGATTATAACACTAATGAGAATTCTTTATTTTTTTCAAGAAACTTTAAAGTCTTTATTTCATTTCAATAACATCAAGAAATCAAAAAGTTAACATGACTTACCCAGCACCTCTCTGGCTAATGAGTGGTTATAGCTGGACTAGAGTCTAGTTTGTCAGTGGTTAGCTGGATAAGAGTCTAGCTTGTTAGTGGTTAGCTGTATTAGATAGAGTATCGTTTGTTAGTTACTAGTTAGACAGACAGGAGTCTAGTTTCTCAGTTTGTGGTTAGCTAGGTAAGAATCTAGTTGGTTAATTAGTGGTTAGCTGGACTAGAATCTGTTTGCTAGGTAGTCATTAGCTTTCTTTTTTAATGCCTAATCTAATTCTTTCTTTACCATACAGCTACTGCTTTAAAAATCTGAGTTGATAATTTCAGACACCTGTCATTTATCGATTGTAAATCTAAATTTAATTGCGGTTAGTGGATTTTGTTTTCAATGTTGATTCAAAACAGCTAGCTTTGTGGAAAATACCAGAGTTACCATGATTTGTGTCTGCAGAGCTGAGCCTCTCTTCTACCCCGTATCCTTACACGTTCTATGCTATAAAATATGCTGTCGTAAAGAATATGATAAATTCAAAGCCTCCTTTAATCCTAACAGAGCACAGTTTTAAGCCAAATAAATCCATCTTTCTCAGAGTTTCAGGTGACTGAAGTTTTCTGGGGTGGATTTTTTTCTTGGTGACATCACTGCAAAAATAGTCTATGGACCCTAGGGACAGACACATGTTATCACTTTTCAGGGATAATTCTGAAATCCACAACTACTGACAAACTTGGAAATACACAGGAAACATGCAGCCCATGGGTTCCCCAGCTTTGGAATGCTATTTCTGCAGCAGGTGCAGTGACGCTGTCCGGGGGAGCCTTTCTACAGAAATTACACAGTGAGATCTTCTCTGACATTTGGTGAGCTCACTTCACAAAAGTTCCACAAATGGTTAGAATATCTTTTACAATTCTAATTGTATGTATGATATTAGAGCTTTATTGCAAACATTTGAGAAATTTTTTTCCCTGAGATGTTTTTCCCCTTTTGAAGTTTAACTCAAAGAGAAAATGCCAACAACAATTAGGAGACATAAAAAACATCTTCAAGGACAGAGAATCGTTTTTCACAAAATGCCTGGAAATGCCTCCTGACTGGCCTGTTTCTCACTCGTGTAAAATGCTAGATGTGGGTGCTAGTCGTGAGGCAGACAGCTTGCCTGAGGCCCGTACCTTGGTGAGGTCCTTGTACAGCTCCGGGTAGAGCATCGCCATCTCTGGCTTCACGTCCTGGTCCAGCACTAAGGAGAACACTGGGAACATGGTGTATATGGTGGCATACCTGCAAGACCAAGAGCGGAGTGCAATGGGCGTGAGAAACTTCTACCACACAGCTAGAAACAGACCTCTGGATTAGAGGTCACAGCTTCAAAAACACCAAAAAATACTCCACAAAAACCAACAAAGTAAGTTGGCA